>NC_000015.10:41458692-41761722 GCF_000001405.40 Homo sapiens
GAGCTGAGATGGCGCCACTGCACTCTAGCCTTGGTGAGAGCGAGACTCTGTCTCAATAAAAAATAAAAATAAAAATAAAT
This sequence comes from Homo sapiens, assembly GCF_000001405.40. NCBI lineage: Eukaryota > Metazoa > Chordata > Mammalia > Primates > Hominidae > Homo > Homo sapiens. Next base: position 41,458,773 of record NC_000015.10, read on the forward strand.
AAATAAAAGGAATTACAGGCCAAGTGTGGTGGCTCACACTGGTAATCCCTGCACTTTGGGAGGCCAAGGCGGGCGGATCACTTGAGGTCAGGAGTTCGAGACCTGCCTGGCCAACATGGTGAAACCCATCTCTACTAAAAATACAAAAAATTAGCCAAGCATGGTCGTACGCATCTGTAATCCCAGCTATTCGGGATCCTGAGGCAGGAGAATGGCTGGAACCCAGGAGGCGGAGGTTGCAGTGAGCCAAGATTATGCCACTGGACTCCAGCCTGGGCGACAGAGGGAGATTCCGTCTCAAAAAATAAAAAATAAAGGGAATTACAGGCCTGGCGCGGCGGCTCACACCTGTAATCCCAGCACTTTGGGAGGCTGAGGTGGGTGGATCAGTTGATTCCAGGAATTCAAGACCAGTCATGGCAACATGGCAAAACGCTCTCTCCTACAAAAAATAGTCAGGCATGGTGGCCCATGCCTGTAGTCCCAGGTACTTGGGAGGCTGAGTCAGCAGGAGTATCATTTGAGCCCGGAATGTAGAGTTTGCAATGAGCTGAGATTGCACCACTGCACTCCAGCCTGGGTGACAGAGTGAGACCCTGTGTCAAAAAAAAGGGAGGGGAATTATAGAGATTGTTTTTGTCTTGATAAAGATCAGTACGTGATTTGATTTCTACTGAGCAAAAAGTATTGAAGTAATCATAAGATTGCGTTGGTTTTAGAACATGAATACAGTAATGATTGAGAGTAATATGGGAACACATCAAATGATATGTAAAAATTAAATGAACAAATGGTGTTTTAAAGCTTTATATTTTACAAATTGGCTTCAAATTGTTCACGCTCCTAGGTTGAAATAATTTTCCAAAATTCATATTTGGAGCCCTGTCTTCACAGGATTCAAGACTTGGAATTTCTCCTCATTATGTACAAGTTAGGTATCTGACTATCCTCTAGCATGGTTTTTGTATTTTTTTAAAAAGTCAAGTGTTAAATTACTTTTTGATATTTAGAAGCTGCTTCAATGTTTTGAACTTTTGCCATATTTTAAATGGAAAAGTTTTAAATATGGCAGTAGTTCTTCCTTATCTCCTAACAGAATTTCAAGGTAAAAATAAACTTGGCTTTTGTCTTGGAAATAAAATAGCCCTCAGAACAAGGATCCTACCTATTTAATCTTATGAAAGGAGAATAGAAGCATTTTCTTTGGCAGCACTTAGTTCCTTTTCATCTGGGAGTTTTGTTTGTCCCTTCTGGAGACCATATTAAGTATGCTGAGTTATCCTAGAGAAGAATGTTTGGCTTTCAGTCAGCAGCAAGCAATAGACATTTGATTTTTGTTTTTGTTTTTGTTTTTTTTTTTTTTTTTTGAGACAGACTTTCATTCTTGTTGCCCAGGCTGGAGTGCAATGGCACGATCTCGGCTCACTGCAACCTCCACTTCCTGGGTTCAAGTGATTCTCCTGCCTCAGCCTCCCAAGCAGCTGGGATTACAGACGCCCGCCACAACGCCCGGCTAATTTTTGTATTTTTAGTAGAGACAGGGTTTCACCATGTTGGCCAGGCTGGTCTCAAACTCCTGACCTCAAGTGATCCACCTGCCTCAGCCTCCCAAAGTGCTGGAATTACAGGTGTGAGCCACCGCGCTCGGCTTCAACATTTGTTTTGAGTGTGAATCCTTCCAAGTTTACCTATATTGGAACAAATAGGACTTAATAAACTGTGCTGGAGTTACCAGATGGTTTAAAATTTGTATATCTGAACTGTGGAAAGCATAGTAAGATGTTGTCGTGTAAGGCCAATAAGTCCTATGACAAAATCACAAAGTAGCTCAAGGGTAATAGGTGGCTTGTCTCAAACTTAGTTTTTATGTTTTTCACCTTACGTGAATGAGACAGTTGACTGATTCAGTGACTTCTTAAAAAAAAATTTTTTTTTTTTTTAGACAGAGTCTGGCTTTGTTGTCCAGGCAGGAGTGCAGTGGTGTGAACTCGGCTCACTACAATTGCCACCTCCTGGATTCAAGCCAGCCTCCCACCTCAGCCTCCCAAGTAGCTGGGACTACAGGCTGTAGGCTACCATGCCTGGCTAATATTTTTTCTTTTTTTTCTTTTTTTTTTTTTTTGAGATGGAGTCTCACTCTGTTGCCCAGGGTGGAATGCAGTGACACGATCTTGGCTCACTGCAACCTCCGCCTACCAGGTTCAGTGATTCTCCTGCCTCAGCCTCCTGTGTAGCTGGGATTACAGGCATGCGCCACTATGTCAAGCTAATTTTTTTTTTTTTTTTTGAGATGGAGTTTTGCTCTTGTTGCCCAGGCTGGAGTGCAATGGCACAATCTCGGCTCACTGCAACCTCTGCCTCCCGGGTTCAAGCAATTCTCCTGCCTCAGCCTCCCCTGTAGCTGGGATTACAGGCGCCCACCACCACGCCCAGCTAATTTTTGTATTTTTAGCAGGGACGGGGTTTCACCATGTTGGCCAGGCTGGTCTCCATCCACCTCCTGACCTGAGATGATCCACCCGCCTCTGCCTCCCAAAGTGCTGGGATTACAGGCGTAAGCCACTGTGCCTGGCCAATTTTTGTATTTTAAGTAGAGACAGGGTTTCACTATGTTGGCCAGGCTGGTTTCCAAGTCCTGACCTTAAATGATCCTCCTGCCTTGGCCTCCCAAAGTGCTGGGATCACAGGCGTGAGCCACCACACCGGCCTGGCTAATTTTTCTTTCTTTTTTTTTTTTTGAGACTGAGTCTCGCTCTGTCCCCCAGGCTGGAGTGCAGTGGCGCAACCTCGGCTGACTGCAAGCTCCGCTTCCCGGGTTCATGCTATTCTGCCTCAGCCTCCCAAGTAGCTGGGTTTACAGGCGCCCGCCACCACACCCAGCCAATTTTTTGTATTTTTAGTAGAGATGGGGTTTCACCGTGTTAGCCAGGACGGTCTTGATCTCTTGACCTCGTGTTCTGCCTGCCTTGGCCTCCCAAAGTGCTGGGATTACAGGTGTGAGCCACCGTGCCCGCCGGCCTGGCTAATTTTTCATATTGGCCAGGCTGGTCTGGAGTTCCTGACCTCAGGTGATCCACCCACCTCGGCTTTCCAAAGTGCTGGGATTACAGGCGTGAGCCACCTCTCCTGGCCCTGTAATTTTTTTTTCTTTTTTTTTTTTTTTTAGAGAGGGGGGGTTTGCCATGTTGCCCAGGCTGGTCTTGAACTCCTGGCCTCAAGCAATTCGTCCACCTCGGCTTCCCAAAATGCTGGGGTTACAGGTGTGAACCACCACCCCCAGCTTCAGTGACTTTTTTTAGTGACTATAAGAATGGTTTAGTGTGCTGATTATTAAGACAGAGGTTCAGAGCCATCATAGAAAATTGATATTTTAGTAGTTCGTTTGTTTAGCTTCAGGGCAGTGCAATATGGAAACTCTGGAATTTCCTGAATCTTTTTTACTTTAAAAGCTCTTTATATGGATTGCATTTAATCTTTGTAGTCTTTTTTATGTAAGCACCATTAGCATCCTGTTCTCTAGCCAGCAGCACCAGTAGTGAGATGTCATTTTCAGTTGTTAGATTATTCATGGGGGCAGGAAGCATAAAAGGTAGCCTGGTTGTAGAAAGGGCACTGACATTGCAGTTAGAAGGTCTAGGGGTCAAGTCAGACTCGCTGGAGGGGTGATCGGAGTTAAATCACTTTCTCTTCCTGCCTCAGCTTCCTCCTGGGGGTTGTTGTAAACCTCAAGAGAGATTATATACATAAGAACATTATGTAAATGTAAACTATCACTAACTCTAAAAAATAACTTTGTTTAAAATAACCCACTTAAAGTGTATAATTCATTGGTTTTTATATGTCCACAGAGTTGTGCAATCATCACCACAATTAATTCTAGAGCATTTTGTCACTCCTGTATTTCCCCATAAGCCTCCCAGCCCTAGGCAACCACTAATCTCCTTTCTGTCTCTCTAGATTTGCCTATTCTGGATATGTTTATTATTATTGTTGTTGTTATCAAGACAGGGTCTCGTTCTGTCACCCAGGCTGGAGTGCTGTGGCATGATTATAGCTCATTGAAGCCTCGACCTCCTGTGTTCAAGCAATCCTCCCACCTCAGCCTCCCAAGTAGCTGGGACTATAGGCGTGTGCCACCACCTGGCCAATTTTTTAAACTTTTATTAAAGAAGAGGTCTCGCTATGTTGTCCAGGCTATTCTTGAACTCCTAGCCTCAAGCAGTCCTCCTGCCTTGGCCTCCCAAAGTGTTTAGATTACAGGCATTAGCCACCATGGCCGACCTGGATATTTTATATAAATGAAATCATAATATGTAGTCTTTTGTGACTGACTTCTTTCACTTAGTATGTTTTTGAGGTTTATCCATTTAGCATGTATTAGTACTTCACTCCTTTTTATGTCTGAGTAATATTCCATTTTATGTATATACCACATTTTGTTTATCTGTCCATCTGTTGATTTATATTTGTGGTGTTTCCTCCTTTTTGCTATTGTGACTGGTGCTGCTGTGAACGTTTATATACAACAATTTGAGTACCTATTTTCAGTTCTTTTGAGTGTATACTGGAAAGTAGAATTGCTGGCTGGTACGGTAACTCTTTCTAACTTTTTGAGAAACTGCAGCTGCATCATTTTAGATTTCCCATCGGCAATAAGTGTACTAGTTTCTCCACCTCTTCACTAACACTTTAACACTTGTCTTTTCCTTTTTTTGTTGTTGTTGAGACAGGGTCTCACTCTGTCGCCCAGGCTAGCTAGAGTTCAGTGGTATGATCATGGCTGGCTGCAGCCTCAATCTCCTGGGCTCAAGCAGTTCTCCCACCTCAGCCTGCCAAGTAGCTGGGACTACAAGCATGTACCACCATGTCCAGCCAATTTTTAAAATTTTTGTAGAGACAGGGTCTCACCATGTTGTCCAGGCTAGTCTCCAACTCCTGGACTCAAGTGATCCTCCTGCCTTGGCCTCCCAAAGTACTGGAATTACAGGTGTGAGCCACCGTGCCTGGCCTCCCTTTTTGTGATAATAGCTATCCTGGTGGGTGTGAAATGGTCTTTCATTGTGTGTTTTTTGTTGTTGTTTGTTTGTTGTTTGTTTTCAAGACGGAGTCTCACTCTGTCGCCAGGCTGGAGTGCAGTGGCGTGATCTTGGCTCACTGCAACCTCCGACTCCTGGGTTCAAGCAATTCTTCTGCCTCAGCCTCCCGAGTAGCTGGGATTACAGGCACATGCCACCATGCCCAGCTAATTTTTGTATTTTTAGTGGAGATGGGGTTTCACCATTTTGGCCAGGATGGTCTCAATCTCCTGACCTCGTGATCCGTCCACCTTGGTTTCCCAAAGTGCTGGGATTACAGGTGTGAGCCACTGCACCGGGCCTGTTTGTTTGTTTGTTTATTTTTTGAGATGGAATCTCACTCTGTCGCCCAGGCTAGAGTGGCGCAGATGAGTACAGCAATACCCTATATATGTTCTCTTTCTCTCTCTTTTTTTTTTTTTGAAACGGATTCTTGCTCTGTCGCTAGGCTGGAGTGCAGTGGCGCGATCTTGGCTCATTGCAACCTCCCTCCCGGATTAAAGCGATTCTCCTGCCTCAGCCTCCCAAGTAGCTGGGACTACAAGTGTGCGCCACCATGCCCAGCTAATTTTTGTATTTTTAGTAGAGACGGGGTTTCACCATGTTGGCCAGGATGGTCTCGATCTCTTGATCCCCCCGCCTCGGCCTCCCAAAATGCTGGGATTACAGGTGTGAGCCCCTGTGCCTGGCCCGTAGTCTCTCATTTTAAACATATTCCAACTTAATGCTATCAAATATTTTATATTTTGTTGTAATTAACATATTAAATATTTTTAATGTACTTAAAAGGTACACCAGAGTTTCTTGCAGGAAAGCCAAAATATCTATTAGCTCCTTTCCCTTAGTTCCTTTCTCCTATCTAATAGAAATCAGTTTTTATATACATTTCATTGCTACTTAAAAACCAAATATCTTTTAACCAGATTTGAAATCAAGAAAAAACTAAAAACAGCCAAAAAGAAAGAAAAGAAAGAAAAGAAGAAAAAGCAAGAAGAGGAGCAAGAAAAGAAAAAACTGACACAGATTCAAGAATCTCAGGTAGGAGATTCAGTGTTCCTCATTGTCCAAAGAATAAACCTGTTTTGAGTGTGTGTGTGTGTGTGTGTGTGTGTGTGTGTGTAAAAGGTGGATTTATATTAATCAGCCTAAGTTTATAAGACTTGTGACATGGTTTCATTAATCTCTGGACATATCACCATTAGCTGTGCTGTTAAATCCTTAGCACTTTTTCCTTTGCTTTCCTTTTTCCTTTTCTTTTTTCTTTCTTCTTTCTTTTTCCCTTTTCTTCCCCTCCCTTCCTCCTTCCCCCTTCCCTTCCTCCTTCCCTTCCTCTTCCCTTTCCCTGGTCTCATTATGTTGCCCGGGCTAGAATACAGTGGCTATTCACTGGCACAGTCATAACACACTGAAGCCTCAAACTCCTAGTCTCAAGCAGTCCTCCTGAGTTGCTGAGACTACAGGCATATGCTACCGTGCCCGGCTTTCACTGAAGTCTGCATTTAAAAAGCAGCCCTCAACTGCAGTGACTCACATGTGTAATCCCAGCACTTTGAGAGGCCGAGGCAGACAGATCACTCAAGGCCAGGAGTTTGAGACCAGCCTGGCCAACGTGGCGAAATCCTGTCTCTACTAAAAATACAAAAATTAGCCTGGCGTGGTGGCTTATGCCTTTAATCCCAGCTACTCGGGGGGCTGAGGCACAAGAATTGCTTGAACCTCAGAAGCGGAGGTTGCAGTGAGCTGAGATCATGCCATGGCCCTCCAGCCTGGGCAGAAGAGCGAGGCTCTGTTTTAAAAAAAAAAAGCAGCCCACTAGTGAGTGACCATCCCTTAAGGAAAAGTTGGTAAACAACCTGTCCTAGGTAGCCAGATGCTTATGATGTTTACTTAGATGTATATCATCCTTTACTTGGTATAAATATAGCTGGGAAAATAATCTCTGTATTTATCATAAATGAGACTCCATCTCAGAAAAACAACAAAAAAAGATAATGTGGGGCTGAGTGTAGTGGCTTATGCCTGTAATCCCAACATTAGCTGTGTTGTAGTGTGTTCTTCCAGAAAGAGTTTATTCGGATAATTCTTGAACTTGGAATAGGCATTTTAGACAGGGCTTACTTTACTGCGCTATCCTCTTTGTCCACAAGAGGATGCTCTCTCCCCTTACATAAAAGCTCTAAGTTTTTGCAGCCCATATAGATTGATGTTGGAGGACTAAATGCATTAAGTAGGTTTAGAGAATCTTATCAGCTGTTGGTAAAAAGGGCCATTCTATATATCCTTCCCTTCCTAGGTAACATCCCACAACAAGGAACGGCGTTCCAAGCGGGATGAGAAACTAGACAAGAAATCTCAAGCCATGGAGGAGCTAAAAGCAGAGCGAGAAAAACGAAAGAACAGAACAGGTAAGCGAGGGAAATATAATGGCTACTTGTGTCTTTATATGATTTGACTTCCTGGTGTCCATTTTCATTTTGCCCTCTTGTTATATCTTTCTCATATAAAATTCCAGCACATACCCAGAATAGTATAAACATCCACAAACCCATCATCCAGCCACAGCAGTCAGCTCTTGGCCAGTCTTGTTAAATCTATAATCCTTTCATCAGATTATTTTAAAGCAAATACCAGCATTATTATATTTTAACCATAAATATTTCAGTATGTTCCTCTAAAAGATAAGTACTTTTGTTTTAAACCTAACTATAATACCATTATTACACCTAGAAATAACAATGAACTCTTTGTCAAATATCTAGTCAGTGTTCAAATTTTTCTATTTGTTTTGTAATTTAAAAAACAAGATTTTAAAAACATTTCTATTTGTTTTGTAATTTAAAAAACAAGACCACTTGAATCAGGATCTTAAAGTCCATACATTGTGATCTGTTAATACGTCCCTTAAGGCATTTAATCTGTATGTTTTCTTCCCCATCTCTTTGCCCTGCCTTGCAGCGTTATTTGCTGAAGGAACTGGGTCATTTGTCTTCTGGTTTCTCACATTGCTGACTACATCTCGTTTTTGTTGTTGAATGTGTTTCTGGTCCCTTGGGTTTCCTGTAAATGGTTAGTTAGAGCTACAGAATTGGTCAGATTTGGGTTTGTTCTGTTGTTGTCATTGTTGCTTGTTCTTGGGGAAGGCTGATTTTTAGGTAGTGGTATGTATTTCCATCAGGAGACACATGATATCTGACTGTCTCTCAGTTTGTGATGTTAACAATCCTGTCAGTTAGCTCTTACCACAATAATGTGAAGTAACAAACTAACCCCTGTTCTGCTCATGCATCTGAAGTTCAACTGCAATTCACCCTCCTGATGGCATGAGTTCAGCTGGAATTATCTCCAAGCTATAGGTGGTAGCCAGGTCTGTTCTACCTCTCTCTTCCTCCCTGGGCCAGTAAACCCCGAGCACTTTTATATGGTGATGACAGAAGTATAAAAGGGGCAAGCAAAGACACACATGCCTCTTAGGGCCTAGACTTGGAATTGGCATAGTGTCACTATGGGGCCGGGAAGAATGACTAAGGCATATAGCAAAGGACATGGGTATAGAGATGGGTGAAGAATTAGAAAGGATACTGTGGGGGCCGGTCGTGGTGCCTCACAATTGTAATCCTAGCACTTTGGGAGGCCAAGGTGGGCGGATCACCTGAGGTCAGGAGCTTGAGACCAGCCTGGCAAACATGGTGAAACCCCATCTCTACAAAAAATACAAAAATTAGCTGGCCATGGTTGTGCATGCCTGTAATCCCAGCTCCTCAGGAGGCTGAGGCAGGAGAATCCCTTGAACCCGGGAGACGGAGGTTGCAGTGAGCTGAGATTCCGCCACTGCGCTCCAGCCTGGACAACAGAGTGAGACTCAATCTTAAAAAAAAAACAACAAAAGATAATGTGGGGCTGAGTGTAGTGGCTCACGCTTGTAATCCCAGCACTTCGGGAGGCTGAGGCTGGAGGATTGCTTGAGGCCAGGAGTTCAAGACCGGCCTGGCCAACATGGTGCAAGCCCATCTCTACTAAAAATAATAAAATTAGCCAGGCCAGGCACGGTGGCTCACACCTGTAATCCCAGCACTTTGTGAGGTCAGAGCAGGCAGATCACGTGAGGTCTGGAGTTGGAGACCAGCCTGGCCAACAGAGTGAAATCCCGTCTCTACTAAAAGTACAAAAATTAGTCAGGCGTGGTAGCACATGCCTGTAATCCCAGCTACTTGTGGGGCTGAGGCACTGAAAATCACTTGAACCCGGGAGGTGGAGGTTGCAGTGAGCCAAGATCCTACCATTGCACTCCAGCCTGGGCAACAAGAGTGAGACTCTGTCTCAAAAAAAAAGAAAAAGAAATAATAACGTGTTCTGTCCTAGTAGCCACTGATGGTCATTACCTAGATAATTTAATTCATTAGGAGTTGCAAAATGGTGATATTTCGAATCTGTCATTCTTTCCTCATTCATTATCTAGCCTGCTTCTATAAAGAGAAACCTTTTTTTTTTGAGACGGAGTCTCGCTCTGTCGCCCAGGTTGGAGTGCAGTGGCGCGATCTCGGCTCACTGCAAGCTCCGCCTCCTGGGTTCACACCATTCTCCTGCCTCAGCCTCCTGAGTAGCTGGGACTACAGGCACCTGCCACCACGCCCAGCTAATTTTTTGTATTTTTAGTAGAGAAGGGGTTTCACCATGTTAGCCAGGATGGTCTTGATCTCCTGACCTTGTGATCCGCCCGCCTCGGCCTCCCAAAGTGCTGGGATTACAGGTGTGAGCCACCGCACCCGGCCTAAAGAGAAACTTCTAATCAGCTATTTAGTTACCCCCCAGGCACATTTTGAACAGGAAAGGCAAGATAAATGCTTGATTAATTTTCCTTTCGTTTACCAGTTTTTGAAAGAATGAGATAGTTCCTGGCAAGGTACAGTGGCTCACATGTGTAATTCAAGACCAGCCTGGGCAACATAGTGAGACCCTGTTTCTGCAATATTTTAAAGAGAGAGAGAGAGATAGTTTTTAGCAACTTCCAAAGATGACTGATGGGTTTTATTTATTTTGAATATCCTTGTGAACTCATCATTTTTAACGTGCTTTATGTGTTTTAATCCATTGCAGTTATTTTTCCTTCCTTCCATCCATCTTTTTCTCTCTCTCTTTTTTGAGACAGGATCTCTCTCTGTTACTCAGTCTGGAGTGCAGTGGCGCGATCTCGGCTCATTGCAACCTTCACCTCCCGGGTTCAAGCGATTCTCCCACCTCAGCCTCTTGAGTAGCTGAGACTACATGCGTGCACCACCACCTAATTTTGTTTTGTATTTTTAGTAGAGATGGGGTTTAGCCATGTTGGCCAGGGTGGTCTTGAACTCCTGACCTTAAGTGATCCGCCTTGCCTTGGCCTCCCAAAGTGCATGAGCCAACACTCCCAGCCTAAAATTTTTTTATATTATTCTTTTTTCTTTTTAAATCGTAAGTACACAGATTAACCTGCCATCTTAGATTAATGGTAGCATATTATACACAGTTTTCTCTCTCTTTTTTTTTTAGCCACCACTCCTGGTTTGTTTTTTGTATTTTTGGTAGAGATGCAGATTCACCATGTTGCCCAGGCTGGTCCCAAACCCCTGAGCTCAAGTGATCTACCCACCTCGACCTCCCAAAGTGCTGGGATTACAGGCATGAGTCACCATGCCTGGCCACGTTCCTTTTTTTTTTTTTGAGATGGAGTCTCGCTCTGTTGCCCAGGCTGGAGTGCAGTGGTATACAGTCTTGGCTCACTGCAACCTCCGCCTCCCGGGTTCAAGCGATTCTCCTGCCTCAGCCTCCCAAGTAGCTGGGATAACAGGTGCCGGCCACAATGCCTGGCTAATTTTTGTATTTTAGTAGAGACAGAGTTTCACCATGTTGACCAAGCTGGTCTCGAACTCCTGACCTCAAGTGATCCACCTGCCTCTGCCTCCCAAAGTGCTGAGATTACAGGCGTAAGCCACCGCACCCGTCCCCACGTTCCTTTTTTATAGCTGCATAGTAGTTCATTGGTAGATGTACCAGTGGTGATTTAGCCACTCTCCTATTTTAAATTTTCCTCAGAAGCTTCTGAAGTCATCATGAGTCTTTCCCCCTCTTTCCTCCCCATAGTCAAGTGTCTTGAGTGCCATAAAAGAGAACTGTCAGTAGTGTTGGTGACCCTTTCTGCCCACCTAGTATCAATCTTCCAGCCCTTTTTTCATCTGCTGGGGCCTGACATTTGGCACCTGAATAATTTTAACTCTGTGTTTTAACTCATTTCTGTATATACCCCAAGTTAGCACAATCCAGTCTAGAGAGGACGGAGCTGTGTATTTGAGTCCTCTTCCATTTCCAGTTCTTTTTCAAGGATGAATTCATTTTCTTGTTGAGAAAACCTAGGTAAACATCTCTTCTTTCTTTCTAGCTGAGCTCCTTGCCAAAAAACAGCCATTAAAAACCAGTGAGGTCTACTCTGATGATGAAGAGGAGGAAGAGGATGACAAATCCAGTGAAAAGTCAGACCGCTCATCACGAACATCATCGTCTGATGAAGAAGAGGAGTAAGCTCTTGTACATTTTGGTCTAGTAGGCAGGATAGGTGGGTTTTTGAGGAAGAGCTTGGTATCGTTTCCAAAATCTCCCTGGTTGGGCCACTAACTCTGACATGGTTACCTTTGGTTTGCTGAACTGAGTTCCCCAGCACGTCAGCCCATTCATTTGGCTGCTAGCCTGTACGCTTAGACATTTCACCTGGGCCTGGAAGGTAGGAACTGACTTCGTGTCATTCTCAGATTGGCCTGGAGCTTTCATTCATTTTCTTTTTTTTTTTTTTTTTTTTTTTTTTGAGACGGAGTCTCGCTCTGTCGCCCAGGCTGGAGTGCAGTGGCAGGATCTCGGCTCACTGCAAGCTCCGCCTCCCGGGTTCACGCCATTCTCTTGCCTCAGCCTCCCAAGTAGCTGGGACTATAGGCGCCCGCCACTACGCCCGGCTAATTTTTTGTATTTTTAATAGAGACAGGGTTTCACTGTTTTAGCCGGGATGGTCTCGATCTCCTGACCTCGTGATCCGCCCGCCTCGGCCTCCCAAAGTGCTGGGATTACAGGCTCATTCATTTTCTTACTCTGATGGGTTATCTAAGATGGCAGCCTCATTTGAAACAGCTCATACTACTGGTCAGGAACAGGATCCTATTACAAGTCTTTGCTGGTGCTTCATTTACTTCTCCTCCTAGGCCAGTCACATGTACTTTGGTTAAGTTTTGAGGAGTTGATATTATTTTTCTGTCTTGTTCTGTTTTTATGATGAACATTTTTTCCAGTGCCCCTTTGTTCCTCTTAGGAAAGAAGAGATCCCTCCCAAATCCCAACCAGTTTCCTTACCTGAAGAATTGAATCGGGTTCGATTATCACGGCATAAGCTAGAACGCTGGTGTCACATGCCCTTCTTTGCTAAAACTGTCACAGGATGTTTTGTGCGGATTGGCATCGGAAACCACAACAGCAAACCAGTTTACCGGGTTGGTATTTCTTCCCTTGGACAATTGTCCATGCTTTCAGTATAATTAGTCTCAACTGAGGGCAGGAGCTACTGAAAAAATCGATCACTCTTCTCTCAGCATTTGATGGAAAGTAGACTCCAAGTGGGATCCCCATAGAGCAGTGAGGTGCCCAGGAATCCTTCATGACTTGTTGCCAAGAGGAGGACTTGGAGCCCAAGGGCCTGGAAGATTTGGATGTAGAATAATTTTCTCTATTCTCCCTTCAGTATAAAAGGGAGAAGGGAGGCATCTATGAAGTGTTCATTGGGAGTTACATAATCTAAAAGATTTGTTCATTTGAAAAACCAATGAATGAAAAGTTTCATGTTGCATACCAAGTGACTTCTACACCAGGGAATTGTATTGAGGTTAAAAAAAACCCTCCAGACTAATACAGGTTATTATGTAGGTTCCAGCACTGCTTCTGTGGTCTAGGTGGACTGGGCACAGTGGCTTACTCCTGTAATCCCAACACTTTGGGATTTATTTATTTATTTATTTATATTTTATTTTACCATTATTATTATTTTTTTATTTTTATTTTTTGAGACGGAGTCTCATTCTGTCACCCAGGCTGGAGTGCAATGGCGTGGTCTTGGCTCACTGCAACCTCCGCCTCCCGGGTTCAAGTGATTCTCCCGCCTCAGCCTCCCAAGTAGCTGGGACTACAGGCGCATGCCACCACACCTGGCTAATTTTTGTATTTTTAGTAGAGACGGGGTTTCACCATGTTGGCGAGGCTGGTCTTGAACTCTTGACCTTGTGATCCACCTGCCTCAGCCTCCCAAAGTGCTGGCGTGAGCCACCGCACCTGGCCTATTTTTATTTTTATTTATTTGTTGTTTTTTTTTTTCAGACAGAGTTTCGCTTTTGTCGCCCAGGCTGGAGTGCAATGGCACGATCTTGGCTCACTGCAACCTCCGCCTCCTGGGTTCAAGTAATTCCCCTGCCTCAGCCTCCCGAGTAGCTAGTGTTACAGGCACCCGCCACCGTGCCTGGCTACTGTTTGTATTTTTAGTAGAGATGGGGTTTCACCATGTTGGCCAGGCTGGTCTTGAACTCCTGACCTCAGGTGATCCACCTGTCTCGGCCTCCCAAAGTGCTGGGATTATTGACATGAGCCACTGAGCCCGGCCTTATTTTTAATTTTTTGTTTTTTATTTTTGGAGACAGAGTCTTACCCCGTTGCCCAGGCTGGAGTGCAGTGGCACGCTCTTGGCTCACTGCAGCCTCTGCCTCCTGGGTTCAAGCGATTCTCATGCCTCAGCCTCCAAGTAGCTGGGACTACAGGCATGCGCCACCACGCCTGGCTGATTTTTTTTTAGACTGAGTCTCTTTTTTTTTTTTTTTAGACGGAGTCTCGCTATGTGGCCCAGGCTGGAGTTCAGTGGCACGATCTCGGCTCACTGCAAACTCTGGCTCCCAGGTTCACGCCATTCTCCTGTCTCAGCCTCCCCAGTAGCTGGGACTACAGGCGCCCGCAACCACGCCTGGTTAATTTTTTGTATTTTTAGTGGAGATGGGGTTTCACCGTGTTAGCCAGGATGGTCTTGATCTCCTAACCTCGTGATCCGCCCGCCTCGGCCTCCCAAAGTGCTGGGATTACAGGCGTGAGCCACCGCACCCGGCCTCACTTTGGGATTTAAAAAAAAATTTTTGTAGCAACAGCCTCTCTCTGTTTCTTATGCTGGTCTCAAACTCCGGGCCTCAAGTGATGTTCTGGCCTCAGCCTCCTAAAGTGCTTGGTGTTGGTTTTTTGTTTTGTTTTGTTTTGTTTTTTTGAGACGGAGTCTCGCCCTGTCATCCAGGCTGGAGTGCAGTGGCGCGATCTTGGCTTACTGCAAGCTCCCACTCCTGGGTTCACGCCATTCTCCTGCCTCAGCCTCCCGAGTAGCTGGGACTACAGGCGCCCACCACCATGCCAGCTAATTTTTTGTATTTTTAGTAGAGACGGGGTTTCACCTTGTTAGCCAGGATGGTCTCGATCTCCTGACTTCGTGATCTGCCTTCCTTGGCCTCCCAAAATGCTGGGATTACAGGTGTGAGCCACCACGCCCGGCCCAGGTGTTGGGTTTTTTTTTTTTTTTTGAGACAGTGTCTTAACCATGTTGCCCAGGCTAATCCGGAACTCCTGGACTCAAGCCATCTTCCTGCCTCGGTTTTCGAAAGTGCTAGGTTTGCAGGTATGAGACACTGTGCCCAGCCTGTTTGAGATAGGATCTCGCCCTGTTGCCCAGGCTAGCATGCAGCGGTGTGATCAGAGCTCATTGCAACCTTGAACTCCTGGACTCAAACGATCCTCCTACAACAGCCTCTTGAGTAGCTAGGACTGTAGGTGCACACCACTATGCCCAACTAATTTTTTTTTTCTTTTTTGTAGAGACTGGGTCTCGGCTGGGCGCAGTGGCTCACGCCTGTAATCCCAGTACTTTGGGAGGCAGGTGGATCACGAGGTCAGGAGATCGAGACCATCCTGGCTAACATGGTGAAACCCCTCTCTACTAAAAATACAAAAAATTAGCTTGGCGTGGTGGCATGTGCCTGTAGTCCCGGCTACTTGGGCGGCTGAGGCAGGAGAATCACTTGAACCAGGGAGGCAGAGGTTGCAGTGAGCCAAAATCATGCCATTGCACTCCAGCCTGGGCGACAGAGCAAGACTTTGTCTCAAAAACAAAAAACAAAAAAAAAGAGAGACTGGGTCTCTCTGTGTTGCTGAGGTTGGTCTCAAATTCCTGGCTTCAAGTAATCCTCCTACCTCAGCCTCCCAAAGTGCTGGAATTACAGGCCTGAACCTCGGCGCCCAGCCTGGATTGTTTTTGTTTTGTTTTATTCTTGTCTGGTTTTTATGTGTGTTATCCCCTTGTATGAGGACCTGCAGCCATGCCATATCCTGAAATGCTTGGCAACAGAAACTGACCTACATGGTCTTCACATTTGGTTGATAAAAATCAACTGGTGAAATCCCAAATACATCCCTTGTAAGTTAGAATTAGTTGGAGGAAAAGCTTCCAGTGGGCCCCATCGGGCTCCTCTTCTGCTGGCACTTTCTCCTCCTGGGCACAAGGCTCCCTGTGCTTGGCCATCTGGATTCTAAACCTGAGAAACCTTTCTCAGAACCCCTGGCAGCTGTGGACTCTACTCAGCACTCTATCAGTTGTCTGCGTTCAGGTAGAGAGACGCAAAGGAAGAGTGTTGTGGAAAGCTCCGGAAGAGTCTGGTTTTGACTGGCGTCTCTGTCCTCTCACTTAGGTCGCTGAGATTACGGGTGTTGTGGAAACTGCCAAAGTTTACCAACTAGGTGGCACCAGAACAAACAAAGGGCTGCAACTACGGTAGGAGGCACTTCTGGGGTAGCTTCTGCTTCCACTTCAAACAGGCACTGGCTTTGGGGGCTGCTGTTCTCTCTGTGTGATGTTCCTTGTTACCATGAACGCTATGTATGCAATCCCCACAAGGTACACTTGGAGGGAGACTTGTATTCCATCTTTGTCTATAGGGAAGGTAGGATATTCTCTCCTCTAGAGGGAACCAAATATATGAAGGGGTAGGACACAGAGAAAGGAAATGTGTGGTTATGAGAGACCCTCCCAGAGCCTCGCTGGCATTTCCTTGGCAAGCATGTCCAAGAGGCTTGCTTCTGGTTCTGGCTCTATGTCATAACCTCATCTGTGACAAGAAAGATCATTTTTATGGACTTCATTTCCTCTTCAGTAAAATGAAAGTGTCATTCACTCAGCAAATATTTACCGAATGTACAGTGTGCCAGGCACTGCTCTAGGTGCCATCATAGTGCACTGCAGCTTGGAACTCCTGGGCTCAGGTGATCCTCCCACCTCAGTCTCCTGAGGAGCTGTGACCACAGGCATGTAACCCTGTCCCAGGCTCTGTTGCATATTGTTGATGTTGACTGTAATGGATTTTATTGTAAATTGACTTTTGAAGCACTGACCAAGCCCATTTGGTTTCCAGTGCTAGCTTTGGGATCTCAATCTTGGCAGCTCATTAAAACAGCCTGGGATGATTTTATAGGGTAGCTAGGATTGAGAACCACTGCAATAGGTATATATAGGTGGTACATAGTCTGGTAAGGTTGCTTTGCTTGTACTACAGTCAACATGCACATTTCTTGGAGATGCTGTCTCTCTTTTATGTAGGCATGGCAATGACCAACGCGTGTTCCGTTTAGAGTTTGTCTCAAACCAAGAATTCACCGAAAGTGAGTTTATGAAGTGGAAAGAAGCGGTACGTGGCTAGAGATTACCTAGCAGTTGTTCGTGCACGTTGAGAAAATATCTTTCCAAAATCCCTTACTAATAATCTCGTATCGTGTTTTTGATCCAGATGTTCTCTGCTGGCATGCAGTTGCCCACTCTAGATGAAATCAATAAAAAGGAATTATCTATTAAAGAAGCTCTTAATTATAAATTCAATGATCAGGACATTGAAGAGGTAAGAAAACTGGTGCCCCAGAACCCGGAGGTTCATCAAGAACCAGTGTTGAGAGAACATGATTCTCTTTTATTTCCCTATATCTTGACATTTTTAGCTATGCATGAAAATGAGGGAATACTAATATTACTACCTGATTATTTATAGTTCATCAAGCTTTTTTCTATACATTCTCATGTCCGGATGAGGCTAACATAGACTGAAGTGTATTCAGAGTTCAGATGAGACAACAAATGAGGCTACATACACTAAAGTGTATTTAGGGTTCAGGGGTCTGTATTCTGCTAGGCTTGATCCTTCAAGAGTTTTCCTTTTCTAAAACATCTTGGTAAAATTATTTGATCTCTGTTCTCTTGGACAGTGGCTAGCCTTACACTACCAGGCCCTTGGGCTGCTGTTTCTTGGTGCATGTTCCTTCAGCCTGTCCCAGAAGAATCTCCGTGACCCAGGAAGCAGCATAGTATCCCTTGGAATGAACCCGCTCTCTCTCTCTCTGGGGCATGACACTGCTGTAGGAAGAGCAGCCCCTTTGTAACTAGCTGTTTGCATCCAAAATGGGCTCACTTAGCCTGTCTACAAAAATAGCTTAGGAATACCTCACTGCTGGTATCTCCTCTCTGGTACAGATTGTAAAAGAGAAAGAAAGGTTCAGAAAAGCTCCACCCAACTACGCTATGAAGAAGACTCAGCTACTGAAGGAAAAGGTAAGGAGTTGTACTCGAGCCTCTTTCCTCATCCTGTAAGGAGATGTGGAAATCAAACTTGTTCATCCTCTGCCAAGTTAGTGGTGGTAGGATTGGGAGAAAATTCTGGGCTCGATTATAAGCAACACAGTGTGTTCTTGGCACCTGGGCAACGTTCCTTGGCCATTTTCCATTCCCTAAATTCAAACTCATCTTCTGCGTGTGTGCCAGTCTTCTTACTTTCTAGTCACTTCAGTTTCCTTTGTAATAAAATAGACCCTGGGGTGGTATTTAACACTGAGTCTGAACAGACAGATGACACTGTCAAGGCCACCTGTGGCTGGTGATTTTCCATTCTTCACACTGGGTTGGGGTGGGCCTTGTTATGGTGGTTTAGCCACCCTGTGAGGCCTGGGGTTCTACTGCCACCAGGGACCCACAGCCAGGTAGCTGTATGGGAAGGTGTTCCCCACTGTACTGTGCACTACTATAATATAAATTATATCTTGTATTTGTAAAGTACTTCTACAGTATTCTTCCACATCTCCTGTCCTTTGCTCACCACATGAGATATCTTTGCCTGTGCTGGAAGTAAGGGGATACTTGATATGGAGTCAGTTGTATGTAGCCAAGAACGAACTCACACATCTCTCTATGTGTAGGCCATGGCTGAGGACCTGGGGGATCAGGACAAGGCCAAACAAATCCAAGATCAACTGAATGAGCTGGAGGAACGGGCAGAGGCCCTGGACCGCCAGCGGACCAAGAACATATCCGCTATCAGGTGTGTTATGGAGCCTATTTTTGGCCCGCAGACCTTGGCCAAAATTATCAGGCAAGCCTGTGGCCTGTACACTCTGTGCTGCACTGACCCCATAGATATCTGAGTTCAGGGCTCAGTGGTTCCCTCCCTCCCTTGTTTCACAGCCACTGACTCATCCCTCTTACCCCACAGTTACATCAACCAGCGGAACCGGGAGTGGAACATTGTAGAGTCTGAGAAGGCCCTTGTGGTAAGAAAACTTTATCTGAATCACTAAAACAAAGTTAATTAATAAACCATGACATCTTTTCTACATCTTGCCTAAGTTTATTTTTTAATTATTGAAATAACGTAGGCACTTAACGTATACACACTCTCTCTGTATGTCCACGTACATCGATATAATTTATTCATAATGAAAAGCAGCAGTCTTCTGCCCTGTCCTACCTCTTCCCACCCTTAGATTCTACTCCACAGGTATTTGTTTTTTCTCAATTTCTGTTTCTTGGTTGTTTCCCCCATATCTACTCTGGTATTCTTGAAGGGAAAAGGATAATATGCCGGGCGCGGTGTCTCACGCCTGTAATCCCAGCACTTTGGGAGGCCGAGGCGGGTGGATCACCTGGGGTCAGGAGTTTGAAACCAGCCTGGCCAGCATGACAAAACCCTGTCTCTCCTAAAAATACAAAAATGAGCCGGACATGGTGGTGCACGCCTGTAATCCCAGCTACTTGGGAGGCTGAGGCACGAGAATCACTTGAACCTGGGATGTGGAGATTGCAGTGAGCTGTCGTGCCACTGCACTTTAGCCTGGGCAAGAGAGCGAGAATCCATTTAAAAAATAAAAAAAATTAGCCGGGCATGGTGGCTCACGCCTGTAATCCCAGCACTTTGGGAGGCTGAGGTGGGTGGATCACCTGAGGTCAGGAGTTTGAGAGCAGCCTGGCCAACATGGCGAAACCCTGTCTCTACTAAAAATACAAAAATTAGCTGGGTTTGGTGGCTTGCACCTATAGTCCCAGCTGCTGGAGAGGCTGAGGCAGGAGAATCACTTGAACCTGAGAGGCAGCAGATGCAATGAGCTGAGATTGCGTCACTGCACTTCAGCCTAGGCGACAGGGCGAGACTCCATCTCAAAAAAAATTAAAAAAAAAAAAAAAGGAAAAGGATAATAGCTTTTTTTTTTTTCAGTCCCGTGCAAAGACTTATTTGCCTGTGAGCTTATGGTGAATGAGAGGAGGGGCTGGAGGTGCAGTTCTGTGGTGCATGCTTTCTGTTTCAGGCTGAAAGTCACAACATGAAAAACCAACAGATGGATCCCTTTACTCGGCGGCAGTGCAAGCCTACCATCGTTTCTAATGTGAGTGCTGAAAGAGGACATTTTAGTCAGGACCTAGATTCTAGGACACAAAATGAATTCCATTAGGAAATTAATAATGAAGTTAAAAATAATGTTTTCTTAGCTGGGATTTGCTTGTCTGAAGCTCTTGGGTCTGGATACTTCCTTTTTTATCTTGCTATAGGACATATCGGTAGTGAAAACGTGGCATGGATTTATAAAAACCTAGTGACTGATCCTCCTGTATCAGGGTGGGTTTACAGTGCAGCAGACATTAGTAATGTGTCCCTTAGCTAGGGCCTGGCTGGGCTGGGCTTGGCTTTCAAGCTTGTAATTGCCTTTTTTTTTTTTTTTTTTGCTGCTTTGAGGAAAACCCCACTAGCTGCTGATGGGTCGGCTGTGGTGCTTGTGATGTTAGTTTGGTAGGTGGGAAAGAATCTGGCAGTAGGACTCTGTGAGTGTCAAGCAATCTCTAAAACAACTTATTTTCTCTCTCAGTCCAGAGACCCAGCTGTTCAAGCTGCCATCTTGGCCCAGCTGAATGCAAAATACGGTTCTGGAGTGTTACCAGATGCTCCAAAGGAAATGAGCAAGGCAAGTGTGGTACCACCCTGTTGCCTGCTGAGTGAGGCTGCTGGCTGAGATACCGAACAAGTACCTTGTCTAGTTTGGGCTTGATTTTTCCACCTTGAGGAACAGGGAGTCCCTCTTGGAGTCCCTTCTCCATCCCAGTTATTTACAGATATAATCAACAGACAACCTTAATTCCAAACCTGACACCACTACTTGCCTAGGGCCTTGACTATGTCCTTCAGCAGCTGGCTTCCAGCCCTCAGCATCCCCTTTTCTGCTGTGTAAAATGAGGGTACTACTGTATACCCTGCCAGCTTCACAGGAGGAGAGATAACATACAAAGATCAGACATTGTAAAAGTGAAAGCTTGTTGAAAATGGCACATTTAAAAGCAGTTTTCTTGCTGGGCGCAGTGGCTCATGCCTGTAATCCCAGCACTTTGGGAGGCGGAGGTGGGCGGATCACCTGAGGTCAGGAGTTCGAGACCAGCCTGGCCAACATGGTAGAACCCCGTCTCTACTAAAAATAGAAAAAAAATAGCTGGGCATGGTGGCGGGTTCCGATAACTCCAGCTACTGAGGAGGCTGAGGCAGGAAAATCGCGTGAACCTGGGAGGGGGAGGTTGCAGTGAGCCAAGATTGCACCGTTGTACTCCAGCCTAGGTGACAAGAGTGAGACTCCCACCTCAAAAAAAAAAAAAAAAAGCAGTTTTCTGTCCAAGTTAAGTCTTTTCCTGTTGTAGTCTAACTGGTCTCAGGATTTCTGAAATCTTAGGTCAGGAAGTGACCCGTTGCTTAAGCCCACCCTTTCTACACTCATACCACAGACACAAGCCTGCCCTCTTCTCTGTGCTTGTAGCCTTCAGGAGAGAAAGCTCTTTGTCTGTGGCCTCCCTCTGAGAGAAGGAATCAGAAAGGGGCCTTAGTAGGAAAATCTAATGAACTCAAATAAGAGCTTCGTACCGTTAGTGGCTGCTGCTGCTTGAAATCCACTTGCATTTATGCTCTTACCATTAGCTTTCCTCTTCACATTCCAGGGTCAAGGCAAAGATAAAGATTTGAATTCTAAGTCAGCCAGTGACCTCTCAGAAGATCTGTTCAAAGTACACGATTTTGATGTGAAGATTGACTTACAAGTTCCCAGCTCAGGTATGTGAGGGTGGGGCGGGTGGTGAGGGCTGAGAACCAGATGGATCCATGGTTTTCTGGGGCAACAAGGAAGCCCACTTTTAGGGAAGAAAGGGGAATGCTGGCTCATCAGCATCCACAGGCCAGGCCAAGACAGGCTGTGGGTATGGTGAGAGGGAACAGGGCCACAGTCAGGAGGCTGCCTGCAGGAGTGTAGCACAGGACTAAGAGGACTTTGTGGGACCTCAGCTGCCAACTTGCTCTTCTTTCCCACAGAGTCAAAGGCTTTAGCCATCACCTCCAAGGCTCCGCCAGCCAAGGATGGGGCTCCAAGGAGATCTCTGAACTTGGAAGACTACAAAAAACGACGAGGGCTTATTTGAGCACACCCAGCCTGCTGCTTCTGACCCTGCATGCCCCATCGCAGCGTCCCACCTTTCCTCCTTTCCTTTGATTTAGCCTCTTTGGGCTGGAGCAGCTGTTGAACTGGGAAGAGACTCTAAACTGCCAGTCATCTGTAATATAAACCATTTGCTGTATAGACCTCCTTTGTCTGCACACCATCTCCCACCAGCCTCCCCTCCCCCAGGGCCCCACCCAGTGTGGGCCTGGGCTCTCTTGGGCTTTATCCATGTCTTTAGATTTGTGTTTGCCTTTTGTTTTTTTAACCGCGCAGTTCATTGGCCACTCTGCACGCATTCAGTATTACCATGGAGCTGGGAATCTTGCTGGAGCCCCTGGGGCAATAGCAGCAGCACCAGGCGGTCTCCTCTACAGACTGCCTTGGCCCACCCATTGAACATTCGGCACGTGACCTTGTGGGGGGAGCGGGGATTGGGCACCTGCGATCCTCTTTCCTCTCTTCATCTTTCTCTTCTGCCCTTCTTTTTGGAAGAAGGGGTTTCAAAACCAGTTTAGTTTCCAAAAAGTGTACATTTGTGGGGGGGGGGGGTCTAATTTGAGAGCGAGAGTGTGTATGTGTGTGTGTGTAAGTGTGTGGATTTTTTTATCATTTTTTTAAAATGCAGTACTCTTTGTATCAGTCTGTCATGGGTCTATAGCTGTTTCAGATTTTTTTCAGCTGTACTTGAGCATCTGAAACTGCAAGAAAGAAACTCATTAAATGTGATTCTTCTTACTAAACAGGCCTGACTGCTGTAGCTGTGTAACTTCCCCATTCCCACCTACTCTTCCCATCCTTTCCCAACTTTGGAGAAAACTCCCCAGTTTAGCCCCCTGACCTGCAGGCTGTGTCCTGGCAGGTGTGGGAGGGAAGCCCATGGCCAGGTACCAGGGAGGGCAGTGAATGTCTTGCTCTTCCCATGGGTACAGCCCACAGCTTCTTGGCTGAACGTAGAACTTCTTTTTCTCACCCAGTATACCAGCCTCTTCCTGGTGATTCTGTTTTGCTGCTTTGGCAAGAACTACATTTTGTTTTTAAGAGAAATTTCTGAATATGAATGTGGAGAGCAAACACAAAAAGATTTAGGTTACGCCGGGTGCAGTAGCTCACGCCTGTAATCCCAGCACTTTGGGAGGCCTAGGCGGGTGGATCACCTGAGGTCAGGAGTTCAAGACCAATCTGACTAACACGGTGAAACCCCATCTCTACTAAAACTACAAAACTTAGCCGGGCATGGTGGTGCGTGCCTGTAATCCCAGCTACTCGGGGGGCTGAGACAGGAGAATCCCTTGAACCTGGGAGGCGGAGGTTGTGGTGAGCCAAGATCGTGCCACTGCACTCCAGTCTGGGTGACAGAGTGAGACTCCGCCTCAAAAAGATTTAGGTTGCAAATGTTTCAAGCATGTGCAGTTTTGTGTGTGTGTATACATATATATGGTCAGCATATATATTGTGCAGCTAGGGCGAAGCCAGCAGAGGTGTGTGTATGTCTTTATGAAATGTTTGAAAAGAGATAAACTGACTGCTTGATAATCACTCTCAGGTGTAAAGCTCCAAGTGTAAATAAAAGTGGCATTTAACAAATCTTTCAGAACAAAGTACAGCTGACTATATATACCAAGAGCTAAGCTAAAGGAACAGCTGAGAGCTCCGATCTCCACGAGAGACTAATCTAAAAGCTCTGCTTTGTACTTCCTCACCCTGCTTTCGTACAAGGAAGGGGGACGATGGGAAATCATGGACTTGTAAGTTGTATTTAAACATAAAAATGAACTTGGTAACTTCTGGGTTTAGTAGAGCCTCAGTGTCGCTTTAACTTAGTTTACTTTTTTTTTATTTTTAAAGCAGCAATGGATGGTTTTAAAGGAGTATTATGATTGTAAAATTGCTAAATATGACTGTAACACAGCTTTGTGGTAGCTGTGACACAGTTCACTTGGGCAAAGGAGTGGTGATGGACTCGTTAAAATCATATATACTTGAATAGTCCATTGACCGAAACTCTTTATAGACTATTGTGTAAATGTGGAATCACAGACTGTTAACATTGCCTGGACTTCAGCAGAGTCCTGGAGCTGCTGGGACCTCTCCTATCATGATGAACTTGGACTTTTTTTTTTGATTTCTGGTTTTAAAAAACATAAAATTATAGAATCCAGATAATTCGCTGGAGTCATTCTGATCCACCATGTAGATCTGTATTTAGTATCATTTGGATTTGGAGAAGTGTTGATTACATTATGGCTGTGTAATAAAATTTTTATTAAAACTGCATCACACTGTAGCCACTTTGCCACCACCTCCCCACATGTAGCCGCTGAAACCCCCACGAGATGCCAATGCACACAGCAGGGAGAAAAGCCAACCAAAGAAGACCGAAGGGTATCTTTCCACCCGAGTAGCCTCTGTAGTGATTGGGACCAAGACTAAGGACTTGTCTCCAATCTCAGCTGAGGCAGTGCCTCTGAACCAAGATCTTGGTCAGGCATTAAGACACTGGCTTTGTCCTACCAACTAGGATTTCTTGGTGGTTCACACTATTTCTTGTGCTGGGGAATTCCCTCATTGGGCCCCTCCTCCCTCCACAGTGTGGTTTCAGTGTTGAAGGGTGCAGCACCCAAGGTTGTTTTTATGCATTTTTTCAGTTCCTTCCAAGAAGCAAAAAGGCCAGTGTCCATCTGCCTAGTTCATAATGTTTATAGGTCTGTTTGTCTGTCTTGCTTCTGGCAGGTGTAGGGAAAGTCTACTGCCTGCCACTCCCTTCAAAAAGAATGTTTTTGCTTTTGTGAAGTCCTGACTTGCCACTCAAACTGTACCAATATTGTAAATAAATGTTATGCCATTTTAACAAAGGGATCAGATTGAGTCTAAGGATTGCATCCTGAGTGGCAACTCCTAAAGCCATGTTTTGAAAGTCCAAGAGAACCTCTCTTGCTCCTTTTCCTTCTTCTCTTAGCCCTGTGCCCACAAAAGTGAAAGTGGCCATCGTCAACTCTTTAGCAGCCTGGTTCCCCGGAAGCCTCTCTGGTAGGGTAGTTGCCTAGACCCAAGGAAACCTCCAGTTGTCCTGGTTTACTTCCTGTCTTGGTAAGAGACCAATAAGTTTTAACAGAGCTAAGTAGACCCCTGATGTACTGCCTAACCCTAGTGAGAATCTGGGCCTTTCAACCTTTTTTTTTTTAGCTGGGGTCTCTGCTGTCTAGGCTGGAGTGCGGTGGTGTAATCACAGCTCACTGCAGCCTCAACCTCCCGGGCTCAAGTGATCCTCCCACCTCACCATTCCAAGTAGCTGGGACTACAGTCATGCACCATCACACCCAGCTAATTTTTAAATTTTCTGTTGAGACGGAATATTGCTATGTTGCCCAGGCTGGTCTTGAACTCCTGGCCTCGAGTGATCCTCCCGCCTCAGCCTCCCAAAATGCTGGGATTGCAGGCATGAGCCACTGTGCTCAGCTCCTTTCAACTTTAAATTGGCCTAGGCACAGTTTCTTTGCTCTTCTTTTTTCTGGCTATCATGAGTTTGAAGGGGGTGCCCAAGGGCCATGAGTGTGGCTATGGAGGAAACACTGATCTTCCTTCATCCACGCACCCCTCATGCTGGGGAGGTCTATAGGCCTCCCCATCCCCAGTGCCTGAGGCTGTGTCTCCAACCTTTCTGAACACATTTTAGCTAGGAAGCAAGAAGATCCTGGATCTTCCACACCCTTTAAGAAGGCAAGGGATGGCAATCACAGTGATAAGAGCCACGTCCAAGACCGCTTCTGGTGGTGGAGAGGTTGCTTACCTGCAAGTGCGTCCAATGAGGTTTTCTCCAACTCCCCAGCACTCCCACTACCTAACTGGTGGGAGCAGTGGGACCTAGAGAGCAGGGGTTCTGGGCAGATGACAACATAGCTTGCTTATCTTCCAGGATTTGGGTGCTGTGGGGCAGCCACTTGCTACCTATCTCTGAGAATCCAGAAAGAACACCTGGGGTGCAAGTGGAGAGAAGAAGGGTGCTGGGTTGGTCAACTTCATCTCCCTGGCCACGTTTTTCCAGAAGGGAGATCTTCCTTCAGTAACTATAATGTGGCTGTGATCCAGCAGCCTTAGGAAGCCATCAACTCCCAGCTCAAATTTTTTTCACGATTTCCCTGACTTAAGCGGAGACTGCTGAGCTCCCTTGGCAAGGAGGGTGTTAAGGAGCTGAAGGGAATGGCAGTGCTAAGACAGGGCCAAAAGGCATGCCTTCTCTAAGGTTCCACAGGCCAGCCCCAGGGAACATGGAGATACGGCTTTTAGGCACTGGAGCATAGATAGGCATGTCTAGGGCTTCCAGACCATGCTCAGGATACAAGGGAGGGCCAAGAGCCAAAAGGCACCCAGGCTCGGGAAAGGGTTCAGATCCCCGCTCTGCCACTTGCTATTACCTAGGGCTGAGCTACTTAACACCTTTGAGCCACAAGTTTTCCACCTTTCAAAAAACAACCTGTCCCCAGTAGGGGTCCAATAAATGCTGTTGTTAATGAGAGTGAAGCCGCTGGACCCTGGAGGAGAGGAACGGCCCTTGGAGTGGGCTGATGGAGGGCGGAAGCACTGGGCAGTGGGCAGGACCAGAAACTCCACTTGGGCTGGGGTTGGGAGGGGGGGAAGAAACCCTGACTCCAGATGGAGGCTCCCACTGGGAGACCCTGGGCTGGCCTAGGGATGCGTCCAGAGAAAGTGTGCTGCCTCTGGGCCAGGCCCTCGTTGCTGTCATTCCCCACAGGCCAACGCACACCACCTTTACTGACCAGGCTTCTGAAGGCGTTGAAGGCTTGCCACCTTACCACCCTCCAGCTGGCCCCAACTGAGGCCCGACCTACCCACAACCCCCAAGAGTAGTGAATACTCAAAATAGCACCAATAGTACCAAACCAGAAGGTAAGTGTAAAAGAAGCACAACAAAGCTCTGACCCTTCCCATGATGATTACCTTGATACTTCTTCAAAAGATAGATACTTTTGGGCCCTGCACCATGGCTCCTGCCTGTAATCCCAGCACTTTAAAAGGCCGAGGAGGGAGGATCGCTTGGGGCCAGGAGTTCGAGACCAACCTGGTCAACATAGCGAGACTCCATTTCTTTTTTTCTTTTTCTTTCTTTCTTTTTTTTTTTTTTTGAGGTGGAGCCTCGCTCTGTTGCCCAGGCTGGAGTGCAGTGGCGCAATCTCGGCTCACTGCAACTTCCACCTCTCAAGTCCATGCAATTCTACTGCCTCAGCTTCCCAAGTACCTGGGATTACAGGCATGTGCCACCATTCCTGGCCAATTTTCGTATTTTTAGTAGAGGTGAGGTTTTACCATGTTGGCCAGGCTGGTCTTGAACTCCTGACCTTGTGATCCTCCCGCCTCGGCCTCCCAAAGTGCTGGGATTACAGGCGTGAGCCACCACGCCCGGCCTCTATTTTTTTTTTTAATCGAATACTTTTGATTTCTTTTTCTCTTTTAGCCATGGATAGCCCTGCTTCGCTAAGCGCGTGCGATGCAGCACAGCCCTTCACCTGGCAAGCCCGGAAGCCTCAGGTTGACTCCATCAGTTTTGCCGGGAGAGCCCTTCGGCGCTCCCCGCTTGGTGTCTCCACCACCCCCCGCACCGGCCTGGGCGCCACCCTTGTCCGCGCCAACGGTCCCCGCATCCCTGGCCCCGTGCGCCTCCTGCGCCGTTAGCGCCCAGTCCACGCAGCAAGGGAGGAGGCGCGCGGCCGCTGCGTTCCAGGGCGCTCTGCCCTCGTTCCCCACTCCGGGCCCGCAGCCTCAGAGCCAGGGTCCCAGTGGCCCGGGGCCTGCATGCGTCTCCAGCCGTGGATCCCCCGGGGCGCGCGCCTTGGGAGTTGAGCTGGACCCCGGCTCGCACGCGGCCCACGCGGAGACGCATGGGCACTACGGTCCCAGACCCCGGGCCACTGCATGCTCTGTGGACTCGGTCCCCAGGCACACCCGAGGTGTGGAGGTCACGCCTGCAGGCGCAGAGCTCACAGATGGAATTAGGAGGCGCCTCCTAACCCCCGCCTCCCCCCATCACACGCCACCATGACTACACGATGCAGGGACCCCCGACGACGTCCCAGGCATTCCTACAGTGGTCGCCTCCACAAGCTGAGTCCCTGACCTCAGACCCTTCCTGTCCCCTTCACCTCCCCTCGCACTGGGTGAGGTTCTGAGGGTTCTGAGTTCTGGAGAAGAAGGAGGATCACAGGAACACAGGCTCCTGAGTGGGATCGGAAACCTTGTTTCTGAAGTGTAAGGAGAGAATATGTTCTTACTGCGCACACACAGGTGTGGTGACACATTTTGTTCGTTTTAGACAAGAGTGACTCAGACTGTGGAGGGTCAATGAACACTGCTAGATCCTGAGCCCTGCTGAGGTAACCTTGCACCCATCCCTGGATATTCCCACAACGTCTAGTCAATCCATTTATGAGGTCAGAGATTGCCGGGAAGGAAGGGAAACCTAGAGGCCAGGAAAAGAGGCTGGGGCTGGGAGCTGAGGGCTCGCCTGTCAGGTGAAGACCCATTCACGCCTCTTTCCAAGAGAAAGGAGACCCTCACCTCTCTCCCATTCTCACGTGTCCACTGGGCTCTGGCCAGCCCTCCAGCACCCTCTCTGGTAGGCCCTGACGGAGAAGGACATCGAACCCACCAGAGGTGAGGAATGTTTTGGATGCAGGAAGCAGCTGAGAAACCAAAATTCCCAGCGCGCACATTGACAACCTCTTGGAAAGGGAGGGAAGGCAGCCACTGAGCGTCCCAGGGCCTGTTTTCTTCTTGGGCCCTTTCTGGTTTCCTTCCTCGGTAAGACAATGAAAATGATACACTATCACTCCCGGAAACGGGCGGGGGCATCACAGGATCCACGCATTCCTGTGTCCTTTGCACCTAGCACAATAGCAGCTGCTCCATGGAAGTGTGTCTGCTCTGTGAATGCATGAGTGAATCACAGGTATTGTCACAGAATAGTGGGGTCTTAGGGTCATAAAGTCCCTTGGAAGGGCACCAAGTCCCACAGTGCATGTCTGGGAGTTGTTACTAGAATAAGACCTTGCACCACCGGGTCCAGTGGAACATGACAGCCCAACCCCCTCTCACCTCCCCACTCCTACCACACACACACACCCCACACACACTACACACACCACACTCACACACCACACCCACCACACACACACTACACACACTCACACACCACACACACCACACTCACACCCACACCTACCACACACCACACCCACCACACATGCCACACTCACACCACACCCACACCACATACCACACACCACACACACACCACATGCAACACACAACACACACATACCACACGTGCGCCACACATACATGCCATATACACCACAAACATAACCCCCCACACACACCACACATGCCACAATGACACATACCACACACACACTAGAGAGGCTCTGCTCCTGCTGGAGAAGACTTGAAGTCTCCTCAAAGGAACAGATGCTCCATTCAGGAGCACAGGTCAAAGGCTGTGCCTTCCCTTCTCTCCCCAAGGTGAAAGGCCCTGCTTGTCATCTTAGGAAGCAGAAACCAGCACTGTGCCTGGCAGAGGGTGATGAGTGGTGATTTTGCTCCTGCCACTGGTGCTGCCCTGGGGATGGGGTAGAGGTGGGCACAGCTATGAGGCAGGCTGGGGTGAGGACCCCAGAAACCCCTCACATCACACATCCCATTTTCCAGGCCCTTTTTTCTTCCCTAGTTTTGTACCTGAGGGTGATGTTTCTCTAGAAGAGATGCAGCCCTCAGTCATGATAAATCCTGAAATTTTTTTTTTTTTTTTTTTTTTTTGAGACGGGGTCTCTCAATCTGTTGCCCAGGCTGGAGGGCAATGGCTTCATCACGGCTGACTGCAGCCTCAACCTCCCTGGGCTCAGGTGATCCTCCCACCTCTTCCTCCTGAATACCTTGGACCACAGGCATGTGTCACCATGCTTGGCTAATTTTCTTATTTTTTGTAGAGATGGGTTTTCAGCATGTTGCTCAGGCTGGCCTCAAATTCCTAGGTTCAAGTGATCCTCTTGCCTGGGCCACCCAAAGTGCTAGGATTACAGGTACCAGTCACTGGGCCCACCCCTGAAGGTCTTTGATGGGGGTGAAGACTCAGGCACTTCAAGAAGCAGACCTCAGGCCAGGCGCAGTGGCTCATGCCTATAATCCCAGCATTTAGGGAGGCCAAGGTGGGCAGATCACCTGAGGTCAGGAGTTCAAGACCAGCCTGGACAACATGGAGAAATCTCATCTCTATTAAAAATATAAAAATCAGCTGGGCATGGTGGCAGGTGCCTGTAATCCCAGCTACTCAAAAGCTGACACAGGAAATTTCCTGAACCCAGGAAGCAGAGGTTGCAGTGAGCTGAGATCACACCAATGCACTACAGCCTTGGCAACAGAGCGAGACTCTGCCTCAAAAAAAAAAAAGCAGACCTGTAGGGAACAGGAGGATCAACCAACTGAGATACCACAAGAAGATAGGTTCTGGCTGGGCACAGTGGCTCACACCTATAATTCTAGCACTTTGGTAGGCCAAAGCAGGAGGATTGCTTGAGCCCAGGAATTCAAGACCAGCCGGGACAACAGAGTGAGATCCCTGTCTCTACAAAAAATTTAAAAATTGGCTGGGCATGGTGACACATGCCTCTGCCTGTGGTCCCGGCTACTCGAGAGGCTAAGGCAGGAGGATCACTTAGGCCCAGGAAGTTGAGACCGAAGTGAGCTGTGATTGTGACTCTGCACTCCAGCCTGGGTGACCGAGTGAGACCCTGTCTCAAAAATAAATAAATAAATAAAGGAAAAGAAAAAAGGTTATCTGCTCAGACATGTAAGCTGGCCTTGTGGCCAAGGCAGAGAGACTCTCATGGCCTATCTCAGAACAGCCACCTAATGACCATCAAAACCTTGACACACTGGCGGGGTGCAATGGCTCATGCCTGTAATCCCAGCATTTTGGGAAGCTGAAGGAAGAAGACTGTTTGAGGCTAGAGTTCAAGACTTGGCCAACATAGGGAGACTCCATCTCTACAAAAAGTTTTTAAAATTAGTTGAGCATGGTAGTGTGTGCCTGTGGTCCCACCTACTCAGGAGGCTGGGGCAGGAGGATCCCTTGAGCCCAGGAGGTGGAGGCTGCAGTGAGCCATGATGGCACACTCTAGCCTGGGTGACAGAGTGAGTGAGACTTTGTCTAAAAAAAAAAAAAAAAACCCAAAAACAAACAAAAAACAACCTTGACACATTCCTCTACACCCCAGTGTCCCCCTTTTCTGTTGTTTAATTTTTTAAAAACTGTCTCTGGCGGTCAGGCGCAGTGGCTCACACCTGTAATCCGAGCACCTTGGGAGGCTGAGGCAGGCAGATCACCTGAGGTCAGGAGTTCGAGACCAGCCTGGCCCATTAATGTAGTGAAGCCCTGTCTCTACTAAAAATACAAAAAATTAGCCAGGCGTGGTGGCACACACCTGTAATCCCAGCTACATGGGAGGCTGAGGCAGGAAAATCGCTTGTGCCAGCAGGTGGAGGTTGCAGTGAGCTGAGGTGGTGCCACTGCACTTCATCCTGGGTGACAGAGCAAGACTCTCAAAAAAAAAAAAAAAAATTTTATCTGGCCTGCTTAATGCTTAAGTGTTTGAACATCCCCACCATTTTTTTTTTTTGTGGCACTCAAGAGGCCATCCCTTCCACCTCCATACTAGTCAGTCTGATTTTTTCCACATCCCTTCTACTCAAGCATCAAAGACTGAGAAAAATGAGTCATAAAAGAACAGATGTTCTAGGGTTTCAACGTTTATTCCTGGCATGACTAAGAGGACGGAAGAGCCTGCTGACCTCATCCTACAGCTATACAGGGACTCCCAGGCCTTGCCCCAAGACGTACCCTTATGTTTTCTGACTGTAGTAGGTGGGGGCAGACTCTACCTTCAGAAGGAACTACAAGATGTTTCTTTGTTTTGAGATGGAGTCTGGCACTGTCGCCTAGGCTCACTGCAACCTCTGCCTCCTGGGTTCAAGTGATTCTCCTGCCTCGGCTACCCAAGTATCTGGCATTACAGGTGCCCTCCACCATGCCCAGCTAATCTTTGTATTTTAGTAGAGACGGGATTTCACCACGTTGGCCAGGCTGGTCTCGAACTCCTGTCCTCAGGTGATCCACCCACCTCAGCCTCCCAAAGTGCTGGGATTACAGGTGTGAGCCATTGCACCCGGCCAGGAAATACAAGATGTTAATGAAAGAATTTGAGAACATGAGCGAGGTGGCTCATGGCCATAATCCCAGCGCTTTGGGAGGCCTGGGTGGGCGGATCACCTGAGGTCAGGAGTTTGAGACCAGCCTGGCCAACATGGTGAAACCCCGTCTCTACTAAAAATACAAAAACTAGCCAGGCCTGGTGGCGAGCACCTGTAATCTCAGCTACTCAGGAGGCTGAGGCTAGAGAAGCAGGCTGAGGCTCTTGAAGCCAGGAAGCAGAGGTTGCAGTGAGCCGAGATCACGCCATTGCACTCGAGCCTGGGCGACAAGCACGCAGGAAGTCAGGGGACCTAGCCAGGATACACTGCCTTTTCCATCAACTGGCTGTGTGTCCTTAACCTCCCTGGTGGAGCCACTTAACCTCTTTGGTACTTCCGTAATGTGAATGAGGAGGATAGATGGATATAAGGCCCCTTACTGCTCTAAGAATCTATGGGATTGGATTTCAGTTCAGCATCCATTTCCAGGTTTGCGCTCATCTTTCCAATGAGAGACACCTGGGCAGGTAGAGCAAAGAGCAATTCTCTGGCTGCTGGTATAGTAGACCTAAGGCTTGAGCAAGTGCCTGATACAAGAAGAAAAGGAATTGCCCCTTTTTCTTGGCAGCCAGGACAGAGACCCAGTGCCCAACCTGCTTATACCTCCAACCCTGCCCATCCATCGCCTGACAGACAGGAGTGCAGGACAAGTTCTCGCCCCTCATTGCCCTCCCTACCTTTCCAGTTCTGGCAGTTCCTTGCAGGCTCTCCCCACCTTGGGTTTCCTCCCAGCCCCGTCTCTGAGGGCAGCACCTTCCCACATCCTGACGCAGGTCAGTGTAGCTGTGAAGGAGGCAGAGGAGTGAGTGTCTGAGACACGAGTGATCCAGGTCCTTCAAGCTGCAGAGTACATCCCTCACACACATACTCAAGATTCCTCCAGATGGTTGTCCTAGAGAAGGTGGCGATGTGATTTCCCAGGTTCTCCGTGAAGTAGTCAAGTATTCAAACTCCTCTATGCCCTTCTTCCTCTTACCCCTTCATTCCCTCTATTTCTCCTGCCTCTCTCATTGCCATTCTTTCTTACATTATTTTGCTTCCTTCCTCAGTTCTCCAGGATCTTCACCTATTTGTTTATTTTGAGATAGCGTATGACTTGTCACCCAGACTGCAGTGCAGTGGAATGTCATGGCTCTCTGCAGCCTCGACCTCCTGGGCTCAAATAATCCTCTCACCTCAGCCTCCTAAGTAGCTGGGACCACAGGTGCATGCCACCACACTCAGCTTTTTTTTTTTTTTTTTTTTTTTTTTTTGAGACAAGTTATCACTCTGTTGCCCAGGCTAGAGTGTGGAGTGTGGTGGTGGAGTGTGGTGGTGATCTCAGCTCACTGCAGCCTCGACCTCCCAGGCTCAAGTGATCCTTCCACTTCAGCCTCTCCCCGAGTAGCTGAGACTACAAGTGCACACCACCACACCTGCCTAATATTCTGTATTTTTAGTAGAGACAGGGTTTTGCCATGTTGCCCAGGCTGGTCTCGAACTCCTGGGATCAAGCAATCTGCCCGCCTTGCCCTCCCAAAGTGCTGGGGTTACAAGCCTGAGCCACTATGCTTTGCCGAAGATTCCCGTCTTCCCACTGAACCTTCTTCTTTCCTTCTCCTGGGCCATTCCTGAGCCCTGGCTGAGGGGAGAGAAGGGAAGGAAAGCCCCTCCTGCGGCCATCTCAGCATCCAAGGCAATCCTTCTGGGGCTGCTCTGTCTCCAGGGCCCCAGCCATCCCCAGACACTGAGTGCCTGAGGGGGGACCCTCACTCCTGTGGCACTATGGTAAGATAGGAAACAGTGGCTTCTCCTCAAAGCAGCCTCGCCGGTCGGTCAGCTGACTACCAACATGGGAAGTGGCCGAAGATCCACATGGAATGACACTGATAAGCACTTTGCAGTGTCTGAAACTCTTAAACATCAGTGCTGTCTTCCTAGTTTTACAGACACAACTCTGTGGGTTGGATGAGGTTTTTCTAAATGTACAAATGCAGAAATATACGGAGGGAGTAAAGGGACTGCCTACAAATCACATCTAGAGTGTGGTGTACCTGATTTCAAGTCTTTTATTTTATTCTCGCAGCAACGGGAGAATCCGCAGTCGAGGGAGGTGAAATGACTTGCTGAACGCCACACGGCGGACTCCAAGCCCCGAGCTCCTATAACAGAGGAGGAGGAAGGCGGGCTCAGCTCCTGCCACCCAGCAGCGGGGGAGATGCAGCCCGGGACTAGGCTGGGCCATGGGGACAGATCCAGGCCCCGCCCCCTGACCTTGTTCTCTGCCCGCCGGGAAGTGGGGAACTTGCGGGGAGCAGCCTCAGCTAGTCCCTGGGGCAGAGTCTCCACTTGGGTGCACGCCCTGGGGTGGGGCTTCTTCGGGAAGCCGGGGGCCTTCAACTCTGCTCAGGAGCTCGGGCCGGAGAAAGGCCCCGAGACTTGAAGCCCTTGCCCGGGAGGGATGAACACGCAAAGGAACCCGAGGAACGGGGTAGGGGACCAAGAGTAGGACCAGCTTCTCCTGCGCGGGGACAGGGCCTGTGGAGCGGCCTGGAGGAATCTCTCCCAGCCGCGAAGCCCGGGAAGGCTGCGAGGCCCCAGCGCGGAGCGGCCCCTCCCACCTCCCCGAGGGCAGGCGGAGCGAAGCCTCGGGGCCCGGGCCCAGGTTTTGTGCCTACGGAGGCTGGACTTCCCCGCCACCCCGAGGAGTCACCGAGAGCCTTCTCTCCCTCGCAGGGGCCCTGGGAGGCCCGCGCTTTCTCTGAAAGTGGAAGGAGTGGGCGGGGGGCGCGGCCGAGGCGGGGCGCGGGCGTGCAGCGGCGCAGGCTCCGCCCCGGGGCCGTCTCCAGCCGGGGGCGCCGAGCCGCTCCAGTCCCCGGCGCGCCGCGGGCTGGTGGGCTCAGCGGCGGCGCCGGCACTGGGAAATGACCCTGCCCGGGGGCCCAACGGGCATGGCGCGGCCGGGGGGCGCGAGGCCCTGCAGCCCGGGGCTGGAGCGGGCCCCGCGCCGGAGTGTCGGGGAGCTGCGCCTGCTCTTCGAGGCGCGCTGTGCGGCGGTCGCTGCGGCCGCCGCCGCGGGGGAGCCCCGGGCCCGCGGGGCCAAGCGGCGTGGGGGACAGGTCCCCAACGGGCTTCCGCGGGCTCCCCCGGCCCCGGTGATCCCTCAGCTGACCGTGACAGCCGAGGAGCCCGACGTGCCCCCGACCAGCCCTGGGCCGCCGGAGCGGGAGAGGGACTGCCTCCCGGCAGCGGGCTCTTCGCACCTGCAGCAGCCGCGCCGCCTTTCCACCTCGTCGGTCTCCTCCACTGGCTCCTCGTCGCTGCTCGAGGACTCGGAGGACGACCTGCTGAGCGACAGTGAGAGCCGGAGCCGCGGCAACGTGCAGCTGGAAGCGGGCGAGGACGTGGGTCAGGTACGGGCCGCGGGGGCGGGGCCAGCGCCGGGCGCGGGGGCTGCACGGGGGACCTGGCTGGGTGCTCCCGGAGGACCCGCTCCTGTCCATGCTCCCTCCAGCGGAAGGTCCTGTTCTCGCGGTTTAGGAGGAATCTGGGGGTCAGAGGGAGGCGCCTGGCCGACCTCTCGCCTGGGCAACTTTCACCTCGGCTCCGCCGGCGGGTCGTGGCGCTGGCCCTGGGGCGTCTAAGAAGCGGGGCGAGGAGCAGGCGACCCGCCGCGGGGACTGGGCGAAGCGGGGGTAGCGGACCTTGTTGGCTGTGGGTTAGGACAGGAGGGATCGGAGGGGCTGAGCCTTGCCGGGTGAACCCTCGGAAGGAGAGAGGCGAAGGAGAGTTTCCCTTACCCCCCGCCCCCTCTCCGGTGCCGCGGCCGCACCCCCGCCGTTGCCACGGTTTCCCTCTCCTGAGTGGGAGTGGAGCGGCGCTCCAGGCTCTGCTCGGGAGCCGCTGCCGTCTGCTCCCAGCGCCCGCACGAGGCGTGGACGCAGGGGAGGGAGGGGCGTGGGCCTGGGAGCTCTGGCTGGGAGCGGAACGCAGCCCACCCAGTGCGCGCCCTGCCTCCCATCTTCCCGGCTCGCCGCTCCTGAGCGCGGCAGAGAGGGGCGGTAAACTGAGGCTGCAAGGGGGCAGGATCACTCTGCTAGTCTCTGCCTCTGATAGCCTGGGTGTTCTGGGACCAGGTCTGACCCTCGGAAAACACAGCCCTGGGCACTGTTAAGTCATTCCTGACGCCCGCCACTTAGGGATGTGCGGCTCCCGGGACACCCTCCTTGTTCCCCTCGTTTTAACCAAGGCCAAATACCTTGAATAACTGTCCGTGGTCAGCGCGAAGGACTTTCTTTAGATCCACGTTTCGCAAGTGTCCCTGAGGCCGAGGAAGAGGCGAGGGGCGCCCCCGGCCTCGGGCGTCTGGGGCCTGCCCATAAGTCCGGGTCGGCGCGGCGGGGCGGGGAGAGCTGTGGCCGCGCGCCTGCTCCGCCGCACAATCGGCTGGGACAAGGCAGGGAAGCTGTGGCGACCTGCAGGGGTTCACAAGCCCGGAGGCCGATGGGGTTTGTCAGTGACACCAGAGGGGAAAAGCCTCACAGAGCAGGAACACCCCCCGCCGCCAGGTGCTGGGTGCGCCGGCTCGGTCACTAGCCTGCCGCTTCCCCTTCTTCCCCGGTGGTCAGAGCAGCCCCGGACCCAGGATCGTTTCTGGGGTAACCCTTGCCTAGGTCGGGGGGCGGATGCCGGGGCTTCCCAGGATGTGGAGTGTGGGGCAGTGAGAGGCCCCCCGCCCCGCCTCTTCGGAAAAGCCTGAGCAGCAGCTCCCGGGGCGCGGAAGCTCTGACACCTGAGAGCCGGTGCAGGCGAAAGGGCGCGAAGCGCGGGCGCGTCCCGCTTCCCTCTTCCGCCCGCAGGGACTCGGCGAAGTGCCTGGGAGAGGGAGTGCGCTAGGAGGAGGTCCTGCGGCCCAAGCCTGGGTGTAGAGACCGCCCCGGCTAAGGTCAAGCCTCGGGGACCTGGGCGACCCCGCCGCCCTCCGAGCCGTCGGGAGCCGGTGCAAATCGCCGCTGAGGGCCCTTCCAGCTCCAAGGCTGCGGCTTCCAGGCCTTCCCCACCCCCAGGCCCGCCGGGGCCTCCCCGAAGTCAAACAGCCACAGCGGCGGCAGATAAGCCAGGGGCTGTTGACAGAGGCTGCCTGAGTCCGTGTGGAAGGGCCCAGGGCGGACTTTGCCTCGCCGCAGGTCCCAGAGCCGCACAGCGCGCCGGCCCAGGCCAATTTAGGGCTTCCCCAGGCAGGAAGCAAGGCTGGTCCGGCTGACCGTGAAGGATGCACGTGGGCCGGACTCTAGGACTCCCGGCTTACCAGCCCCTTACGCGCGGCCCAGGCAGGCCGGAGCCCAGGAAGTTTCTGCCTGCCTGCCTGCCTACCTCTCTGCCTGGGGCATACGTAGTCCCCTTCACCTCCTAGGAGCCCTCTCCAGCCTGCCCAGAGCAGGGAAATTGAAACTGGGCAGCCTCACTCCGGCAGAGGAAAAAGTCACAGGCAGGCTTTTCCTAACCAGCCAGGGGAGAAGTTGGAGGCCCACCCGCAAGGTCAGCTGCATGACTCTATGGCCTTGCCTGCCTCCTCAAACAATTGTGGGGTATTGCTGGAGGAAAAGAGAGGGTGTTTGGCTCCTGTTCATCTGGTTTTCTTCTTTCTGTGCTCCAGGATAGGTAAGGAGACCTGGATGCCATCCCCTCCTGGACTCAGAATTCCCACACATCGCTTTCCACTAATTATAGAGCAGAATTTAGGTTAACAGACTTCCTTTTTAAACAGCTAATGCCCATGGGAAGGTGAAGTCGTGGGTCACTTATACCTTAGTGCAAATCGTTTTATAAATTTAAACTGATTGCTCTTCCCACCACCACGACCACAGGGAGTGCTAGTTTGATAGGGCAATTGGAACATGGGGAGGGTATTGGGCTGGTAGAGAGCTTCAACCAGAGCCTGGATGACTGGAGGCAGGGAGCAAGGGTGAGTGCCAAAGACAGAGCACTCACCCACCTGCTGGTCTGCTCCAGCAGAAGATACACTGTGTATCTGGCATGAGCAGGTGTCTTCAAGGCTTCCGAATGGAGCTTAGACAAAGGAGGGTCTGAGGCTAGTATCCAGCCAAGCCCTGCCCAGAGAGAGGTACTCCCTGTTCAGCCCTAGGAGTGAGGAATTATCAGAGGGCCCTCCTGTGACTTCATTAAAGTCTCTCACACAGTCAGCAATCCTAGCCTTTGCCTCAAGATACCCAGGTAGCCTCTGGCTGTGTGTTAGTCTCCCAGAGAGGGCACCTTCATGGAGGGAGGCCCGAGCCAGAGGATGTTCAAGCTTCTCCCGGGTTCAAGCGATTCTCCTGCCTCAGCCTCCCGAGTAGCTGGGATTACAGGCACCTACCACCACACCGGCTAAGTTTTGTATTTTTAATAGAGATGGGGTTTCACCATGTTGGCCAGGCTGCTCTCGAACTCCTGACCTCAAGTGATGCATCTGCCTTGGCCTCCCAAAGTGCTGAGATTACAGGTGTCAGCCACCGCGCCTGGGCTTACATTCATTTTTAAAAGCGTGATGTTCTCTGGGGGAGGTATCTCCCTAAGGTGGAAGGTGGCAGTGATTTGAGTTCCATGACACTTGCACAACTCCTGCCATGCTTGGCCATACCCATTACTGGCAGGGGGGCTAAATCCTGTCATAGCAACCTCAGGTGGTAGGACGGAGGACTCAGATGAGATAATAGGTATGAAAATCTTTTGTAGGCTGGGAGCAGTGGCTCACACTTGTAATCCCAGCACTTTGGGAGTCCAAGGCGGGAGGATCACTTGAACCCCGGAGTTCGAGGCCAGCCTGGGCAACATAGCAAAATCCTGTCTCTACTAAAAATACAAAAAAAATGTCACGGTGGCTCACACTTGCAATCCCAGCACTTTAGGAGGCCATGGCAGGTAGATCACTTGAGGCCAGGAGTTTGAGACCAGCCTGGCCAACATGATGAAACCCCGTCTCTACTAAAAATATAAAAATTAGCCAGGCGTTGGTGGTGCACGCCTATAATCCCAGCTACTCAGGAGACTGAGGCAGGAGAATCGCTCAAACCTGGAAGACAGAGGTAGCAGTGAGCCGAGATCGCACCACTCAAATAAATATGTACATACATACATACAAAAATACAAAAAATCAACCAGGCATGGTGACTCACATCTGTAGTCCCAGCTACTCTGGAGGCTGAGGTGGGAGGATCACCTGAACCCTGGAAGTCCAGGATGCAGTTAGCTGTGATCGCACCACTGGACTCCAGCCTGGACAATGGGAGTGAGACCTTGTCTCAAAAAAAAAAAAAAAAAAAAAGTATTTTGTAACCTGCTAGCTAGGACTGGCCTTAGTTGCTGCTGCTCTTGATTCTTATGAGATGCAGAAAACCAAGGTCAAGAGAGTAGGTGATGACACCATTTTACCCCTGCTTGGGAGCAGGTCCATCAATCAAATGGTAGTAGCCCAGGTTTTTAGACACACATCAAATCCTCTTCTGCCAGGCCCACCTGCCAGCCCTCCTCACTGTTTCTGCACAGTTCTAAAAGGATGGTTCAGTTCCCTCACCCTGCCTAACCCAAGGCAAGTTTCCTCTTCACTAAGTCCATTCTGGTCCCACTATCCCCTAAATTCTTCTAGCAGGTCCCTACAGCCATTAAACTCATTCTTTTGGATAAAGGCAAAGGTGGCCATCCAGTAGAGAAGGGCCCCCAGGCAGGTCTCAGTGTTCCCCAGAAGTCAAAACTCAGACTGCCTTATTGCTGCACATCACTTCACCACGCACAAAGCACTTTCTCAGGCCACATCCCATTTAACCCCCAAAGGGAGGCAGGATGGTAGCATCCTGCTGGGGATACTTTGGAACCTGCTGGGGCAGTTGGAACTTGGGGAGGGAGGATGGGCTGATAGCTTCAGCCAGAGATTGGGAGGCTGGAGGCAGGGCATGAGGGGATGTAACTCCCCTTGATTTCCTTCTGTAAAATGGGAATGATACCACTTCACGCACTTGCTATGCATGTGCATTCATTATGGCTCTCAAACTGAGTGTGGGAGAAGGGGGTACAGGATGGTGCTGCTGAATATACATGGCACATACATCATCTTCCTGGAATTTTACTTGAGGGTTTGGAGGTGGTGAGTTTTATAATAAAACTTGGATTTATTATGCAGCAGAATGCAAACCTGGTGTGTATTTAAAGATTTTAAAAGGAGTTTTGAAAGTGATGTCATGCTTCTAGTGGGCTGCTTCTGGCTACACCCCCAGATCCCTGGGGATTGGGCACGTGATCACACCCTAGTGTGCCATGTAAGGGCTTCAGTAGGAAAGTGGGAGCAATGCTGCCTGATGGAAGATGAGAAAGTGCCTGACATGCAATAGGCAGGTAGCATTTGATGGTTCGTGTTACGGCAGCAGCTATGTCCTCCCAGGGGAAACAGGCCCACACAGATGGCAGTACTTGGTTGGGTTCACTCAGCTGGAAGGTGACACAGCCATGACTGGAACCAACTACTGACTTCCCACCCAGTGCTCTACCATAACTTCCATCTCCTCCCCATGGGAAAGGGCTTTATGGTCAGCAGCCCTCTTCTACTTAGGCCACCTCCTCAGTTCTCTCTCTCCCTCTTAGAACTCCCTCTTGTCAGGGAGGTGTATTCCTCTGGGGGTACAACATGTGTAACTGTGCTAAAAGGCAAGTGCCTCTGTGGGGAGGCGGCAGACACAGTTGACATGAGCCAACCTGTGTACTTCAGAGAGGACACAGGGCTGCCGAGTTGCGGGTGGTAAGAGGAGAGGTCCAGAGGATGGGATGCTCTCAAGATTAGCTGGAGGCTAGAAGAGATAAGGGGCACACCAAAAAAACAAAAACAAAAAACAAAAAACAAAAAACAACCCTCGTCTCCTTCCCAGGTTTGTCTAAGTTGACAGGCCCTCAGGTTTGCACCTTATTTTCTTTCTTTTTCTTTTTTTTGAGACGGAGTCTCACTCTGCTGCCAGGCTAGAGTGCAGTGGCTCGATCACAGCTCACTGCAACCTCCACCTCCCAGATTCAAGCGATTCTCCTGCCTCAGCCTCCCAAGTAGCTGGGACCACAGGCGCATGCCACCATGTCCGGCTAATTTTTGTATTTTTAGTAGAGACGGGGTTTCACCATGTTGGCTAGGATGGTCTTGATCTCTTGACCTTGTGATCCGCCCACCTCAGTCTCCCAAAGTGCTGGGATTACAGGCATGAGCCACCTCGCCCAGCCCGGCATCTTATTTTCATGGCTTAAGATTTCTAGGTCCAGATAAAAACCAAGGGTGCCCTGGGCCTTGCCAGCTAATGAGTGCATAGAATCCAGGGATAGCAAGAGAGGCTTGGAGAGCCTTTTCTTTCTCCAGCCCTGTTCTTTCTCCAGGCCCTGCCAGGCTGGCCTTCCTGCCCTGGGCCTGTGTACAGGTTTGTTTCTGTGTATGTCTGTCTCCCTAAATGAGAGGAACCAAGGTCCTGAGTGAAGGAATCAGTGATTGAGATTTGTTCAGCTTCTGCCTCATACCATGGAATGGGATGGGGGAGCTGGGCGCCTATCATGCTTAAGCCTTATGTACTACTCACAGCAACCCAGTAAGGATAGTTATTTCCTCATTTTATAGATCTTTTTCTTACAGATGCACAGAGGCTTGTTTCTTGGGCCCTGGAATCTTTTGAGGCATTGGTAGTAATAAAAATTTGGGGGGCCGGGCCTGGTGGCTCACACCTGTAATCCCAGCAGTTTGGGAGGCTGAGGTGGGTGGAACACCTGAGATCAGGAGTTGGAGACCAGCCTGACCAATATGGTGAAACCCTGTCTCTACTAAAAATACAAAAAATTAGCCGGGCATAGTGGTGTGCACCTGTAGTCTCAGCTACTCGGGAGGCTGAAACAAGAGAACCGCCTGAACCCGGGAGGTAGAGGTTGCAGTGAGGCCAGATCGCGCCACTGCACTCCAGCCTGGGTGACAGAGCAAGACTCCATCTGAAAAAAAAAAAAAAAAAAAAAAAAAATGGCCCTACTCTAGACCAACTTAGAACATCCCTGCGGTAGGCCTGATAATCTGCAATTTTTAACAAGGGTGACCATCAGGTAATTCCGATGTTCACAACAGTTCAAAAACCTCGACAGAGCATTTTCGTAACCTGCCCACGCGTTCTTCAGTGGCAGAGCTGGAGCGCAAACCGGGGGCTTCAGATGCTAAGTCCAGGCTCTTGACAGCTCACTGGAGACGCTGGAATCACCTTCACTGCGCCTGTATCAGCACCCGCCACACAGGCGCACAAATAAACCTTCCCAGAGTGAATGAATGAATTAATGACTCATCCAGCCCCAGCTGCTTCCGGTGGGTCGGGGGCGTGGCGAGACCCTGTTTCAGTGGAGGGAGGGCTTATGCATTGCCGAGACGCCGATTATCAGACCTTGACCCTGTCGCTTTCAGAAAAACCACTGGCAGAAGATCCGGACCATGGTCAATCTGCCGGTCATAAGCCCTTTCAAGAAGCGCTACGCCTGGGTGCAGCTGGCAGGGCACACTGGTGAGCAGTGGGGCGGGTGGGCGGGTGCCCGCGACGGGAAGGGGCTGGGCGGCGCTGACGGATGCCGGTCCTCAGGGAGTTTTAAGGCGGCGGGCACCAGCGGGCTGATCCTGAAGCGCTGCTCGGAGCCGGAGCGCTACTGCCTGGCGCGGCTGATGGCTGACGCGCTGCGCGGCTGCGTGCCTGCCTTCCACGGCGTGGTGGAGCGCGACGGCGAAAGCTACCTGCAGCTGCAGGACCTGCTCGATGGCTTCGACGGACCTTGTGTGCTCGACTGCAAAATGGGCGTCAGGTATGCGTGCCCTGCCAGGTCGGTTGGGGGGATCAAGTAGGGGTCCGGGGCCGGGACAGCTGCTTGAGGGGGACCCGGGGCGAGTGCTCGAAGGGGTCTCCGTGTGCGCCCCCTCATGCCCTGGCCGCTGCCTGCGCCCCCACAGGACTTACCTAGAGGAGGAGCTGACCAAGGCCCGTGAGCGGCCCAAGCTGCGGAAGGACATGTACAAGAAAATGCTGGCGGTGGATCCTGAAGCTCCCACGGAGGAGGAGCACGCGCAGCGCGCCGTCACCAAGCCGCGCTACATGCAGTGGCGGGAAGGCATCAGCTCCAGCACCACCCTCGGCTTCCGCATCGAGGGCATCAAGGTGAGGCAGGCGCGCTTCGCTGGCACCGCCGCAGCCCCACTGCGCGCTGTCTTTCCCGATCCCCCGCTCCCGCCCCGCCTGCCCCTCCGCCCTCTCCCACCGCCTCGCCGTCCCCTGCAACTGGGAGGTACCGCTGCTCTACGCTGTCCTCTTCCCCACTGGCGGGCCCGGGGCCCCTGACACTCCTGTCCCACATCCAGAAAGCGGACGGCTCCTGCAGCACCGACTTCAAGACTACGCGAAGCCGAGAGCAGGTGCTTCGCGTCTTTGAAGAGTTTGTGCAAGGAGATGAGGAAGTGCTGGTGAGAGCGGGATCCCAAACCCTGAGGTGTTGGGGAGCCTGAAGCCGAGGACTGCCCCTGTCATCTGGCCCAGTGCCCTCGGCTGTGTCCCCACCATGGCCCTCACCGCGCTGGCTCGCAACTGCTCTACGCTCCTTCCCTTCTGGGCCACGCTGGGCGGGGCCCTGGGTCCTCCTCCTGGCGGCATTTGCCAAGCACAGCGTGGGTCCCGGCTCCTCATCGTTAGCAGGGGCTCATTTGGCGTTTAGTTAATTTGCCCTCCTCTCCCACCCCACCCTCTGCAGAGGCGGTATCTGAACCGCCTGCAGCAGATCCGGGACACCCTGGAGGTATCCGAGTTCTTCAGGAGGCACGAGGTAAGCGGCGGCTGCCCGGGTGCCCGGGCCGCGAGGGCTAGGGCGGGAACCCGGCAAGGGCGTCTCTGGGCAGGGCCGCGGCCTGACGGTGCGGGGCTCGCAGGTGATCGGCAGCTCGCTCCTCTTTGTGCACGATCACTGCCATCGCGCCGGCGTGTGGCTCATCGACTTCGGCAAGACCACGCCCCTCCCCGATGGCCAGATCCTGGACCACCGGCGGCCCTGGGAGGAGGGCAACCGCGAGGACGGCTATTTGCTGGGGCTGGACAATCTCATTGGCATCCTGGCCAGCCTGGCTGAGAGATGAGGCTGGACTCCTGTCCCCGCGGGCCGCTCACCTGACATGTGGACCTGCAGCTTTGTCCCCACTGTGCATGCCGGCTTGAGACTGGAGCCCCGCGGTGCAGGGCAGTTCACCGGGTCCTGCAGGACCAGGTGCCAGCCACTAAGGGGGGGCACCGCCGATGCCAGGGGTTTTGCCCACCCGGGCCCCAGCGTTCCCAGAGCCAAATGACACTAACTTATAGAAGGGGAGGGGGCAAAGGGCTTCTTCCTCAGGCCAGCTCTTCTGAGGAGGCTCTGCCCTCTCCAGAGGTGCCAGACCGCGGATTTTATTTAGCAAGC
The DNA here is from genome assembly GCF_000001405.40 of Homo sapiens. Lineage (NCBI taxonomy): Eukaryota > Metazoa > Chordata > Mammalia > Primates > Hominidae > Homo > Homo sapiens. The sequence continues at coordinate 41,503,484 of NC_000015.10, forward strand.
CCAGACCTTCCGGTCTAACGTCTCACACCACGACGGACTCCCCTTCCTAATAAAACTCAAAGACAAGATGCAGCTTCCTGTGCCTCAGGCCTCAGCCCCTCCCTCCTCCGGCCCCCTCTTCCTCAGTTCCGGTCCCTGGCATCCACAGATCGCTGGAGGATGAGAAGAGCTTTTTATTAGAAGCATCTGCAGGGTGGGGGGTCTGCCCAGATGAAGGATGCTCATAATGGGAGAGCAATCCAGTGCTCCCCATGGACACCTGGGGTGTGTGTAAGGCGGCCTCTGGCCCCAAGATCAAAAGCTGGAAGTGGCTGGGCCCTTCCCTGGGAGGCCTGGGCTGGTTTCCAGCATGGCAAGTGCAGCGCTGCCAGGCCAGCCCCGAGACAGGCCCAGACACACAGCACAGACTGCAGGGAACAGAGGCCGCTGGCATAACAGGCCACCCAGGAGCCTGAGGAGTATAGGGAGGGACCCTCAGTGCCTCAGTCCTTACCCTCAGGGCCCCTTGGGGCTCAGGAGCGATAAGTGGGATTCCAAAGGTTCTGAGGTTGGAGGCCCCTGGATTTGAGGGGCTTGAGGCCAGAGGACAGCCAGGGGCCAAGAGGGCTACCTCCCCAGCTTTTCAACTTCTCTGGACTCAGTTCCTGGGGCTGTGGGGGTCTTAGGCACTCCAAAGATCTGTTCCCCAGCCCAGAAGTCCCTTCCTCCTCTGGGGTGGGCCCCAGCTCCATTGGCAGGAGTGAATTCAGCACATCCGGGTCCTGTAATGGAAGAGTCAGGGAGCAGGGGGGCATAGAGTTTTCTGGCCCTCCCTCCTGACCCACAAGACCAGGATGTTAGATTAGGTCGGGGGCACACCTGAGTGCAGTACTGCAGACGCTCCAAGATGCTGGCAAAGCTAGGGCGGAGCTCAGGCTCGTGCTGCCAACACTGGGTCATGATGCGGTACCTGGGGAGAGGCAGGAGTTCATGCCCACCCATGGTTGTGAAGGACCTCCCTTCCCGGGCAGCACTCAACTCACACAGGCCCTGGGCAGCCCCTAGGAGGGTCCATCCGGCCTCCTCCAACGACGAAGTCCAGCACCTCCTGGTTGGTGCGCCCAGGATAGGGCATGTAGCCCAGTGAGAAGATCTCCCAGAGCAGCACCCCAAAAGACCTGCATCACAAGTGGGGGAACCAAGTGAGGCCCGTCAGGTGTAGCCTCCCCTCACATGAGGTGGCTGGAAAGGACAGGATTAGCCTCAGGGGAGGGGAACAGTGGGGAAGGGGAGGGGAAGGGTGTTATCACCAGGAATCTGTCTTGGATGTGAAGATGCCCTCCAGGAAGGCCTCTGGGGGCATCCACTTGACTGGGAGCAAGGCCCGGTCCCCCCTGCGGTAATAACTGGCCCTACAGGAGGGAGGAGGTGAATGATGAGTTGTTCACCACCAAGGTGCGGGGAAAACCCCCTTGGAGCAAGAGCCTTCCCACCTCCCAAGTCCCGCACCGGTAGATATCTCGTGCCATCCCAAAGTCCCCAATCTTGGCCACTCGGCTGGGTCCAGCGCAGCTCAGCAGGCAGTTCCGGGCGGCAATATCCCTACAGAGTAGGCAAAAAAAATCACTGCCAGAATCTAGAAGTTCTTGCTCTTCCTGATCTATTTCCTTAAAAGCTGTGTGGAAGGGCTGTTCCTTGGGGAGGGAGTTGGGATGGGGGTCCCCTGAGCCAGGACTGCTCCTAACCTGTGGATGAAGTGATTTTCCTCCAGGTAGTGGCAGCCCTGGGCTATGTCCTGGGCCAGTTGCAGCAGGTCCCGCATGACCAGAGGTGATGGCTGGCCCTGGGTCAGGCAGAGGGGGCATCAGTCCATGTAGGTCTCAGACACATGGACAGGGTCTTTAGAGGGGCCTGGGGGGGCTAAGACAAGGGTCTCACCAGGTGTGGCCGACTGTGCCTCAGGAAACTCTTCATGTCCCCTCCAGACATCAGTTCCAGCAGAATGAGGCGAGGGGTGGCCCTGAGGCTGAGCCCCACACACCGCACAATGTTCTGATGGCGAAACTTGCTGAGTGGGGTGGGGGACATATCCCGTTACCAGGAGGGAGACGGAAACCATGTTTTAGGCTCCACAAAGCTGGAGAGGCCCTCTGTGTCCCCTGACTTGCTACCTCAGCCTCAGGGTGAAGAGAAACTGTTCCCGGGCATTCCCCTCCCGCCTTCCAGCCCTGCCCCTGGTCCCAGGTGCACCTGATGATGAGGGCCTCCATGAGGAAATCCAGCTCATCCTGAGGCGAGCAGAGTTCTGGCAGGGTCTGGGGAGGAAAAGGGCACAGTTTCTGAGCTGCCCTGCACGCTTCAGGAGAGGGGGTTAACCCTAGCTCTAGTCATTGTCCTTCCCTTCAGGGTGTTCCGCTCTCCTACCCCCAGCCAGAAGTCCCACTCCTCTCACCTTGATAGCTACCTGCAGGGGACTGGAGTCCCCAGGAAGGCCAATTACCAGTCCCTCATACACCTCCCCAAAGGCACCATGGCCCAGGGCTCTGCAGGAAGACACGTTGGAAGGGAGTGGGCAGGCGGCCTGGAGAAGAGTCCTAGAGAGTCTAGTACCCCCTTTACCTCCCCTGCCCCTGCCATATGCCCAGCTGACCCTATATAGACTCTCTCCATACCATGGCATGTCCCCAGGTAGAAGCCCTGCAAGGGTGGTGCTCACTGGCATAGAGCCAGGGCAAAAAAGAGGGCAGATGCGGGCCAGAGTCAAGGTGGGAGTGCATGATGAGGACTTCCCTGGTCCCTGCAGACGCCCTGGGCGGGAGGCAATCCCTGGGCTCCAAGAGTCATGATTTTTTTTCTTTTTTAAACGAAGTCTCACTCTGTCATGCAGGCTGGAGTGCAATAGCGCGATCTCGGCTCACTGCAACCTCTGCCTCTCGGGTTCAAGTGATTCTCCTGCCTCAGTCTCCCGAGTAGCTGGGACTACAGGCAAGCGCCACAACGCCCAGCTATTTTTTGTGTTTTTAGTAGACACAGGGTTTCACCATGTTGGCCAGGCTGGTCTCGAACCCCTGACCTCAGGTGATCCACCTGCCTTGGCCTCCCAAAGTGCTGAGATTACAGGCGCCAGATCATATTTTTTTTTTATTGAGACAGAGTCTCACTCTGTCGCCCTGGCTGGAGTGCAATGGCGCAATCTCGGCTCACCACAACCTCCGCCTCCCAGGTTCAAGTGATTCTTCTGCCTCAGCCTCCCACGTAGCTGGGATTACAGGCATGCGCCACCATGCCCAGCTAATTTTGTATTTTTAGTAGAGATGGGGTTTCTCCATGTTGGTCAGGCTGGTCTCGAACTCCCGACCTCAGGTGACCTGCCTGCCTCGACCTCCCAAAGTTCTGGGATTACAGGTGTGAGCCACCACGCCCAGCTGAGAGATCATATTCTAAGAACTGGGACGGAGAGGTGACATTGAGCAAGTTACTTCCCCTTCTGGAGCTTCTCAGGGCCTCCCTCTCCCTTACACAAGGGATGTGGGCCAGATTTTTTCTGGGACTTATAATTCACTACAGCAGGGAGAGAATCAGAGGTGGGGATTCAGAGTGCATAGGTTCTCAGAAGGAGGCAGAAGACTTACCTGAGCAGAGTAACATTGGCTGGGGAAACCTCGGTGACACCTGGTGGCAGAGGCCAGGACTGGGCCGGGCCAAGCCCCACCTGGCAATAATAGGGATTGGGGGCTGTCCTGATGGCAGAGGTTCGAAGCTTGCTCAGCTCAAGCTCAGGGCTCGGCAGCCTCATCTCCTGCAGGCCCTGCCACTTCTTCTGCTTCACTGGGGGTGGGAAGAATAACGGCACACCCTCCACCTGCCCATCAACTCTCCCTCCCCCACCTGCCCAGGACACCCCTCCAGATGCTCATTAAGGTAAACGTTTTCCCCAGGCCTCCCCAGCTCCTTCCTATCTTAGAATCCCAGAGGAGTCTACCACGGCTCTGCTGCGGTGAGTGGTCTTGAAGTCAGCCCCGGGACCCCGCAGAAACCCATCCCAGCTCACTGGAGAGGAGCAGCCTTGAATCAACTGTGCCTGCTAGACGCTTCGTACCCAGAATCAGGACCCCACACACCATAAGGAGGCTCAGTGTTGAGGTTGCCACCACAGCCACCATCAGAACCAGAGGGCCTGGGGGCTTGTGCAGGTCTAGGGAGAAAGAGAGACACCTCCAGTGGGAAGGTCTTCTCTGTTCCTTTACCCTCAAGTTTTACCCACGCTTCAAGACTCAGCTCAAGTGTTAATTTTTCCATGATGCCTTCCCCCATTATCCTGGGCAAAAGCAACCTCTCCCTCTTGAACACCCCTAAAGCACTTTATACCTCCCACAACAATCGTCACTTGAGATATACATTTACATAGCTATATCTAAACATCCTCCCACACTGGACGACAGGCCTCTGAAAGGCACTGTGCACCGATGAATCTCCAATCCCCTGCCCAGCACCCACCACAGGGCCTGGCACACAGCAAATCTCTATACCATCTTTCCCAGTGGCCTACTGCTCCTCCCAGTCTGTGACCCCAGGAGTCCAGACCTTGGGCAAAGGTAGGACATACCCATGCAGGTGACGTTATCCACAGCTAGCTCCATGCCTTCTGGGCACAGGCATTCAGCCAGCTGGAGCTCTGCCTGCCATTGGCAGTCTCTCAAAGGGCAGTGACTGCAGTTGAGGTGCCTTCGGATCTCTACCTCTCCGTGGTTCTCGGTGACTGTGAGTAAAAGAACTGATATGATATGGTGTGGTAGGGCTGGGATATAGTAAATACATGCCTTTGGCTGGGTACAGTGGCACACGCCTATAATCATTGCACTTTGGGAGGCCGTGGTGAGCGGATCACCGGAGGTCAGAAGTTCAAGACCAGCCTGGCCAACCCCGCCTCTACTAAAAATACAAAATTAGCCGGGTGTGGTGGCGCACGCCTGCAATCCCAGCTACTCCAGCACTGAGGCTGCAGAATCACTTGAACCCGGGAGGCGGAGGTTGCAGTGACCCAAGATCGCACCACTGCACTCCAGCCTGGGTGACAGAGCGAGACTCTGTCTCAAAAATAAAAATAAATAAATAAATAAATAAATAAATAAATAAATAAATACATGCCTTTTCCAGCCACATGGTTAATTCTAGCCCAGGACTTTAGAGCAAAGAGCAGCACCAAGCTTACAAGGGTGGTGAGAGAAGCTGGGGGACTTCTGTCAAGCCTGCACACTCCCAGGTATTTGAAGCGAATTCATAGCAAGGGGGTACTTGAAAAGCACGCAGCATGCCCTGCATTGCCATCCAGCACGACTGGCAGCCCACTTTCCTTTTTTTTAAGACAGAGTTTTGCTCTTGTCGCCCAGGCTGGAGTGCAATGGCATGATGACAGCCCACTTTTCAAATGACCCTATGCTATGCAAGAATCCTGTGCTATGCAAGGTTATTCACAGTGCAGGTGGCTCTTCAGTGCAGTGCAGGAGTGGGCTCAGGGACTGCGGAAGAAGTCCAGGCCAGGCTCAGAGGTGGGGTTGGGGCCAATACCTGCCAGAGGCTGCAGGAAGAGCTCGCTGCTGGGGTGTATGAAGGATACTCCATCTTCCCCATCAGCCCAGAGGTTGTCAGTCTCTGAAGCGTCGCCCCCTGGAAGTGGAGAGTGATGGAGAGTTTGACTACAAAAATGGGGGATGGGGGAGAAGCTGGAATCTCCCGGTGGAAATCCCAGTGTGGCCCTCTCTTCTCCAGCATCATGATGCAAATGCTGTCTGTTCACAAGTGGGAGTGAAGGAGGTGAGGAGGGGGTAATCAGCTGGAGCCTGAAGGCCTCGCTGAGGCTGGCTGGGATGCCTCCTGCCTGCCTGAGCCCCTCCTGTCCCATGTCCTCACAGTCCCTTTCTGTGAGAATGTAGATCATGTGTGTATGTATGAGCAGTACAGCCCAGACAGGCACAAAGGCATTTACACTAGTTATTTGATCAAAACACAGATGACTGGGACTCTCCCTTACAGTTTCTGATTCAGTATGTTAGAGAAGGGCTGAGAATTCGCATTTCTTTTTAAAAATTAATTTTTAATTAAAAATAAAAATTCAGGGCCAGGTGTGGTGGCTCACGCCTGTAATCCCAGCACTTTGGGAGGCCGACATGGGCGGATTACGAGGTCAGGAGTCCGAGACTAGCCTGACCAACATGGTGAAACCCCATCTCTACTAAAAATACAAAAATTAGCCGGGCATGGTGGCGCATGCCTATAATCCCAGCTACTCAGGAGGCTGAGGCAGGAGAATTGCTTGAACCCGGGAGGCGGAGGTTGCAGTGAGCTGAGATTTGTACTACTGCACTCCAGCCTGGGCAACAGAGCCAGACTCCATCTAAAAAAAAAATTCATATATTTATTGTATACAGCATGATGTTTTGAAATATGTACACACTGTGCAATGGCTAATGCAAACCAATATATACACCACCTCACATGCTTATTTTCTGTGGTAAGAACACCTATAATCTACGCTCTTACCAATTTTCTTTTCTTTTTTTTTGAGACAGAGTCTTGCTCTGTCACCCAGGCTGGAGTGCAGTGGCACGATCTTGGCTCACTGCAACCTCCGCCTCCCGGGTTCAAGCGATTTTCCTGTCTCAGCTTCCCGAGTAGCTGGGACTACAGGCATATGCCACCACGCCCGGCTAATTTTTGTATTTTTAGTACAGATGGGGGTTTCACCATATTGGCCAGGCTGGCCTCAAACTCCTGACCTCAAGATCCACCCGCCTCCGCCGCCCAAAGTGTTGAGATTACAGGCGTGAGCCACCGCGCCCCGCCTCTCTTAGCGATTTTCAAGAATACATCGTCATTAACTACAGTCACCATGTAGTACAGTAGATTCTGGAAGGTATTCCTCCTATTTAACTGCCATTTTGCATTGTTTTGACCAGCATCTCCCCAACCTTCCCCCAACTCCCAGGATAATTTCCATTGTTTTTTTTTTAATCTTTGAGACAGAATTTCCCTCTTGTCGCCCAGGCTGAAGTGCAATGGAGTGATCTCGGCTCACTGCAACCTCCGCCTCCCAGGTTCAAGCAATTCTCCTGCCTCAGCCTCCAGAGTAGCTGGGATTACAGGCTCCCGCCACCACGCCCGGCTAATTTTTGTATTTTTAGTACAGACAGGGTTTCACAGGTTGGCCAGACTGGTCTCGAACTGGTGACCTCAGGTGATCCACCTGCCTTGGCCTCCCAGAGTGCTAGAATTACAGGCGTGAGCCACCAGGCCCAGCTGATAATGTGCATTTCGAACAACTTAGGTTGTGGGGATATTACCTGTTCCTGGACCACACTTTGAGAACCACTGACTTAACCCAATCCTGCCTTTCTGCCCCTTTGCTCAGCTTGCTCACTCGGCCAGCTCTAAGTTCTGAAGACTGCTGCAGAACAAGGCAGGGACCTGCTGTGATGGGAAAGATCCTGGATTAAACGGAAATCTAGGGAGTCCTGTCTGCATGCTGATTTGCAGTGTATTTGACCTCCTTTTCTAAGAGCTCCTGCTTTTTGTTTGGAGCTGCTGAGCAGGGCTTAATGCCTCTCCCACACCTATCCTCCCGAGGGCTCCGGCCTGTACTTAGGTTCTAACATCACCTCACCCTCGGGCCTGCTCAGCTGCCCTCTCCAACGGTGCACCTACCCCTGTAGCCGCCGCCGCCTCCGCCCGCAGTGCAGGCCCCGCCGCCGCCCCCGAAGCCGCCGGCCGCGGCCCAGCCAAGGGTCGCCCAAGCCTCGGAGCAGCCCTGGCCGCCCTCCGCCCCCTCCTGCAGTGAGCGGCCGGCCTGCGGAGAGGGAGCCCGCGACGTCCAGCCGCCCCCACCACCTGCAGAGCGACAGCAGGAAGGTTGGCAGCCACACGGGGAGCACGCCCGCCTCTCCCCGCGGCCCGCGCCCTCACCTGCCGCCCCGCCTCTCCCGCCGCTCCCGGGCGCCTCCGAGCGGTTCTCCAGTTTCTCGGGGGAGGCCTGAGTCCGGCCTCGGTCCCGCGGCCTCAGGTAGGCCCGACCGCCGCCTCCGGCCGCCACCAGCAACGGTTCCAGCTCGCCAGCGCGCACCTGTGGGGCCAGCGGCGTGTTCCAGGAAGCGCCCTCCAGCTGTCCAGGGGCACTGCCACTGGGAGAGGGCTCCCGCCCAGGGGGCCTGGATAAGGGCAGGGGCCCCCAGCCCAGCCCAGGCCAGCCCAGCCCAGCGCAGGGATAGGGGGACCCCAAGGGACGGACGGAGAGCCGGTGCGTGAGCGCCCCTGGGGAGAGGATTGGGACCCCAACGCTGAGCGCCGAAGGGAGCACGTACCCGGAAAACGTAGGTGGCGCCCCCGCCACCCCCGCCACCTCCCGCCCAGCGCCGCGACCCCGGGACCCCTTCGCTCCCATCCATCGCCGCGTGCTCTTCAACGGCTCGAGACTCCCCGAGGCAGACGAGCTGGCTCTCCGGGCTACCCTGCGGGCAGCGGGGGAGGGAATCGGCGGGGCCCGGGAGCCTCCCCTCGCTGTGCTGGTGACCCGGCACCGAGGAAAGCACGCTCCCCCGGCCCCCAGGCAGCCCTCGCCCCCGGCGCCGGCGCCGCCCCATCCCCACTGGCTGCGCTCACTCCGGGACAGGCGTCCTCTCCCTGCTGCCCCACCAGGATGTACAGCGACTCCCCGAGACCGAGGGAGAAGATTGCTGAGACGAAGACGCCATGCGCCCGCGACAGGTGGTTCTTGGCGCCTTTGCCGCCCGCGGCTCCGTAGGCTGAGATCCTGCGGGGAACGGACGGTGAGTCCCCGGCCTTCGGTGCTCAGGCCGGCCGCTCCGGGCAGAAGTTGGCGACAGAGGAGGCTCCAGAATTATTTTTTATCTGAGGGACTTGGAGGCTGCAATCGACTCTGACGGGATGGGAAGGGTAGGTTTGCACACCGAAAAATCAGATATTACACTTATTTCAGGAGGGTTCGTGGAAATGTGGGGAGGCTCAAGCACCCCTTGGCGCCGCCCTGGTTGGGGGCCTTCCGCTCGGTGTAAGAGGTTCCGGGTAAGGGCTAACTCGGTGGCGACTACTGCCACCTTGAAGGGCACTCAAGGTGGACCTCCCCGCGGAATAGTCCAAGACGCAAGTCGGTGCGCACGTGGACTTCGTTACCCTGAGGGTGAAACCTCCAACTAGCAGGTCACTGTCCACCCTACCTCCGCCGTGCACTTACAGATACTGGCCAGGGCCCGGCACGCGCCACAGCTGCACGCCTCTCAGCTGCCCGGCGGCCCCCACGGTCACCACCACGCTGGTCCCCGCGTACGCCCCGTCACATTGTGTCTGTGTGGGCCCATGCCGGCCGCTGGCCCCGCAGGTAGAAAACAGCCAAGACCCCTCGGTGCCTGAGAGCAAGGAGCGAGGCAAGGGTCGTCGAGCCCCTGGCTGGGCCAGAGGGGTCTGGTATGGTGAGCGAAAGAGGAAGGAGGCGTCTAAAGCTCACCCGGAGAATTCAGCGGGGAGGCTGGCTCCAAGATACTAGGCGGGGCGCTGACTTTCGGGTCCCGGGGGCTGGGACTTGCCAGCGGCAGGGGCGAGGACCGCAGAAAAGTCTCCTGGGACCCCGGGCTAGAGCAGAGAATGGCGCCTGAAAGGTGTTGGGAGAAGGCGCAGGACGTTAAGGCGGGTGGAAATAGGATATGAAAGAAAGAGAGAACCCCGCAACAGCTGCCCTTGCGGTCGCGGCCACACCCGTCACCCGGCCCAGCCGCGCTCTCAGCCTGGAAGCCACTACCCGACTCCGGTCGCAGAAGCCCCGCGGGTGCGCGCTGATAGGTCTGCCAGTTTCTCTCCTCGAGCGCCTTTCCCAGTGAATAACTTAGGGGCCGCAATGAATTTGGTCCTGCAGCCTCCCCAATGCTTTCCTCAACTTAGATTGGTGGCCCCGCCCCAAGGCGGTGCTGAGACCCCAAAGAATGTTCCTCCTTCCCAAGCTGCGTGATCCAGACTCTGGGATTCGCACGCACTTGGCGCTTCTCGGCCCGCACTCCAGAAGCACGGACCGGAGAAATTTGGCTGTGAGAGTTCGAGGCCTCTGGAGGAACCACTGACACCTGGCCTGTTGACCGGCCACCCCCAAGCCTAGGAAAGTGCCTCAGGCTGGACGGTCCCCTGACCGCCAGATAGCACTTACCCGCGGCTCCGAACCACACCAGCAGCTGTCCCCAGCAGCCCATCCCTGTTGGGTCCACCCGGCAACAAAAGCCCTTGCGGTCGCGGCCACACCCCTGTCAACCTAAAGTTGACAGCTCATTTTGCCACGGCAGCCCTGGCCACCACTTACAGGGGTGTGCTGCCGCTGGCGAGACACTCCCCGGACCTAAAGCTGGTCTGGCCACGCCCACCTCAGACCCCAGGACGCCAGAGGAGGAAAGGGAGGGGCGTGTGGGCAGCGAGGTCCCTACGCTTCCGGGAGGAGCCTTAAGGAGTCCCCACCCAGGGGTTCTAGTTTCCAGCCGTCAGATGTGCCGCAGCCTGCTGGGAGCTCCGGTAGGTTTGAGGCCGGAGAGGAGGTGCCCCACGCTTAAAGTGGGAGCCACACCTCGGACACCAGGTGGGGGCTTCCAGGTTCCTGAGGACAGGAGCAGTGGAGTGTGCACTTCATTTGTGGCAGTGGTGGTGGTGGTGAGTGTGTGGCATGCGTCACCACACGTGGGAAGTACTCTAAACTGCTCCAAGTAAGGCCTCATTACCTGCCATTACTTGTGCCTTTTAGTGGTGCCTTTGTGACTGCAAGGCTGAACCTCATTGCTACTCCCAGAAACCTGGATCTCTGTGTTTGCCTCATATAATTCCGTTGCCTGTGTTACCCCTGTGCACAGCCTCTCACTGTGATGGGGTGAAAGACTGGACCAGACGTTAGAAGATCCGAGTGTTTTTAGTAGCACTGAAGGTCAATAGATGATAGGTAGGTAGACCGATCGATCGATTGATCTTGAGCACTAGTACTGGCACCTCTGGTCAATGGGTGATGTAGCACAGGCCACAACTGCCCTGAGAGTTTCCCCACCACCTGCAAAATCATATGAAGGGAAATTGCTCTGTAAGGTACCCTACAAATGTGGGAGCCACTCCCTTCAGGTAGTTTTGTGTCTTGAGTCTTCGATCATTTGCTTAAATGATCATTTGCCGGGTGCGGTGGTTCATGCCTGTAATCCTAGCACTTTGGGAGGCTGAGGCGGGCAGATCACCTGAGGTCAGGAGTTCGAGACTAGCTAGACCATCATGGCAAAATCCCGTCTCTACTAAAAATACAAAATCAGACACACGTGGTAGCGCACGCCTGTAATCCCAGCTACTCTGGAGGCTGAGGCAGGAGAATGGCTTGAACCTGGGAGGCAGAGGTTGCAGAGACGAGATCGCACCATTGCACTCCAGCCTGGGCAACAAGAGCAAAGCCCCATCTCAAAAAAAAAAAAAAAAAAAAAATCCTAACTTGAAAGTCTGAGACCTATGTTTAATACAAAATACTTCAAAAGAGAAGTTATAGTAGTTAGCTACTTGGTAAAGTCTGAGTATAATTCAAGGTGTAAACAGAACAGTGATTTTGTAAAAAGTCTGGTCTCAGCCAGGCGTGGTGGCTTACACCTGTAATCCCAGCACTTTGGGAGGCCAAGGGGACGGTGGGGGTGGGGTGGATCACAAGGTCAGGAGTTCAAGACCAGCCTGGCTAAGATGGTGAAACCCCGTCTCTACTAAAAATACAAAAATTAGCCGTGCGTGGTGGCAGGTGCCTGTAATCCCAGCTACTTGGGAGGCTGAGGCAGAGAATTGCTTGAACCTGGAAGGCAGAGGTTGCAGTGAGCCGAGATTGCACCACTACACTCCAGCCTGGGTGACAGAGTGAGACTCCATCTCAAAAAAAACAAAAAACAAAAAAACCCTGGTCTCTATGCCCTACTTAACACTAGATATCACACTATGAGATCACAGAATTTACCTTGCAAAGTCTCTTTAAGCCACTGCTCTTCAAATTGTGGTTGTGTGGTTTGTTCTGAACATCAGCATCAGTATTACCTGGGAACTTGTTAGAAATGCAGATTCTTGGGTTTCACCCCAGATGTACTGAATCAGCAGCTTCTGGTGGTAGGACCCAGTGATCTGTTTTAAAATATCCTCCAGATGATTTTTGTCACAAAGTTTGAGAATCATTGGTATTTGCTGATACAGTAGTTGCTTAATAAAACCTATTGGGGCCACATGCTGTGGCTCACACTTATAATCCCAGCACTTTAGGAGGCTGAGGTGGGCGGATTGCCTGAGCTTAGGAGTCTGAGACCACCCTGGGCAACATGGCAAAACACCGCTTCTAATAAAAATACAAAAAACTAGCCCGGTGTGGTGGTGCATGCCTGTAGCCCCTGCTACTCGGGAGGCTGAGGCATGAGAATCACTTGAGCCTCAGAAACGGAGGTTGCAGTGAGCCAAGATCATGCCACTACACTCTGGCTTGGGCTACAGAGTAAGACTCTGTCTCAAAAAAAAAAAAGAAAAAAAGGCTGGGCCCAGTGGCTCATGCCTGTAATACCAGCACTTTTGAAGGCTGAGGCGGGCGGATCATGAGGTCAGGAGTTCGAGTTCAAGACCAGCCTGGCCAACATGGCAAAACCCCATCTCTACTAAAAATACAAAAATTAGCCAGGCGTGGTGGCACGCGCCTGTAATCCCAGCTACTTGGGAGGCTGAGGCAGGAGAATGGCTTGAACTAGGGAGGGGGAGGTTGTGGTGAGCTGAGATTGCCCCACTGCACTCCAGCCTGGGCAACAGAGCAAGACTTCGTGTCAAAAAAAAAAAAAAAAAAACCCAAAAAAACCTATTGGATAATTCTGTGTTCAGCAGCTCCATTTATGAAGACTGGGTTCTCTCTACCTACTGACAGGGCTAGGCCTTGGCACACTGCTCTGACTCTGGTTACTTGCAAACACAATAAGTAATCCACACAGCAAAAGACAGTCTAAGAAAGCCTAAAGTTTAGAATTCAGACCAAAGAACAATGTAGAAACTACCAAAATAGGCCAAGTGTAGCGGCTCATGCCTGTAATCTTAGCACTTTGGGAGTCTGAGGTGGGTGGATTGCTTGAGCTCAGGAATTCAAGACCAACCTGGGCAACATGGTGAAACTCCGTCTCTACAAATACAAAAAATTAGCCAGGCGTGGTGGCACTTGCCTGTGGTCCCAGCCACTCAGGAGGCTGAGGTGGGAGAATGGCTTGAGCCCAGGAGGTCGAGGCTGCAGTGAGCTATGATCACGCCACTGCACTCCAGCCTGGGCAACAGAGCAAGACCCTGTCTCAGAAATAGATAGATAGATAGATAGATAGATAGATAGATAGATAGATAGACAGACCGACCGACCGACAGACAGACAGACATGGGGTCTCACTATGTTGGCTAGGCTGGAATTGAATTCCTGGAATCAAGTGATCATCCTGCCTCAGCCTCCCAAGTAGTTGGGACTACAGGTGTGTACCACTGTGCCTGGCAGGCCCCACATTCTTGTTGTCTCCAGATGTGGACAAAGTTTTTACCTCCCACTTATGATTCTTCCCCATCTCTCTCACAGCAGTCCTGCTCCTCACCTGGGATAACCCACCCCCAGATACTAACCCTGAACTAACATGGCTGAAATCAGTCCAGATCAAATTTCCAGGAGATAAAAAACATTTATTTTAATGCACAACTATAGCATTCATATGCCTCAGCCCAGGGCAGGGGTTGGGAGTTAGGTAAGAAGGGATGCATTTAGTTTGCCCTGTCCCCAAAGAGCGGGTAAATAGCTAAGCCACTCTTCACTCCCAGTACAGACCTTCAGAAGCCCCAGATATCAGGATGTAATGGTAGGGCTCACTGCTCTAAAACAGCTCAAACAACCTGCTCCCAGGAAGGCAAGCCTTCTGCTCCTTGGTCTCCTGCCTACCATTAGGACACAATGTTCTTCGTCTGGCCAGACATCTGTTGAAAGGCTGGATACAGGACAACGTACCCATCTTTCCATCTATATCAACTATCCTAGGTCTCTGATACCCCATTTTGGAGCACTGTTGAAGTCAGTCTCTGGAGGTAGTGCTGACGCAGAGGGGGCAACTGAGAATAGAGCTCAAAGCCCTCTGGGAGCGTGGAATTGGGAAGCTTATAGTGCAGGAGGTGCTGCCGGAGACCCTGCAGAAAGGAAAGAAAACTTATGAAGTGGGTAATGAGATCCTGTTGTGGTCTCTGTCCCCCAAGATCCTCTAATATCCCACCCTCCTAATGGCCCTGACCCTACCTCATCTGCCAGCAGCCATGTTTTCTGCAGCATACTCCTGCGGGCAGCTTTGACCTCATCCTAGAAGCAGAACAGGGAGAGGTGGCACTGAGCCGAGGGCTGGTACCCACCACTGGCCTTGCTTGACACTTACCTCTTCCCCAGCTGGCCCAGAGGCAGCTCAATTGCTAGCTCCCTTCCTTCCTCTGAAGATGGAGATGTAACTTACTGAGCTCTGTGGGTCCTGAGAGAAGATGAAGCTATTGACATGAGCCACAGCCACAGCATAGAGCACGGGGCACCAACGTGGGCGGAGCGCACCAGTAACCAGGGTCCGGAAGTAGAGCTGAAGGAGGGCCAGGTTGTCTTCAGGAGGCACTGTGTAACACTCCAGGGACACAGGCAACTGTGACAGGGGAAATGACGTGCTGAGGGGGAGGGTAGGAATGTATATACATACATAAGGTGTGTGGATAACGATCACATGAAACCAAATCATGAGGGCAGAGATCAGGTCCTAGACAAACATCTGTCCTTCTAGCACAAGGATCAGGGTTAAAGACTACAGAGCAGATGTTGGGGAAAACTGGGAACTGAGAAGCAGCCATTAAAAAGCATGAAATTGGCCATGTGTAGTGGGCCACGCCTGTAATCTCAGCACTTGGGAGGCTGAGGCAGGCGGATCACACGAAATTAGGAATTCAAGACCAGCCTGGCCAACATGGTGAAACCCCATCTCTACCGAAAATACAAAAATTAGCTGGACATGGTGGTGGGTGCTTGTAGTCCCAGCTACTTGGGAGGCTGAAGCAGGGGAGTCGCTTGAACCCAGGGGCGGAGGTTGCAGTGAGCCGAGCGCGCCACTGCACTCCAGCCTGGGCAACAGAGCAAGACTCCGTCTCAAAAAAAAAAAAAAATTAGCCAGGCATGGTGCTGTGTGCCTGTAATCCCAGCTACTCAGGAGGTTGAGGCAGGAGAATCGCTTGAACCTGGGAGCTAGAGGTTGCAGTGAACCAAGATCATCAGGCCACTGCACTCTAGCCTGAGCAACAGAGCGAGACTCTGTCTCAAAAACAAAAACAAAAACCCAAAATCTTAAAAACAAAAAACAAAATACAATAACTTCTTTTTTTAATAGAGTCTCGTTCTATTTCCAAGTCTGGAATGCAGTGGTGTGATCATAGCTCACTGGCAGCCTCAACCTCCTGAGCTCAAGTGATCCTCCTGCCTCAGGCTCCTGAGTAACTGGGTCTACGGGCAAATCACCAGGTCTGGCTAATTTTCCAATAATTTTTTGTAGAGATGGTGTCTAGCTTTCTTGCCCAAGCTGGTCAGAAACTCTTGGCCTCAAGCAATCCTCCCACCTTGGCCTCCCAAAATGTTGGATTACAGGCATGAGCCACCTCACGCAGCCATAACACAGTAACTCTTTTTTATTTTTCTTTTTTGAGATGGAGTTTCACTCTTGTTGCCCAGGCTGGAGTGCAGTGGTATGATCTCGGCTCATGGCAACCTCTGCCTCCTGGGTTCAAGCGATTCTCCTGCCTCAGCCTCCGGAGTAGCTGGGATTACAGGCATGCACCACGACACCCGGCTAATTTTTTGTATTTTTTTTTAGTAGAGACGGTTTCACCATGTTGGCCAGGCTGGTCTCAAACTCTTGACCTCAAATGATCCGCCCACCTCGGCCTCCCAAAGTGCTGGGATTACAGGCATGAGCCACCGCACCTGGCAAACATAGTAACTCTTTACAGCTTATAAATTTAAGTCCTTAGCCTAATATTTGAGGCCCTCTCAGACTTCACTTCTTATTTTTAGCCTTAAGTTCCCAACAGAAATCTCTCCTCCCTCCTTCTGCCCTTTGTCATGCTCCTTTTGCTTATGTTATTCTGTTAGGAATCTCCTGCCTTTCTACCTCCTCACCAATTCAAATTCTACCCAACCTACAGTGCCTGGGTCAATCCCCACTTCTTCCACAAAGCCCAATTTGATCTTTCCCTTCTCTGAATCCTGATACCACCTAGCATCTGAATAATTCACAACTATGTAGGTTTTCAGTAAATCTCTTCTTATCTAGATTGTAGCACTGATAAGCAAGGAGCTATGCCTTATTAATAGTAATGAATACCCACTATATGCCAGACACCAGGTTAAACCCTTTCCTTTTTTCTTTTTTGAGACAGGGTCTTGCTCTGTCACTGGGCTGGGGTGCAGTGGCGCGATCTCGGCTCACTGTAGCCTCCGCTTCCCGGGTTCAAGCGATTCTCCTGCCTCAGCCTCCTGAGTAGCTGGGACTACAGGCACCCGCAACCACGCCCAGCTAAGTTTTGTATTTTTAGTAGAAATGGGGTTTCACTATGTTGCCCAGGCTGGTCTCAAACTCCTGACCTTAAGTGATCCACCCACCTCAGCTTCCCAGAGTGATGGAATTACAGGCGTGAGCCACCACACCCAGCCCATGTTAAGCCCTTTTCATTGATTCTCTTAATCCCCTCAAAGCCCCCAAGAGGTAAGATGAGGAAGCTGAGGTCTTCCAAAGCTCCTCAAGGCTCAGGACTGCCCCCGAGGCCCAGTGCAGGGTACCCTTGCAGGTCCTGCTGGGCTGAGAAAGTACCTGGGTCAGAGGCAGGCTCAGAGCTCGCAAGGCTCCCACGTGTTCCCCAAAGAGGGCAAGGCGCAAGGTGACACTGAACCGACGCTGCAGGGGCAGGAGGACCAGGGCCCCAAAGAGGTGGTCCCCAAAAGAGACAGCCTCAAAATGATCCAGGAAGTTGGCATAGAGGTCAGGGAAAGACGTCAGGCCAGGGAGTCGGCAGTCCAGGTTGAGGTTTGGCAAGACTTGAGGCTGACAGAGCTGGGCGAGGAGGGCTGCCACCAGATGCTGTACTGGGGACTCCCGGAACAGCTCACTGTCCACCAGGAACACACACATGAGCCGTGCCAGGCGGGCAGCAGGGGGCACAGCCCAGAGAGCCTGGGGGCGCCAGCTCTCCAAAACTAGCACCCACTGCAGGACCCGCATGGCTGTGCCCATGGTGTCTGTGGGAGAGAGTCCCGAGGGGGTGTCTGAAGCCCGGTGGTAGAGGCGAATCAGTGGCAGGAAGGGCCAGTCGGTGGGCAGCAGCGGCTCCGTAGGCATGGGCAGTAGCAGGGTTGGGACTCGCTGTAGCTCCCCTCGGTGCAGAGCCTGGGAGGCCAGCAGACTGGCTCGGGCTGGCGAGCAATGAGTCAGGTAGCAGTTGCGGATGCTGGGGAGGTCCTGGCAGGCCTGAGCCAGCAGAGTCCCTTGCCCACACCGAGGGACCCTGCTGCTTCCTAACGACAGCTGGTCAGAGAAGTCGGCTGCCTCTGGACCCCCTGATGTTCTTTCCCTGTAATGGGACCCAAAAGCCAAAAATGAGGGCTGGAACCACAGCACTTGGAGGCTGTGCCAGCTCTTTGGAACTTCCTGGAGGCTCCTAGGTCCAGACCTGTGCCTCTCTGCTCCCTTAACTACTTCCCGCGCAGTGCTGTGTAGCAGTTAAGAGGATGCACACTACAGCCAGCTGCCTAGGCATGAGTTTACATAACTTCTCTGGGCCTCAGTTTCCTCAGAGTAAAATAAGGATAATAATAGTATCTATCTCATGGTCCAAGTAAAATACTTAAAATGTAGATAAATACATAAGGGAGTATCAAACACAGAGTAAACACTCAGTAGCGGATGGCTATTACATGTGTGTAACTGATTTAGATACCATTTTTTTAGCCATGCAGTCACACTGAAGTCTCACAATCATTCTTGGGTGTGGTTAGCCTGATCCTCACTTCACTAATGAGGTAATGGAAGCTCGGAAGAGTTAAGTGTCGTCGGTGGAAGAAAGAGAATTTAGGTCTCCTGGCTCCAAATTCAGGGCTGCTCTGTTAACAACTGCAGCAGCGTCCAAAAGGGCTGAGTTGATGCCACCAACCAAGCACTTACGGGAGGAACTCCAGCCGGAATACACAGCTCAGCAGCAGCTCATGGGTGAGGTACTCACTTCCGGGCAGCAGCCGGCTCAGCAGGGCCAAGGCCATACCATGATAGAGGGCAGCATGGGTGGCTGGCAGTGGCTGCAGCGCTGCCTGCAGACAGAAAAGCAGGGAACTACCTAGTACAGGAGAAGGGGACGTGGCAGAGAGAAGTGAGGAAGAGGATAAAAGTGAGGCTGAAGGGCAGAGGTCCAGGGCATGTCTGGAGGAAAGTGGGAGCTGCATGGCCTGGCAGAAGCAGGCTGGGTTCCACAGAAACAGGAAGGAGATAATGGGATGACAGGAGAACCTGTCAGACAGGGGGACCTACCGCTTTCTGGGCCAGAGCGAGTGCCAGGTACTGCAGGTGGTACTCATGGCGCAGGGCCCATGCAGAGAAAGGTGTGAGGTGTGGGGCAGCCCCAGGAGCCACACACTGGAGGAAGTAATTCTGGAGTCCCGGGGCAGCCAATATGGCAGCCAGCTGAGGAAAAGCAATTTTGTTCAGATCTAGAAATTGACTCTCATGCCTTCTAGGGCTCCCCAGGTGGCTGCCCCTCTCCAGACTCAGGGAAATGAGTGCCAGCAGAAGGCCTCCCTTCCCCATGGGACACCCTCCCACTTTCTTTTTGGTTTTTTTTGAGATGGAGTTTCGCTCTTGTTGCCCAGGCTGCAGTGCAATGGTGTGATCTCAGCTCACCGCAGCCTCCGCCTCCCGGGTTCAAGTGATTCTCCTGCCTCAGCCTCCCGAGTAGCTGGGATTACAGGCATGTGCCATCATGCCTGGCTAATTTTGTATTTTTAGTAGAGATGGGGTTTCTCCATGTTGGCCAGGCTGGTCTCGAACTCCCGACCTCAGGTGATCTGCCCACCTCGGCCTCCCAAACTGCTGGGATTACAGGCGTGAGCCACCGCGCCCATCCCACCCTCCCACTTTCTTTCTGATTCCTGCCATCTTGGCCCCTTGCCTGGCCCCTAATCAGGCACCCCACACTTACCTGGCCACACAGCCCCTTGTGGATCTGGGCCAGGGTATTAAGAAGAGAGAGGAGGGCAGTGAGGAATGGGAAGGGTGAGGCTGAGCCAGCCAGACTGAGACGGGGGCAGCCTCCCGAGCAGCCCAGTGACACGAGGCTGGGGGGAGCTTCAAGGGCTGGCACACAGGACAGCGGGTTGCAGAGAAGGGAGCAGTGCCTGTAGGTGAAGTGGAGAGTCTGAGGGGGACTCTGGCCTGGCGTGTGCCAAGCTGGAAAGAGCTTCTGGGTCTGTACCTAAGACTAACGGGGGGCCTGGCTGTGGAGGTCAGTGCTGCTCACACTCCTCAGAGCCCACCCCACTGCTGCCTGCTAGGGACTCGGGTTTCCCTCGGGCCGAGGGCCTGCACCCTGGGATGGACCTGGGAGCTGGACCCAGGAATCCCACAAGGAAAGAAATTGCCTCCTCCCCTGCTTCCCCCAGCTACCAAACACAGTACATACCTAAGGGAATCCCACAGGCTGCCCAGTGTGGGCTGACTCAGCAGTGGCAGCAGCAGCTCCTCTGACAGGCGCTGCATGTCCTGGAGCCAATCCTCCGGGCATGAGCTTGGCTGGTGGACCAAGGAATTCACTGAGCTGATGGCCCAGCCATTCATTCTCCTAGACCCTGTGTACCCAGGCCAATGCCACCATCCCAACAGCCCAAAAGAGCACATTTGGAGGCTTCTGCAGGCTGAGCCTTCTGAAGGGAGAGAAGGCCCCGATGTGTAGGGGGCATAAAGAGGGAGCACACAGGCTACAGGAAGGCTGAGCTGCTGCGTGGGCTCTCTGGTCCCCACCAACATGGCTCCTGGGAAGCTCCACGGGGATATGGAGGTAGAAAGAGGAGGAAGGGTAGGAATTAAAAGGGAAGATAGTAAATGGGGAAGTAGGAGTGGAGAGATGGACACAGAGAGGGAGCAACGGGTGGAATGTAGCTGAAGGCAGGGTGCGGGGGCCTGGTGGACAGCCGGCAGGAGGCACTCACTTGCTGGCTCCAGGCCTGGTAGTAGGCTCCCAGGAACAACAGGCAGGCAACGGGCACTGGGCCCACGGCTCTCCACATCTCAGGTCTGGACAGCAACTTCAAGGTCTGCCTTAGACACGGCTCAACAAGAGGCTGGAGCCCAGACACCTGTGTCCAAGTGACTAAGGAAGGGGTGGCCGAGAGGCTGGCCTCAGCAGAATCACTACAAAAGTGCCAAAGGGTGCCACAGTGAGGATCTGGCTGCCTCACGCCCCTTTACACTCCAGCCACCCCAGCCCTGTGGAGGAGCCCTCCACCTGTCCTGTGGGTCCTGGCTATAAACTACCTGATGGTTTCAGCAGGGGTACTGCCGGCTGCCAGGGTTAGCTGGGTGAGGAGAGTGAGCAGTGAGGCTATCCGCTGCATGGACAGGGGTTGAGGTGGGTGGGTGCTGAGCTCCCGCGGCACCACCTGCAAGGCCCGCATCAGCACTGGGTAGAGCTCCCTAGGGAAGAACAGGGACTGATTTTCACTGTATGAAAGCAAGTGGAGACATGAGACACAGGTCATGGCCCTGACCCAGGGATCTGCAGTTTGATAAAGGAGGATGAGGAGGAAGAGTGGGGCACTCTTGGAAGGCTCAGCCCTAAAGAATGGAAAGGATGTTGTCCTTCAAGGCTGCCCCCAACAGGGAATTTAAATGTGATTTCACAGATACCAATGCTTTTTTTTTTTTTTTTTTGAGACATTCTCTGTTGCCCAGGCTGGAGTGCAGTGGAGTGATGGAGTGATCTCGGCTCACTGCAACCTCTGCCTCCCAGGTTAAACCGGTTCTCCTGCCTCAGCCTGCCGAGTAGTTGGGATTACAGGTGTGTGCCACCACGCCTGGCTAATTTTTGTATTTTTAATAGAGACGGGGTTTCACCATATTGGCCAGGATGGTCTCGAACTCCTGACTTCGTGATACGCCTACCTTGGCATCCCAAAGTGCTGGGATTACAGGCATGAGCCACAGTGCCCGGCTAATGATTTTGAGCATAGAATACGGTTAAGCCAGGTTTATCCCCCTCTTCCCTGGCTGGGCCTGACTCCTAAGCCTTTTCACATCTGGCAGAAGCCCTCCCACTCATTCTTATCCTTCCTCCAAGCTTGGGACCTTGAGCAAGGCTGAGGTGTTTGATTTGGCCAGAAGAGCAGAACTGAAGGTGTCTAGGGGGAGCCTACCCCCTGCCTCTCCTCACCTGTAAAGGTAACCGCCCTGGCCATAGGAGGCAGCCACAGCCCACAGACGGAGGGCCTCGGTGCTCAGCATCTCAGCTTCCTCTGGGGGCAAGGCCAGTTCTTGGGGAGCCTCAGCTATGATGCGGCACAGGCGGCTCCGGAGATCAAAGCTGCTCAACTGGAAATGGGCACAGTCTGAGGATCAGGGTCAGCTGTGAGTCTCAAGTCCAGCTACTCTCAGCTGGACAGAGAGTGGCTTAACTCAACCCTGACCCAGGCCCCTCTGGTGCCACAAAGTCATACCTCATCCACCCTGCCCTTCCTTCTTATTATTTATTTAAAATTTCAATTTTATTATTTTACTTTTTATTATTTATTATTATTTTGAGATGGAGTCTTGCTCTGTTGCCCTGGCTGGAGTGCAGTGGAGTGATCTTGGCTCACCACAACTTCTGTCTCCCAGGTTCAAGAGACTCTCCTGCCTCAGCCTCCCAAGTAGCTGGGACTACAGGCATGCGCCACCATGCCCGACTAATTTTTGTATTTTTAGTAGAGACGGGGTTTCATTATGTTGGCCAGGCTGGTGTCGAACTGCTGACCTCGTGATTCACCCACCTCGGCCTTCCAAAACGTTGGGATTACAGGTGTGAGCCACCGCACCCAGCCCCTATTATTTTTTTATTTTTATTATTATTATTTTTTTAGATGGAGTCTCGCTCTGTCGCCCAGGCTGGAGTGCAGTGGCGCAATCTCGGCTCACTGCAATCTCTGCCCCTCCAGGTTTAAGCAATTCTCTGCCTCAGCCTCTGGAGTAGCCGGGATTACAGGCGCATGCCACCACGCCTGGCTAATTTTTTGTATTTTTAGTAGAGACAGGGTTTCACCATCTTGGTCAGGCTGGTCTTGAACTCCTGACCTCATGATCCACCTGCCTTGGCCTCCCAAAGTGCTGGGATTACAGGTGTGAGCCACCGCGCCCGGCCCTATTATTTGTTTTTAGATGGAATCTTGCTCTGCCACCCAGGCTGGAATGCAGTGGTGTGATCTTGGCTCACTCCACCCTCCATCTCCCGGGTTCAAGCAATTCTCCTGCCTCAGCCTCCCAAGTAGCTGGGACTACAGGCGCACACTATTATACCTGGCTAATTTTTGTAGTTTTAGTAGAGGTGGGGTTTTGCCATATTGGCCAGGCTGGTCTCGAACTCCTGACCTCAAGTGATCCACCACCTCGGTCTCCCAAAGTGTTGTGATTACAGGCGTGAGCCACTGCACCTGGCCAGTAGTAGTATTTTTGAGACGGGGTCTCGCCCTGTTGCCTAGGCTGTAGTGCAGTGATTGGTGCAACCAGCCCACTGCAGCCTCCACCTCCCAGCTCAAGTGATCCTTCTACCTCAGCCTACCGAGTAGCTGAGACTACAGTCATGTGCTACCACATCTAGCTAATTTTTTGTTTTTGTTTTTTGTAGAGACAGAGTCTTGCTATGTTGTCCAGGCTGGCCCCTGAACTCTTGGCCCCAAGTGATCCTCCTGCCTTGGCCTCCCAAAGTGCTGGGATTACAGGCCTGAGCCACTACACCCAGCCCTCCCTCTTTATAGCAAGGCTTGCTGGGCACCTTCTCTAGGGCTACTTGGCTATAGATGATGAATGCCTATGTGCATGAAGCCCTTCTGATCTGGGTCTAGGGAACAGGGAGACCTCCTATTACATCATGAGACCACAGTATACCTATATGATGCACCAGGCTCCAGTAAACAGGCTCCAGTAAACAGGTTCATGCCTGGTGATTTCTGTTGCATTTCTAAGCAACTGGATCAGAGAGGAAGAAGATGGCAAGAGCTGGCCACCCAGAGTTCAGGAGCCATGTTTAGCTCCCAACCCAACCCTGTCCCATGCATTCCCCCATCCCTTGCCCTGTGTCCTGCTCACCAGCCGGGCAGCAATATTCCTCCCAGCTGAGGCCAGGACACGAAGTAGTTTCATGGCAGTAGCACAGGGTACTTTGTATAGACTAGGGGTAGGCCCTGCCCCCACAGGAGACCAACTGGTGGGCAAGAACTCTCGAACTATAGTCTCTATCAGCCGAGGGCACTCCAGGACCTATGGGAGACAGGAGGTAAAAGGGAGGAAGGGAGGCTGTGGGTCAAGACAAGGCCCAGCTAGGCTTTTTGCCCATTCCCTGCTCCCTTTTTTCTCACCCTTGTGGCTGATTCCAGGGAATGCCGGGCCAGGCGGATGAGCACAGCCAGGATGTCAAGGACCACCGCAGGTCCTGGGTATGTCACCTCCAGCACGTAGCGCAGCCGAGGCAGCAGGCTGGTAGCCAGGAGCCCCTGGGAGTTGGAGAGAGAAACCCACTGACAAATGCAGCTGGACCCTGGGCATTGATGGCCCCTCTTTCCAGCATGTGCTTGTCCCCTGGGCCATGGGATGGGAAAGAAGCTGTCCCTTTACCTTGATGACATCATGTCGGGCCAGGTCAGGTGGAGGCCGGCTTTCTTCTTCAGGGCTTTTCCTTTTTGCTTTTCCTGCTGGGCATTCTTCATCCTCGTCCTCATCCTCCTTGTCCTCCTGGCTGGGCATCAGAGGGAACGTCAAAGCTCCATGGTACCAAGAGAAGGTGCTGTCGAGGAGCTCCTGCCAGAGGAACGGGAGTTGGGGGGCAATGCTGAAGGGGCCAGGAAATGGATCCAGGAGTAGAGAGGATGCTCCCCAATAAAAACCATAAAGGCAAGCCTCCTGGGCTTTAGGGACTTTAGGAGATGAGGGAGACGCCTGCCATCCCATTCTACATCTTGCCCGCAAAGCCTTAGCAATGGGGCCATGCCCAGGAACAGGAATATGGACCCTGGCACCTCCCAGCCCAAGCCCCATTCCTATCCCTGTGGTACCTCATCTCCAGGAGCCACCAGCAGAGCCCGAAGAGCACGGATGGCGGTTGCAATGACCCCATCCACTCTGTCATCCAAGGAGAAGCGCAGTAGGAAGAGGAAACCAGCATCCAAAAGGAGGCTTAAGACACTGCCTGCTAGCCGGTCCCCAAACTCACCAGCCTGGGCCTGAGGGCAGGAGGGTAAAACCTTGCTGAAGATGCTGAAGTTATCTAGAGGCTTTGCCCTAATCCTTCGTTTGCCCCCCTATGATCCTAGGTTGTTAAAAGCACATAGCTGGCTAGTGAGCCAGAGTGAAAAGGGCAGGAGATGGGGAAGTCTGAGGCTGTGGGGTGAAGGGAAGGGTGGGCAGGACCAGGCTGGCAATCCACTCACCCTGCTGATGACCTGGGCTAACACATGCAGTGCCAGTGCTCTCTGCTGGGAAACCTGGCTGCGGGTCAGGTGGAACAGCTCCTGTAGGGAATACCCCGCTCTCTGGGGCAGGGACAAGAAGTCAGAAGCAGCCAGGATACAGCACAGTGCCCCCAAAACACCAAGCAAGGTATCACAGGAAAGACAAAGATAAATAAGTGAAATCTGCCCTGCTTTCCATGGAGCCTCAAGCCGGTAAAGATAAGACTTGCATACAAGTAACCATGCCATGAGGCAGATGCAGAGGAACGTGATAACTGATGTTTAATTTGCGACCGGCGGACAGGAGAGAGAGAGAAGGGAACCTGGAAAATTAAATTGGTCTCAGTGGATGGGTAGAGCTTTGATGGCCTGACATGGAGCAAAAGGCAAAGGCATTTCCTGGAGCGAGTGGAGTCCTGGAGGGCCCTGAGCACAGGAGGTATGTGGGGAGAAGCCAGCAGAGTGGTGTAGCAGGAAGTGAAGGAGGCAGAGCAGCAGGGTCAGCAGGGACAAAAGGTAGAAGGAATATCTTGCCCAGCTGAGACCAGAACCTTATTTTGTGAGCAGAGGGAAGCTGGGAAACTTCTGGAGGCAAGGCATGGCCTGAGCTGGGCCAGAAGAAATCAGCACAGCAGCCCCGAGAGACATGGAATGGCAGGGGGGCGGAGAATGGAGGGCATGGAGAGTGAGCAGACCAAGGAAGCAAGGCCACAGTGCAGGAGGCATCATGAGGAGGTGACAGAAGATCGGCAAATTCTAGCAACTGACCAGAATACGGAGAGAGGATCAAGATTTTGAGCCTAAGAAACTGAATGCCACGCCTGTAATCCCAGCACTTTGGGAGGCCGAGGCAGGCGGATCACAAGCTCAGGAGATCAAGACCATCCTGGCTAACATGGTGAAACCCCGTCTCTACTAAAAATACAAAAATTAGCTGGACGTGGTGGCATGCGCCTGTAATCCCAGCTAGTCAGGAGGCTGAGGCAGGAGAATGGCTTGAACCCAGGAGGTGGAGGCTGCAGTGAGCCAAGATCATACCACTGCACTCCAGCCTGGGCCAGAGCGAGATTCTGTCTCCAAAAAAAGAAACTGAATGCACAGCAAAGGCATGAACTAGAACAGGGCACACAGAAGGTCAAAGGCAGTTGACCAGAGATCCTTTTCCATGGGGTTGTTAAAAGAGCTGCCCCATCCTCTCCAGTCCCATGCCTCACCTCTGCCTCCTCTCCATGGTGGTGCAGACCCAGGTGGGTGGGCAGGTCCACGTCAGGGGCCAGTAGTTCTCCCTGAAGACTGAATCGAGCCTGCATCCTCTAATGGGAAGAGAAAGAGGACTGTGGTCTGGGGGCTCCAGCAACCTTCCCACACCCACTCCCCACCTTTAATCCCAGGCCTTTCAGGACTTAGGTACTGACTCTACTTCTACCAGAAATGGGGCTTATCTGGCCTTGGGGGCCAGGCAGAGTGATGGTAAAGGTGGGTGAGAGCAAAGGAGAGATGCTTCTCAGGCTCTGGGCAATAGAAAGGCCTGAGTTCTGAGGGCAAGAGCAGCAGCTCCTCTCCTGCCCTATCTCACCCACCCCTTGTAGGCCAGGTGGCCCTCCTCACCTCCTGTGTCTGCTGCCGCCGGACAGGGGGCAAGTCCTGGGTCCAGTGGAGCTTCTCCAGCTCGACAGTGTCCATGTGCAGCCATTCTTTCTGAGGGGTCACGGGCAATGCCAGAGCTGGGGAGACAAAGCATGATAGTATTACCCAAACGGCTCAGCTCACTATCCACAGGGGTCCCCACCATCACCCAGCAGCTGCCACATCCACTTCTGTTCCAGGATCTGCCAGCTTCTACCCTCGGTTATGGCTAAATGGCATGGCCCAGGGACTGGAACTCCTGGGGCTGGGGTGAAAGTCTCAAATATGACAGACACACTCCATCCTGGGCTCCAGCCCCTTGCTGACCCCAAGGATTTGTTGGGAGGGGAGAGAGGAGGAGAAGGAGAAGGAAGAAAGAGAAAGAAAGGAGAAAAAGATGAAGAAGGAGGACCACATATGTCAGGAAGGCACCATCTCCACTTTCCAGTACCAGCCCTTAAAGGAGTAGGAGAGTGGGGACAATGAGGAGGAGGCAACTATACTGCTCCTGGGGGGCAGGATACAGAAACAAATCCCACAGCATTTTCCTCCTTCACGCCTACCCCCACCCAACCTGCTCAGCTGGCCTGGAGCTCCTCCGGGGGCATGAGGTTCCTGGCTCTCATAATTCAATTTCTTATTTTGTTAATCACTAATGAAATAATCTAGTTTCTGGGAAATGAGTGCTTCCACTGGCCTCTCTGCTTCTGGTCTGGCATGTTCATAAGATCTTTGTCAGATTCTGCCTCTCTTATTACTCTGGCCCTGCCATCTTTCCCCCAGCACTGTGAGCAGAGAGAGAAAGAACAGTGGGATGGACAGAGCCAGAGCTGGGGCAGCTACAGCAAGGACAGGAAGATAGTCTGCCGGGAGCGGGTGGAGTGGGATTCAGCCATCACGCATTGCTGCCTCTTAAAAGGGAAGGCGGAGAAGGGGCAGTAACAGGACAAGAAAACAGGAAGCATGTGCAGGAAGAAGACATGCATCAGCAATGAAGACTGACTTGAAGCCAATAATGAGGATTAATGTTAGATGTCCAAAAGCACAGAAGCTTCTCTCTTCTCTCATTTGCCAGGCCTAGGAAAAGGGACAATTTCCCCTACTTTTATCCACCAAAATATGACCCCCGCCTCCTGCAAACCTGGGGCTTCTGGCTCCAGCTTGTCTCTCTTCCTGGGCTCACTGGCAAAAGCTGACATGAGGGGTTCCTCCTTGGTGACATTAGCAGAGGGTCCTCCTGGCCTCTGCTCCTCAGAGGCTGTCTCTCCTGTTTGCTCTTGCGTGTGGCTGTGAGATCTCAAGAAAGCAACCAAGCTGGGGTCTAGAGGCGAAGGTAGAGGGGAGAGTGAGTGAGGGTAGATCCTCCCTGGCCTCCTACAGACCTGGAACCCGCTGAATATCGCCTGTCTGTGGGTGCCAAGGACAGGACAAGCTGCTTCCGAGCCTGGGCCTGAGCCTTCTGGGTGCTCCTGTGGCCCATCAATGACCCAGCCTTCTCACACCTGTGGGGTCACTAGGCCCACCTGCCCACCTGCCCACCTTTCCCTCTATCCCTCACAGTCCACTGGCCCAGGTTCCTATGCCTATCCCTTTGGTTTCAGGTCACAGTTCCAATGTAAGTGGCTGTAGAATGAATAAGTTAATGTTGACTAGGGCCAAAAAGAAGGCATTTACAGAAAGAATTTCCTTCTCTTAGCTAATTTATTTATGCACACACACATATATATATATATATATATATATATATTTTTTTTTTTTTTTTTTTTTTTTTTTTTTTGAGACGGAATCTCGCTGTGTCGCCCGGGCTGGAGTGCAGTGGTGCAATCTCAACTTACTGCAACCTCCATCTCCCAGGTTCAAGGGATTCTCCTGCCTCAGCCTCCTGAGTAGCTGGGATTAAAAGTGCCTGCCACCACGCCTGGCTAATTTTTGTATTTTTACTAGAGACGGGGTTTTACCATGTTGCTCAGGCTGTAAATATATATTTTTAAAGAGATAGGGTCTTGCTCTGTTACCCATGCTGGAGTGCAGTGGCACAATCGTAGCTCACCACAGCCTCAAACTCCTGGGCTCAAGCAATCCTCCCGCCTCAGCCTCCCAAGTAACTGGGACTACCGGCATGCACCACCATATCTGGCTAATTTTTTTTTTTTTTTTTGAGACAGAGTCTCACTCTGTCGCCCAGGCTGGAGTGCCATGGCACGATCTCGGCTCACTGCAAGGTCCGCCTCCCGGGTTCAAGTGATTTTCTTGCCTCAGCCTCCCGAGTAGCTGGGACTACAGGCGTGTGCCACCACGCCCAGCTAATTTTTGTATTTTTAGTAGAGACAGGGTTTCACCGTGTTGGCCAGGATGGTCTCAATGTCTTGATCTTGTGATCCGCCCACCTCAGCCTCCCAAAGTGCTGGGATTACAGGCGTGAGCCTCCACACCTGGCTGTAATTTTTTATATCTTTATTTTTTGTAGAGATGGGGTCTCATGATGTTCCTCAAGCTGGTCGTAAACTCTTGGCCTCAAGCAATCCTCTCACCTCAACCTCCCAAAGTGCTGGAATTACAGGGCAAGGCACCATACTGAGCCCTAACACGTATTATACTCTATAGAGGTGCTAGTATACAGTGGGTAACAAGATTGACTGAGTGCCTGGCATTTTGGTGAACAGACACTAGGGGTGAGGCATAGCATAGAACAGT
Organism: Homo sapiens; assembly: GCF_000001405.40. Lineage (NCBI taxonomy): Eukaryota > Metazoa > Chordata > Mammalia > Primates > Hominidae > Homo > Homo sapiens. The sequence continues at coordinate 41,532,576 of NC_000015.10, forward strand.
ATCACAGAGTAGAAGAGACTATACATATACTAGAGTATAGCTATAATAAAGCATAGTGTATACTATACCAGGGTAGTACAGTTATACATAGCACAGTGGTTAAAAAGTAGGGCCTCGGCTGGGCACGGTGACCATCTCAAAAAAAAAATCGCAGCACTTCAGCAGGCCGAGGCAGATGGGTCGCTGGAGGTCAGGAGTTCAAGACCAGCCTGGCCAACATGGTGAAACCCATCTCTACTAAAAATACAAAAAAATTAGCTGGGTGTGGTGGTGCACATCTGTAATCCCAGCTACTCAGGAGGCTGAGGCAGGAAAATCGCTTGAACTAGGGAGGTACAGGTTGCAGTGAGCTGAGATCGTGTCACTGTACTCCACCCAGGACAACAGAGCGAGACTCCGTCTCAAAAAAAAAAAAAAAAAAAAAAAAAGCAGGGCATATGAGACCAGGTAGATCTGGGTTTAAATCCTGTGTCCTGTGCTTCTTATAAGGTGTGTGACCTGGGTAGAATTTCTTTTAAATTTTAGGCCTCAGTTTCTTTCATAAGTAAAATAGGGTTAATACCACCTACCTCACAGGACAAGTTTAAGGACAGAACTGAATAATGCATTAAAGGTCAGGCACGGTGGCTCATGCCTGTAATCCCAGCACTTTGGGAGGCTGAGGTCGGTGGATCACTTGATGCCAGGAGTTCGAAACTAGCCTGGCCAACATGGTGAGACCCCATCTCTACTGAAAATAAAAAAAATTAGCCAAGCATGGTGGTACACACCTCTAATTCCAGCTGCTGAAAAGGCTGAGGCACAAGAATCACTTGAACCTGGGAGGCAGAGGTTGCAGTGAGCCGAGATCGTGCCATTCCACTCCAGCCTGGGTGACAGAGGGAGACTCTGAAAACAAAAAACAAAAAACAAAAACCAACCTGTGCAATATAGTGAGACCTCATCTCTACAAAAACCTTAAAAGAAATTCGCTGGGGGCCAGGCACGGTGGCTCACACCTGTAATCCCAGCACTTTGGGAGGCACTTTGATCCACCTGAGGTCAAGAGTTCGAAACCAGCCTGGCCAATACAGGGAAACCCCGTCTCTACTAAAAATACAAAAAATAAAAAAATTAGCCAGGCATGGTGGCAGGCGCCTGTAATCCCAGCTACTTTGGAGGCTGAGACAGGAGAATTGCTTGAACCTGGGAGGCAGAGGTTGCAGTGAGCAGAGATTGCGCCATTGCACTCCAGCCTGGGCAACAAGAGGAAAAATCCGTCTTAAAAAAAAAAAAAAACCTAGGCGCAGTGGCTCCAGCACTTTGGGAGGCCAAGGCCAGTGGATCACCTGAGGTCAGGAGTTCGACACCAGCCTGGCCAACATGGTGAAACTCCGTCTCTACTAAAAATACAAAAATTAGTTGGGTATGGTGGTGGGCACCTGTAATCCCAGATACTCAGGAGGCTGAGGCAGGAGAATCATTTGAACCCAGGAGGCGGAGGTTGCAGTGAGCCTACGTCGCGCCATTGCACTCTAACCTGGGCAACAAGACCGAAACTCCATCTCAAAAAAAAAAAAAGGCCGGGCATGGTGGCTCATGCTTGTAATCCTAGCACTTTGGGAGGCCGAGGAGGGCAGATCACCTGAGGTTGGGAGTTCGAGACCAGCCTGACCAACATGGAGAAACCCTACCTCTACTAAAAATAAAAAAATTAGCTGGGCGTGGTGGCAGATGCGTGTAATTCCAGCTACTCGAGAGACTGAGGTAGGAGAATCTCTTGAACCCGGGAGGCGGAGGTTGTGGTGAGCCGAGATTGTGCTATTGCATTCCAGCCTAGGCAACAAGAGTGAAACTCTGTCCCCCCAAAAAAAAAAAAAAATTAGCTGAGTGTGGTGGTGTGTGCCTATAATCCCAGCTACACAGGAGGCTGAAGTGGGAGGATTGCTTGAGCCGTGAAGGTGGAGGTTGCAGTGAGCCGAGATCGTGCCACTGCATTCCAGCCTGGGTGACAGAGCAAGACCATCTCAAAAAAAAAAAAAAAAAAAAAAAAAGCATTAAAGTACTCAGCACAGTGCCCGGAACTCACAGTAAGCCTAGCTCAATAAGTGGTATTCCTCTCCTAGCCTGGTCTCAGCAGGAAAGCCAGGCACCCATACCAAGCTGGGCCAGCAACCGCTGCTGTTCCTGCAGGATCTCCTCAGGAGCCATGGCCTGCAGTCTTGCTATGTTCTCTTCATGGATAGTCTGGGCTTCCTGCTCAGCTTCTTGATCCCTGAGCCCCTTCCCTGTGACCAGATTGGGTCCCTGAAAGCTGTGGCTGCTCCCAGGAAGCTGGCAGCCCTGGTTCCTAGGAGTGGGTGTCTCACAGGTCACGGCACCTGGAAGAAAGGTATGATCACATTCATTGCTCTGTCCTCCAGGGCTCTAACTGGGCTTTTTGGCCTTCTTCTATAAGGCTATTAGCCCTGGAGACAGGTATAGACCCAAACTTTCCTCAGAGTGGAGACCCCACTGGGTCTGGCACAGGGACTCCAGGTGGCTTCTCCACTCACTGCTTCCCTAGTACTTATATGAAAAGGTTTTCCTCAGAAACATCCTAATTTCTGACTCCTCTTAGATATCTAGGCAGGCATCTATAGCCAGGGGCCTGCTCCCAGCTGTTAAGCTAATAATTTGCATCATTAAAGGGATCTTGGCCAACACATTTATTTTACAGTCTCTGCCAGACACTTCTGCCCTATTCCCTTTCTCTTAGGACTGCATAATGGCCTGCCCCACTCCCAGCACCTGAGACCCAGATATGGACCCAAGCCTCCCATACCTAGTATTCTCAGACTACTTGAGATGGCTCAAATGCACCTCTCATTTGAGGCAGGAAGACATATCTTCAAAAATGACCCTATGATTGTGTCTTTTAAAAAGGCCAAGCCCAATCCTCTTCAACCCCGGCTCACCCTCTGGTGGGCCCACGTTGGGCACAACTTCCCCAACTGATGGGCCCTTGGCTTCAGCTATCCTCCTTGCCGCAATTTCCTGGGCAAAGATGCTTCTCTTACCAGATGTTGCTGATTTCCCCTGTGGGGCAAAAAGAAAACCCAGGTTACTGATGCTCATCATCCCACTTTCCTCTCAACCTCTTTATATCAAGGCCTCTGGAACAAAGAGATAAAAGGGGATTTGCTCAATTTCCAGGGATCACAACCCTAGTTCTCAGAAAAAGGAGAGGTCTATAAGAGTAAAGGTCTTAGACTCTGACAGACTTGGGTTGAAGTTCTGGCTCTTCTACCTATTAGATGTGTGGTGTTGGACAAGTTATTTATCTCTTTGGGGTCTCAGTTTCCTCATATGAAAAATGGGAATAAGGACTCCTCATCCCCAAGGTATCATCATGATACCTGCCTTATATGTTTGTTATGAAGATTAAAAGAAGTAATGGGTATGAAGTGCTTAGTATGATCCTGCTTTGTAAATTAAATTGCTTATCATCATTAAAACTACCTGCCTGGAGAAGATGCACTATGAGACTCACCTGTCTGTCTCCTGAGCACCACCTAAGCTTACCCTTGCCTACCTGTGTGTCCCGCGAGCGAAGGAACACAGCAGGGAAAGCAACACCACTGGGCACAGGCAGATTCACGGCCACTGAACTTGTATCTCGTTCCTGTAGCAACAAAGCACAAAGTTGTGAAGCACAATGGAGAAACTTCCCCAGGCTGGACCCGATCCTATTAGCCCAGTTCTGAACGATGAGAACCTCACTCTGGGGGGTTACGGACCCTCCTCCCTTCAGGGCAGTGATTCTAACCCAGCCCCCAACCTGACCTCAGGGGTAAAAGTCTACCTTTCTGAAGCACCCTCCACTGATAAGCCTCACCCACCCCGAGCATCCAATATCCCTGTTGCCCTAGAACATCTTATCCTACTCAGCCAGAGTGAGACGCACAATAATCTTAGTCAAGACAGCAGTGATGTGCTGATCATGCCTCCTCAGCCTCTCTTCTGGGTCCTCATCCTCAGGCAGGCAGTGGCCAGGGCTGGGCCTGGCTCTCTTTGGAGGAGAAGGGACCAAAGCTGGGGGCAAATCTGGGAGATCTGAGAAAGAAAAGATCCCAAACGTGAGTATATGCACACCTTCCTAGGAAGACACTGCAGGCTAGGGAAGAAAGACAGCTGCCATGGGGCCCTGGCTCAAGCTGTGTCATCTTGGGTAAGATATTTAACCTCTTTGAGCCTCATTTTCTTCCTCTGTAAAATGGGGCTGCAGAAACACAGGCTATGCAGTGTCTGAAATAATAATGATGTGTCTGAATCCAACCACAACAGGAAGAGGGAGGGGCCCGAGGCTGTACCCTCTCTACTTCTCAGCCTCACATCCATGGGAACTCACTGTCCAACATCACCACATCCCGATGGTCCTGGAGCGGAGGCCGGTCTGAGTTGGCATCACCACCGCCCCTATTTCCTTTCTTCACCAACTGCACTGCTGGGGCTGCACCAGCTGCGAGAAACTGACTCTGGAAGTGCAGCAGGTCCACCTCGGACTCCCCTGGCTTCGGTCTCGACAGCATCTTGCTGCTCCAGCTGCCTCCCCAGTACGACTCTCTCCAGCAGTGTCTCCGTGTGGGGGTTCCCTCTTATTCATCCCTAAGAGCAAGAAAGAATATGGGCCCTCTGCAACTGAACCCTGATTCTCTTTATTGGGCAACAGCGAAGATCTTCTTTATCCTTGGGTTAACATGAACTCATTCCTCCTCATTCATACCTTACTGCCATTCCCTCTGTCTTCAGCCCTCCCTGATGTCATCAGCCTAGCAACAATATTTATAGCCAACTTAGGTTGTTTACAATCTATAGGTGATAAAACTCTCAGGAACAACCAGCAGGAGACCTGAGGAAAATGTCATCAGGGGCCGAGCAGATAAATGTTGTCATAATGGGGGGGTGATGATTCTGTATCAAACTGGAGAGAACATGCTTGGCCTAAAGGTATGTAAATTATTAAAAACCTTGGGCTGTAAAATATCAATATAAAAAACATTTGTGGCCAGGCGCAGTGGCTCACGCCCGTAATCCCAGCATTTTGTAAGGCCGAGGAGGGTGGGTCACCTGAGGCCAGGAGTTCAAGACCAGCCTGGCCAACATGGTGAAACCCCATCTCTACTAAAAATACAAAAAATTAGCTGGGCATTGTGGTGGGCGCCTGTAATCCCAGCTACCTGGGAGGCTGAGACAGGAGAATCGCTTGAACCTGGGAGATGGAGGTTGCTGTGAGCCGAGATTGCACCATTGCACTCCAGCCTGGGCAACAAGAGTAAAACTCCGTCTCAAAAAAAAAAAAAAAAATTGTATGTCTATGCACTAGCAAAGAACATGCAGAAAATGGAATTAAGAAAACAATTGCATTGGCCGGATGCGGTGGCTCACGCCTGTAATCCCAGCACTTTGGGAGGCCAAGGCGTGTGGATTATGAGGTCAGGAGATCAAGACCATCCTGGTTAACACGGTGAAACCCCGTCTCTACTAAAAATATAAAAAACTAGCCGGGCGTGGTGGCGGGCACCTGTATTCCCAGCTACTCGGGAGGCTGAGGCAGGAGAATGGCGTGAACCCGGGAGGCGGAGCTTGCAGTGATCTGAGATGGAGCCACTGCACTCCAGCTTGGGCGACAGAGTGAGACTCTGTCAAAAAAACAAAACAAAACAAAACAAAAAACAGACAGGATCTCACTCTGTCACCTAGGTTGGAGTGCAGTCTGCTATCATAGCTTACTACAGCCTCAAACTCCTGGGCTTGGGTGATCCTCCCACTTGACACAGAAAGTTAATTTAATTGCCCCAAATCCACAGTAAATGTCAGAAACAGAATCTCAAGTTAGGCACTCAAGCTGCAGAATGTATGCACTTCTCTGTCTGCTCAACCTTGACAATGATAAGTGATCAGAGGCTTAGAGGATAAAAAAGGAAAGAAAAAACAAAAAAAATCAACAAACAGGTCAGCAATCAAATGTTTTGTATCATGATAAAATATGCATATTTCTATTTTTCTCTATATACTGTAAATTTATGTACTTTTTAAACTTGTGATTTGTTATAATGTTAGATTTACAGATTTATATAGATAGTATGAACAGTTTCCATATGTAGTCTTCACCCAGTTTCTCCAAAGGTTAAGACTTTACGTAACCATGGCACAAAGGCAAAAAAGAAATTAACATAGAGACCTTACATTTATTTGTCAACAAAAAGGAATGAAGTTCCAATGCACAAACATTGAAAACATTATACTAAGTGAAAGAAGCTATATGACTCAGAAACATTTTATTTAGTGAAAAGAAAGAAAGAAGCTAGCCAAAAAGGACCTCATATTGTATGATTCTGTTCATATGGAATGTCCAAAATAGGCAAATCCATAGAGACAGAAAGTAGATTAGTAGTTGCCAGGGGCTAGGAGAGCTGGAGGGAAATGGGAATTGACAGCTAATGGGTATGGAGCGTCTTTTTGGAGTAATGAAAATGTTCAACCTTGTGAATATACTAAAAGCCATGAATTGTAAACTTTATTAATTTATTGTGACAGAGTCTGGCTCTGTCACCCAGGCTGGAGTGCAGTAGCGTGATCTTGGCTCACTGCAACCTCTACCTCCTGGGCTTAAGCCGTCCTCCCACCTCAGTCTCCCAAAAAGCTAGGACTACAGATGCACCACCACACTCAGCTAATTTTTGTTTTTTTTTTTGTTTTTTGTTTTTTGTTTTTTGAGACGGAGTTTTGCTCTTGTTGCCCAGGCTGGCGTGCAATGGCGCGATCTCGGCTCACTGCAACCTCTGACTCCTAGGTTCAAGTGATTCTCCTGCCTCAGCCTCCTGAGTAGCTGGGATTACAGGCGCCCACCACCATGCCTGGCTAATTTTTTGTAGTTTTTCAGTAGAGACAGGGTTTCACCATGTTGGTCAGGCTGATCTCGAACTCCTGACCTCATGATCCACCTGCCTTGGCCTCCCAAAGTGCTGGGATTACAGGCGTGAGCCACCGTGCCCCACAATTTTTGTGTTTTTTACAGAGACAGGATTTCACCATGTTGTACAGGCTGGTCTCGATCTCCTGGGCTCAAGAAATCTGCCCACCTTGGGCTCCCAAAGTACTGGGATTACAGGCCTGAGCTACTGCACCTGGCCTGTAAACTTTTAAAATGATGAATTCTGGCCAGGCTCGGTGGCTCACATCAGTAATCCCAGCACTTTGGGAGGCTGAGACAGGTGGCTCACGAGGTCAGGAGTTCAAACCAGCCTGACCAACATGGTGAAGTCTCTACTAAAAATACAAAAAAAATTAGCCGGGTGTGGTGGCAGGTGCCTGTAATCCTAGCTACTCAGGAGGCTGAGGCAGAAGAATCACTTGAACCTGGGAGGCGGAGGCTGCAGTGAGCCAAGATCGTACCACTGCACTCCAGCCTGGGCGACAGAGTGAGACTCCGTCTCAAAAAAATAATAATAATAAAATAAAATGATGACTTCTGTGGTATATAAACTATAAATCAATTATAAAACAAAAAACGCTGGGCTGGCCAAAGATATCTGCAAGCTGGCTGGCTAGTTTTGGAACCCCTGAGCTAGATGCTGATAATAATAAAAATATTGTTATATCTAACACTTATTGAGCACTTAGTATGCACCACATACTGTTCTCTAAGCACTTTTTCCATATTCATTCATTTAATCCTCATAACAGCCTAGGAGGTAGGTTACTACTATTTTTTTTTTTTTTGAGATGGAGTTTCACTCTTGTTGCCCAGGCTGGAGTGCAATGGCACGATCTCGGCTCACTGCAACCTCCGCCTCCCAGGTTCAAGCGATTCTCCTGCCTCAGTCTCCCTAGTAGCTGGGATTATAGGCATGTGCCACCACGCCCAGCTAATTTTGTATTTTTAGTAGAGACTGGGTTTCTCCATGTTGGTCAGGCTGGTCTCGAACTCCCGACCTCAGGTGATCTGCCCGCCTCTGCCTCCCAAAGTGCTGGGATTACAGGCGTGAGCCACTGCAACGGGCCAGTTACTACTATTATTCAAATTTTACAGCTGAGAAAAGAATAGTGCTGAGAAGTTAAGTATTTGCTCAAGGTCTCAGTGTAAGTGTGTGCTAGGATTAGGATTCAATCCCAGTCAGTCCATGCTCTTACCCACTATGTTCTACTGCCTACTGCTGTGTGGTGCCTGGGTGTCCTGGAAGTCTGGAATAGTGAGGCAGATGGGGAAGAACTATAAAGAATCTCCTGAAGAGCAAAGGCTGCAACTACACTAAGGTTTCTCAATAGGGACTATTGATCTTTATAGCTGGGTAATTCTTTGCTGTGGGAAGCTGTCCTGCGCACTGTAGGATGTTTAGCGGCATTCCTGGCTTTTACCCACTAGACGTCATCATCAAACCTCCTCCCCTAGTTGTGACAAGTAAAAATGTCTGCAGACATTGCCAAATGTCACCTCAGAAAAAAATCACCCCCAGTTGAAAACCACTGAACCAGACCTTGAAGGATAAGATAGGCCTCCAGCCAGAAGGGAGAGCTGGGCAAAGGTATAGAAGCAGGGAATAGGGCCGGGCGCAGTGGCTCACACCTGTAATCCCAGCACTTTGAGGCTGAGGTGGGTGGATCATCTGAGGTCAGGAGTTCAAGACCAGCTTGGCCAACATGGTGAAACCCCATCTCTACTAAAAATACAAAAAAATTAGGCAGGCGTGGTGGCATGTGCCTGTACTCCCAGCTACTTGGGAGGCTGAGGCAGGAGAACGGTTTGAACCCAGGAGGTGGAGGTTGCAGTGAGCCAAGATTACACCACTGCCCTCCAGCTTGGGTGACAGAGCTAGACTCCATCTTGAAAAAAAAAAAAAAAAAAGCAGGGAATAAATATGGTACATGGGAGAACATGATGAAGTTGACCACCTCCTAAAAGTTGAAGGAGGATGAGATGGAGAGGTAGACAAGCTAGATAGCTGGAACTAACAATAGTGCTGAATGAAGGCCGGGTGTGCTGGCTCACGCCTGTAATCCCAGCACTTTGGGAGGCCAAGGCAGGCAGATCACGAGGTCAGAAGATCGAGACCATCCTGGCTAACACGGTGAAATGCCGTCTCTACTAAAAATACAAAAAATTAGCTGGGTGTGGTAGCACGCGCCTGTAGTCCCAGCTACTGGGGAGGCTGAGGCAGGAGAATGGCGTGAACCCGGGAAGTGGAGGTTGCAATGAGCCAAGATCGTGCCACTGCACTCCAGCCTGGGGGACAGAGCATGAGACTCTGTCTCAAAAAAAAAGTGCTGAATGACACATTTCCTTACTTTTTCTTCATCTACTTCTAAGCAGGATCAGATCTAATAACTAAGCCAGCCTTGGAAACACCTCCCAACACAGGGGTTGGGGGCAGGCTAAAGGGGTAGAAATGGTGAAACAATCACATGACGGTGTGACCTTAAGAACATTATCAAAAAATTTTTTGAGAGTTTACTCTGGGCTGAGCGGTGTACAAGGGGCTGTAAATATAAAGAAATGGGAGTAAAATCCAGTCCCTGGGTTCAAGGGGCTTACTGGGGAGACAGAGACCATGCCGAAATGCTGGGTCTTTTAATAATTTCCCACTTCATTATCTCTCTTTGCCCACACAAGTCTAGAAATTCCAAAGGTTTACAGTTTAAATGATGTCTCCAAGATTGTAAAGGTCTTCCTTTGGTCAATGATGTACCCAAAGTTGGGGTGAGAGAATATGGTAAACACACATATAAATTTACAAGGCAGTACATCCCAGTGATGAAATTAATTGCATAGAAGATCAGTGCTACACGATTTCAGAGGTGGGAAAAATCCCTAAAGGTTAAAAATAGAGGTCAATATTGAAAGAGAAAACTTAGATAAGTAGAGAACTGAAGGAAGTGGATGAAGTGAGCAAAGACCTGTCTACAAAATTTCATCTTAAATTTGGCATAGAACTTGTATTAATTACTATTTGTAGCATGACAACAGCGAAGTATACAGATGTGCCTTTTCCTGGATGGGAGGTAAACAGTATGAAAATGGACTGCCTGTGTTCAAATCCAGGCTCTGCCATTTACTAACTGTGTAAGCTTAAGCAAGGTATTTTACTGAAGTTACTGTGCTTGTTTCCTCATCTGTAACATGAAGATAACTGTACCTACCTCCTGAATTAATTATATATATGTAAGAAGATTAGAACAGAGTCTCATACATGAAAGGACACAAACGCCAGTTATGATTCTTATTATTTATATAGCCAAAGGGCAGATAACCATATCTAATTGTTGGGCAGTCTGACCAACAAACAAGGAAAAAGTCTCCTACCCCAATGCCTACCCAAAGGCCCTAAGGAAGGCTGAACTAGATGAACTGAGAATCCATAGTATGGTAACAATTCACTCCTATAAGAGTCTACATAAGCAGAAACAATTCCTACTTATCCATGGATTCATGTGATCCAAAAGCAAAGTCCAGCTCACTTCATAGGGTGCGCCATACCTACATCACAAAGAGAGCCAGGGGGTTATGGGCACCAGTTTTGGAATCAATAGGCCAGAAGTCAAATACCAGTTCCGCTACTTACTAAATGCACTAAATGTGCGAAATTAGGCAAATTATCAATGCTGTCCTTTTTTTTTTTTTTTTTTTTTTTTTGAGACAGATTCTCCCTCTTGTTGCCCAGGCTGGAGTGCAATAGCACGATCTCGGCACACTGCAACCTCCGCCTCCTGGGTTCAAGTGATTCTCCTGCCTCAGGCTCCCGAGTAGCTGGGATTACAGGCGCCTGCCACCACGCCCGGCTAATTTTTTGTATTTTTTTAGTACAGACGGGGTTTCACCATGTTGGCCAGACTGGTCTCGAACTCCTGATCTCAGGTGACCCGCCCGCCTCGGCCTCCCAAAGTGCTGGGATTACAGGCGTGAGCCACCGTGCGCGGCCTCTATGCTGTCTTAAGTCCCATTTCCACAACTGTAAAATGTGAGTAACAGGTCCTATATAATAGGAAATGTGTGAGGATTTAAATGACTATACACGCAAAACGCCTAGCCCAGTGCCTGTTACTTATATAAATAAACCTCAGTAACAATTATTTTAGTCCTAAGTAAAGCCACCAGTGTGTTTCCCCACAAATCCAGCGCAGATTTGTCCAGAACCAATCAGTGCTAGAAGTGATAACATTTTCAGTTATTAATAGAATAAGAATGGGTTGGCCGGGCGCGGTGGCTCACGCCTGTAATCCTAAAGAGTAATGCCTAAAGAGTAACTCGTAAAAAAAAGTAGTCCTAACAATGGACCTCTGGGTTTATGTTGGCCTCTGAGGAGTCTCTGGGGCTCTTACATTGCAGCCTATCCTCCAGAGCCAGGATCCAATCCCGAGTCGGGACGCGTGACTGCCCTTACCGCTCAGGTCAAGGGCTCCAGTTAAGCCTCCTGGACCACCCAACTCTACAATGAGGAATCATCGAGTCGCAGCTTTCGCCGCCCGTTGAAGGGCCGTGCCCGAGATCTATGCACAGAGGAGGCCACAGTTGCTCCCTTACAGACCAAAGGCCCGCAGGCAGGTTCCAGCAAAGAAACTGGACACGCTACCCTGGGTCCTCCTCCCAGATCACCTGAAATCCGTCCCTCCAGCCCCGCCACCTACGTGCTCCAGGCCTGTCTGGGCGCCGCCATCTTGCCCCGCAGAGATCGCGTTTCCGCCGCCGCCAGATTCCAGCTTCCGCCCCGCAGCCCAGCCCCGCCTCTCCCGGTCTTATCTCGGAGCATTCTGGGCTTTGCTTGTTCAGTGCAGCGGACTGGTGAGCGCGGTGCTGCGCGGCTGGCGGTTTATTACCCCCACGTAAGCTCTATACCATCACCCAGAACACACATCCTTTTTTTTTTTTTTTTTTTTTGAGACAGAGTCTTGCTCTGTCGCACAGGCTGGAGTGCTGTGGCGCAATCTCGGCTCACTGCAACCTCCGCCTCCCGGGCTCAAGCGATTCTTGTGCCTCAGCCTCCCGAGTAGCTGGGATTACAGGTGCCCGCCACCACGTCTGGCTAATTTTTGTATTTTTAGTAGAGACGGGGTTTCACCATGTTGGCCAAGCTGGTCTCGAACTCCCGACCTTAGGTAATCCGCCCGCCTCGGCCCCCCAAAGTGCTGTGATTACAGGATGTGCCACCGCGCCTGGCCCACACATGCTTCTGATGTACAGCAGGCACAGCCCCTTCTGCACTTACGACACCCCTGGCAGGGACACAGCGTTCCTCAGACGTCCCTCTGCACTCACCAGCCAGTGTTACCACATCCCACATCCCAGCACCCACGCCCACGGCAGCACACAGAAACGTGGACACACACACACACCCCAACGTGACGAATGTGTTTATGGAAGAGCTAGAAGGTAACCATGAAAAAGGCCCAAGGAAAGAACACTGCCAGTGTGCACTGCAGAAATAGTGGTGGTGAGAAGAGAGGGAATAAAGCTTCCTTGCTAGCAAGGTTATCATCTTCTCCAGAATCTTGCCTTTGTTCATCCCACTCTCCCTTCTTGGAAATCCTCCCTCTTTTCCCTGCCACCCCTGTCTCCAAAGGATAACTCTTTAAGGCCTAGCTGGCGTCAACTCTAAAACCTCTGCCAGCCACGCCTACTCACCAAACTTTCCTTGGATTCACCTGGAATCTCACCGCCTGCACCAGTTGTGTGGTATGCTAAGAACACACTGCCAACTACCAACTGTCACCGGTTACCTTTTCACAGGCTTATGTCCTGTTCCCTTGAATAGACTGTCAGTTCCTTGTGGGCACCAGACCTTGTACTTTGCATCTAAATACTGAGCACCCAACGTGTTGCCATGCACATAGTAGGACCTTAAGTAAATCATTTCTAGACCAAAGGACATCATGGGGCAGCCAATGTTAGTCCAGTGGCTTTCCAACTTTAACAGGCACCAGAATCAACTGGAAGTCTTGTTAAACCAGATTGCTGGGGCCAGGCACAGTGGCACATGCCTATAATCCCAGTACTTTGGGAGGCTGAAGCTGGCAGATCACCTAAGGTCAGGAGTTCGAGACCAGCCTGACCAACATGGTGAAACCCCATCTCTACTAAAAATATAAAAATTAGCAGGGCATGGTGGTGTCCATCTGTAGTCCCAGCTACTCAAGAGGCTGAGCCAGGAGAATCACTTGAACCTGGGAAGCGGAGGTTGCAGTGAGCCAAGATGGAACCACTGCACTCCAGATTGGGCCACAGAGCCAGACTCTGTTTCAAACAAAACGAAACAGATTGCTGGGCCTCAACCTCTGAGTTTCTGATTCAGTAGGTTTTTCTTTTTCTTTCTTTTTTTTTTTTTAAGACGGAGTCTTGCTCTTGTCGCCCAGGCTGGAGTGCAATAGCATGATCTCGGCACACTGCAACCTCCTCCTGGGTTCAAGTGATTCTCCTGCCTCAGCCTCCCGAGTAGCTGGGATTACAGGCGCCCGCCACCATGCCCAGCTAATTTTTGTATTTTTAGTAGAGACGGGGTTTCACCATGTTGGCCAGGCTGGTCTCGAGCTCCTGACCTCAGGTGATCCACCTACGTCAGCTTCCTAAAGTGCTGGGATTACAGGCATGAGCTACTGCACCTGGCCTGTTTCAGTAGGTTTCCTTTTTTTTTGTGACAGAGTCTCGCTCTGTCGCCCAGGCTGGAGTGCACTGGCGCAGTCTCAGCTCACTGCAACCTGCACCTCCCGGGTTCACACCATTCTCCTGCCTCAGCCTCCTGAGTAGCTGGGACTACAGGCACCTGTCACCATGCCGGGCTACTTTTTTGTATTTTTAGTAGAGACAGGGTTTCACCGTGTTAGCCAGGATGGTCTCCATCTCCTGACCTCGTGATCTGCCCGCCTTGGCCTCCCAAAGTGCTGGGATTACAGGCGTGAGCCACCGTGCCCAGCCGATTCAGTAGGTTTCTAATAGAGCCCCAAAATTTGTATTTCTACCAAGTTTCTAGGTGATGCTGCTGGTCCCGCACTATAGCAGATCTATAATCCTCTTGGCTTCAACTACAGATGTAAATTTCGGCTACTAGGATTTAGTCATCTTGAGGTCCAAAATAGTACTAGACCTGGTCAGAAGTTATGGAGGCAGCGGGATGAGGGAGAGGAACTGGAGCCAAATATGCAGAATGAATGATAGTAGAAAATAATTGTTCGCAATGAAATAACGAGATAATGGCTCCTGGCAATGGTGCCACCACGCCCAGCTAAGTTTTGTATTTTTAGTAGGGACACGGTTGGACCATGTTGGCCAGGTTGGTCACGAACTCCTGACCTCAGGTGATCTGGCCTCCCAAATGCTGGGACTATAGGCATAAGCCACCATCCCCAGCTCCAGCATTCTGTTTTAACAAGCCTTCCACTTAATTTTGGTGCCTGCTAAGGTTGGAAAACACACCCAGCCTCATATAAAGTCTTCATCAACCTTTGACCTAATAGTTTTAACAGTCATTGTTTAACAACTAGGTGAAAGGTTGATGCAGACTTTATATGGATGGATCAGGTTGCCATTATATGAACTTACTGATGAATCTTTTCTACTGTTTTGAGATAGGGTCTTGCTCTGTTGCCCAGGCTGGAGTGCAGTGGTGCAACCTCAGCTCACTGCAACCTCTGCTTCCCTCTGCTTGCTGAGCTCAAGCGATTCTCCTGCCTCAACCTCCTGAATAGCTGGGATCACAGGCCTGAACCAAACGTGGCTAATTCTTTTATTTTTTGTAGTGACAGGGTTTTGCCATGTCACCTAGTCTGGTGTCAAACTCCTGGGCTCTAGTGACTCACCCGCCGCAGCCTCCCAAAATGCTGGAATTACAGGCATGAGTCACTGCACCAGCCGAGACTATTTATTTATTATTTATTTTATTTTATGTTGTTGAGATGGAGTCTTGCTCTGTTGCCCAGGCTGGAGTGCAGTGGCATGATCTCGGCTCACTGCAGCCTCCGCCTCCTGGGTTCAAGTGGTTCTCCTGCCTCAGCCTCCTAAGTAGCTGTGATTACAGGCGTGTGCCACCATACCTGGCTAACTTTTTTCTTTTTTTTTTGAGACGGAGTTTCGCTCTTGTTGCCAAGCTGCAGGGCAATGGTGTGATCTCGGCTCACTGCAAACTCTGCCTCCTGGGTTCAAGTGATTATCTTGCCTCAGCCTCCCAGGTAGCTGGGGTTACAGGCACATGCCACCATGCCCGGCTAATTTTTGTATTTTGAGTAGAGACAAGGTTTCAATTCACCATGTTGACCAGGCTGGTCTCATACTCCTGACTTCAGGTGTTCTACCCACCTCGGCCTCCCAAAGTGCTGGGATTACAGGCGTGAGCCACTGCGTCCAGCCAATTTTTGTATTTTTAGTAGAGACAGGGTTTCACCATGTTGGTCAGGCTGGTCTCAAACTCCTGACCTCAGGTGATTTGCCCACCTCAGCCTCCCAAAATGCTGGGATTACAAGTGTAAGCCACTGCACTGGGCAGAGACTATAACATATGAAATGCGGTCTTTGTTTATATCTTCATTTTTGAAACTGTTTTTTTGAGACTGTTAGGGAATACTAAATATAAACTAGATTTTGTATGATATTAAGGATTTACTTTTTTTTTTTTTTGAGATAGGGTCTTGCTTTGTCACCGAGGCTGGAGTGCAGTGGTGCTGTCATGACTCACTGCAGCCTCGACCTCCTAGGCTCAAGTGATCCTCCCACCTCAGCCTCCCAAGTAGCTGGGACCACAGGTGCATGCCACCACACCCAGCGAGGATTTATGAAATTTTTATTGGGTAAGACTATGTTTTTTTGTTTCAAAGACTGGGTGTGGTGGCTCATGCTTATAATCTCAGCACTTTGGTAGGCTGAGGCAGGAGTATTGCTTGTGGCCAGGAATTCAAGACCAGCCCGGGCAACGTAGGAAGACCCTGTTCTATAAAAAAAATTTTTTTTAATTAGCTGGGTGTGGTGGCACCTATAGTCCTAGCGATGCAGCGGCGGGGGAATAGCTTGATCCCAGGAATGTGAGGCTGCAGCAAGCTGTTTGCACAACTGCACCCCAGCCTCAGTGACAGAATGAGACTTTGTCGCTAAAAAGAATTTTTTTTTTTTTGAGACGGAGTCTCGCTCATGTCGCCCAGGCTGGAGTGCAATGGTGCAATCTCAGCTCACTGCAACCTCCACCTCCCGGGTTCAAGCTATTCGCCTGCCTTAGCTTCCTAAGTAGCAGGGATTACAGGTGCCCACCACCACGCCTAGCTAATTTTTGTACTTTTAGTAGACACGGGGTTTCGCCATGTTGTCCAGGATGGTCTCAAACTCCTGACCTCAGGTGATCCGCCTGCCTCAGCCTCCCAAAGTGCTGGGATCACAGGAGTGAGCCACTGCACCTGGCAAAAGAATAATTTTTTTTTTCACTTTGTCGCCCAGTCTGGAGTGCAGTGGCGTGATCTCGGCTCACTGCAAGCTCCGCCTCCCGGGTTCACGCCATTCTCCTGCCTCAGCCTCCGAGTAGCTGGGACTACAGGCGCCCGCCACCATGTCCAGCTAATTTTTTTGTATTTTTAGTAGAGACGGGGTTTCACCGTGTTAGCCAGATGGTCTCAATCTCCTGACCTCGTGATCCACCCGCCTCGGCCTCCCAAAGTGCTGGGATTACAGGCGTGAGCCACTGCGCCCGGCCATTGTTTCTTTTCTAGGATCACATCAAAGATACCACATTACATTTATTTTTATGTATGTATTTATGTATGTATGTATTTTTTGAGACAGAGTCTCGCTCTGTCGCCTAGGCTGGAATGGAGTGGCGCAATCTCAGCTCACTGCAACCTCCACCTTCCAGGTTCAAGAGATTCTCGTGCCTCAGTCTCCTGTGTAGCTGAGATTACAGGCACCCATCACCATGTCCTGTTAATTTTTGTATTTTTTGTAGAGACAGCGTTTCACCATGTTGGCCAGGCTGGTTTCGAACTCCTGACCTCAAGTGATCTGCCAGCCTTGGGCTCCCAAAGTGCTAGGATTGCAGGCATGAGCCATCATGCTGGGCCTTTATTTATTTTTGAGACAGGGTCTCCTCTGTTGCCCAGGCTGGAGTGCAGTGGCACAATCACAGTTTACCACAGCTTCAACCTCCTGGGCTCAAGCTATCCTCCTACCTTAGCCACCCAAGTAGCTGGAACCACAGGTGTGTGCCATCAGGCTTGGCTAATTTTTTATTTTTATTTTCGTAGAGACAGAGTCCTGCCATCTTGCCCAGGCTGGTCTTGAACTCCCAGCCTCAAGGGATCCTCCCATCTCGGCCTACCAAACTGTTGGGATTACTGGTGTGAGCCACTGTGCCAGACCTACATTACATTTAGTTGTCAAGTCCCCTTAGGCGCCTCTTGGCTATAACAATTTCATAGACTTTTTATATTTTTGATGACTTTTACAGCTTGGAGTAATACTGGTAGGGTGTTTTGTAGAATGCCCCTCAGTTGGAGGCCTGGCATGGTGGCTCATGTGTGTAATCCCAACACTTTGGGAGGCCAAGACTGGTGGATCACCTGAGGTCAGGAATTTGAGATCAGCCTGGCCAACATGCTGAAACCTTGTCTCCACTAAAAACACAAAAAAATTAGCCAGTGGTGGCACGTGTCTGTAACCCAGCTACTTGGAAGGCCGAGGCAGGAGGATCCCTTGAATCTGGGAGGTGGAGGTTGCTGAGATTGCGTCATTGCACTCCAGCCTGAGCAACAGAGTGAGATTCTGTCTCAAAAAAAAAAAAAAAAAAAAAAAAAAAGGAATGCCTCTCAATTAGAATTTGTCTAATGTTTCTCTCATGATTAGACTGGGGTTATAGGTTTTTGAGAGGAAGACCACAGGTTACCCTGCCAATTTTATTACATCCTGTTAAGGGTACGTACTATCAACATGTCTTATCACTAGTGGTATTAACCTTAATCACCGGCTGAGGTAATGTTTGTCAAGTTTCTCCACTGTAAAGTTACTCTTTCACCCCTGCTTTTCATACTATGTGCAGATCACGTAGTATGTCACTATGTGCAGATCACAATGAGTGGGCAGTCGTGCTCCGCCTCCATGTGGGTGGAGCGCCTACATACATTATTTGGAATTCTTCTGCATGGAAGAGGTCTGTGTTCCCCATTGATTGATTGATTGATTATTATTATTTTGAGACAGAGTCTGGCTCTGTTACCCAGGCTGGGGTGCAATGGCGCGATCTCGGCTCACTGAAACCTCTGCCTCTCTTTTATGGCAATTATCCTGCCTCAGCCTCCCAAGTAGCTGGGATTACAGGCACACACCAACACACCCGGCTAATTTTTTGTATTTTTAGTAGAGACGGGGTTTCACCATGATGGCCAGGCTGGTCTCAAACTCCTGACCTCAAGGGATCCACCTGTGTCAGCCTCCCAAAGTGCTAGGATTACAGGCGTGAGCCACCGCACCCGGCCCCCATTGATTTATTTATTAATATAGATACAGGCTTTTATATATTGGTTTGTGATTTAATACTATTTCATTTTATTTATTTACTTTTTGAGACAGAGTATCGCTCTTTTGCCCAGGCTGGAGTGAAGTGGCGCAATCTCAGCTCACTGCAATCTCCAGCCCCTGGGTTCAGGCAATTCTCCTGCCTCAGCCTCCCAAGTAGCTGGGATTACAGGCATGTGCCACTGCACTCAGCTAATTTTGTATTTTTAGTAGAGATGTGGTTTGGTTTCTCCATATTAGCCAGGCTGACCTCGAACTCCTGACCTCAAGTGATCCACCCACCTCAACCTCCCAAAGTGCTAGGATTACAGGTGTGAGCCACCACACCCAGCCAATACTATTTTATTTTGTTGCTCAAATTTTTTCACCTCTCCAATGACCTTTTACTATACCCTGTCGGGGTGCGTGTGTGCATTTCCTTACGTTCTGGCATTACAAGAAAGTAAGGAAATAGCTCCTCTTGTATATTTCCTGCCCCAATCCTAGAATCAGTCATTTCTTCAAGGACTCTTGAAGAAGTTATTAGAGAATAACTGTTATTGGAGAATGGTATTAGAAACCGAGATCTGGGCCAGGCACAGTGGCTCACACTTGCAATCCCAACACTTTGGGAGGCCTAGATGGGAGGACAGCCAGAGGCCAGGAGTTTGAGATCAGCTTGGTCAACAAAGGGAGACCCTCATCTCTAATAATAATAATAATAATAATAATAATAATAATATTAAACTAAGATCTGCGTGGTAAGTATGCTCATTGCTACTGGGGTGTCTTGCTTTTTGGACCTTCTCAACTGTCAGAGTAAGTGAATATATGTATATACTACAGTATACACACATATTTATAACTTTCTCTATGTAATCATCTGTATATATGGGTCAGTTTTTTTTTTTTTTGAGATGGGGTCTCGCTCTGTTGCCCAGGCTGGAGTGCAGTGGTGCAATCTCGGCTCAGTGCCAGCTCCGCCTCCCGGGTTCACGCCATTCTCCTGCCTCAGCCTCCCAAGTAGCTGGGACTACAGGTGCCCACCACCACGCCCGGCTAATTTTTTGTGTTTTTAGTAGAGACGGGGTTTCACCGTGTTAGCCAGGACGATCTCGATCTCCTGACCTCGTGATCCACCTGCCTCAGCCTCCAAAAGTGCTGGGATTACAGGTGTGAGCCACCGCGCCAGGCCAGGTCAGTTTTTTTTTTTTTAAGTCTACCTGTTACAGATATATATTATAATATTTACAGCTGAAATTATATGGCTAAGATTTGCTTTTAGAAACTTCAGCAATCCGGCTGGGAGTGGTGGCTCATGCCTGTAATCCCAGCACTTTGGGAGGCTGAGGCAGGCAGATCACGAGGTCAGGAGATCGAGACCATCCTCGCTAACACGGTGAAACCCCGTCTCTACTAAAAATATAAAAAATTAGACGGGCGTGGTGGCGGGCACCTGTAGTCCCAGCTACTCAGGAGGCTGAGGCAGGAGAATGGTGTGAACCCAGGAGGTGGAGCTTGCAGTGAGCCGAGATAGCGCCACTGCACTCCAGCCTGGGTGACAAAGCAAGACTCTGTCTCAAAAAAAAAAAAAACAAACAAAAAAAAAACAAACTTTAGCAATCTCTGGTTGTCTAGCGGTTAGGAATAAAAGTTGAAGAAAAAAAAAACCCAGCAAAACAACAAACTAGGACAATGAAATACAATTGACTAAGATAGTCATTGAAGCAGGATGCCAGGTACACTGGGGATTCACTCATTATACTGTTCTCTCTACTTGCATGTATGTTTGAAATATTCCGCTGGGCACAGTGACTCACGACTCTAATCCCAGTACTTTGGGAGGCCGAGGCAAGTGGATCACAAGTCAGGAGCTCAAGACCAGCCTGGCCAATATGGTGAAACCCCATCTTTACTAAAAATACAAAAATTAGCTGGGCATGGTGGCATGTGCCTGTAGTCCCAGCTACTCGGGAGGCTGAGGCAGAAGAATCGCTTGAACCGGGAGGCCGAGGTTGCAATGAGCTGAGATAGCACCACTGCACTCCAGCCTGGGTGACAGAGCAAGACTCAGTCTTAAAAAAAAAAAAAAAAAAAGAAAAAGAAATATTCCATAATACAAAATAATATGACTGGGTGCAGTGGCTCATGCCTGTAATCCCAACACTTTGGGAGGCCGAGGTGGGCAGATCACAAGGTCAGGAGTTCGAGACCAGCCTGGCCAACGTGATGAAACCCTGTCTCTGCTAAAAATACAAAAATTAGCTGGGCATGGTGGCATGAGCCTGTAATCCTAGCTACTCAGGAGGCTGAGTCAGGAGAATCGCTTGAGCCTGGGAGGCAGAGGTTGCAGTGAGCTGAGATCGTGCCACTGCACTCCAGCCTGGACAACAGAGCGAGACTCTGTCTCAATAAATAAATATGTACATACATACATACACATATAAAATAAGAAAATAGAGCCAGAAAACCCTCACTGACCAGGCTGCAGTTAAAGAGGGTCAAATAGAGAAAGACAGCCAGCCAGATACAAGGCATTAACACACATGCACATACAGGCACACACACAAGCATACATACATACACGCACATGCATACACACACATATACATACAGACGCACACACGCATACACACAGGCACACACACATACACACACACATACACACGTGTCCATACACACACAAAACTCTTCCACAGCCATCTTTAGGTGAAATTTTGAAGATGAAAGTTTTTCTTCCATGTTTGGACCCATCTGCCCTTTCAGAAACCGCAACCTTATTGCTCTACTGCTTCCTAAATCTGCTTTTGGAGGGAAATCTGATCATTTGAAATATTTCCTGTGACTGAAAGTCAAAGTGTGGTCTTCTTAGGAATTTACATTTCTGTGTCATCTTTGATGGGGCAAGAAGTTGCATTGTTTCTGGCTTAGGAATTTCAGGCAGTGGGTGTTTGACAGGGACAGCAACAGTCCCCAGCACATGTGGAATTACACATATAGGTAATGTTTCTACCAGTCCCAGAGGTTTCTCTAAGGTGAGGAACATAGTCTGTGGCCTGCCCCATCCCCCCATCCCTTGAGTGGAACTTGCCCACTCTCACCTCTTTTTTTTTTTTTTTTTTTTTTTTTTTTTTGAGACAAGATCTCGCTCTGTAACCCAGGCTGGAGTGCAGTGGCACCATCTCAGCTCACTGCAGCCTCCACCTCCCGGGCTCAAGTGATCCTCCCACTTCAGTGTCCCAAGTAGCTGGGACTACAGGCATGCGCCACCACATCTGGCTAATTTTTGTATTTTTGGTAGAGACAGGGTTTCACCGTGTTGGCCAGGCCGGTCTTGAACTCCTGACCTCAGGTGATCTTCCCGCCTCAGCCTCCCAAAGTGCTGTGATTATAGGTGGGAGCCATCACGCCTGGGCAACTCTTATCTCTTGAGACAGTAGTTGGGAAAGAACAGGTCTTTGGTTATATGACCAGTGAGACTGTCATGATCCTGCAGCTCACCATGGTTTCCTCTTGTTTCCCCCACTCTAGGGGTGGGGCAGAAGGCCTTAACTCTGAAAAAGCTGAAACAGCTGCTTCTTCAGAGTGCCGGAAGTTGGTAGCAGAGTGCCCTGCTTCTGTGGACAATGGTTTTTATCTCCAGGTTTGTCTTCATCTTCTCTGGATCCTTGGCCTCCTTGAACAGTTCTGGGTCATAAAAGGCTGAGAGTGGGCAGAGAGTTATTTTACTAGATTAGTGAGATGCTGTGCCCAACCTAGTCCCATCCATAATCAGGGGCTGCCGCTGGCCCTTCCTCTCACTCAGTCTTCCTCCACCCTTGCGGCCCCTTCTTACTCCTCTGGAATAGAGTATAGCTGCTTCTGGTTCTGTTCTAAGGACAGGAACTCCTGGGACAGCCACTCCCGCATTAGGTCAAAAACATTTCCTGTTGATTTTATTAGTTTCCTTCCAAACAATGCATTTATGGAAGAAGAAGAGCTTTTGCAGGCATGCATTTGCACAGGCAGCCAACCTCCTCCAGTCACACACAGACACACACACACCTCCACACCCACACGCACACACTTTCTTCCCATCCGCCCACAAAGCATCAGTCACATTTAGAATTTGCACAAATGCACACCCTCCCTCATACATCACAATGCACACCCTCTCATCCACCTACATGTCTCTTCCACAAAATCACACCTGCTCACATACCCTTAGAAGCACATTCCTGTACTGTGCCCAGAGAGAGAAAGGTGGGGGAGATAAGCAAGGAGAATGGGTTAGAAGGGCTCAGGAGGTCAAACCTCTGTAGGAGCTGAAAAGTCAGAAGACCAGGACCCCCCACTCCTCTCTGCCCTTTTTTTTTCTTTCTTTCTTTTTTTTTTGAGATGGAGTCATGCTCTGTCGCCCAGGCTGGAGTGCAATGGCGCAATCTCGGCTCACTGCAACCTCCGTCTCCCAGGTTCAAGTGGTTCTCCTGCCTCAGCCTCCTCAGTAAGTAGCTGGGATTACAGGCAGCCGCCACCACATCCAGCTAATTTTTGTATTTTTAGTAGAGATGAGGTTTCACCATGTTGGCCAGGCTGGTATCGAACTCCTGACCTCATGATCCGCCTGCCTAGGCCTCCCAAAGTGCTGGGATTACAGGTGTGAGTCACTGCTCCCGGCCTCCTCTCTGCCCCTGTAAGTAGAAATACTACGGCTGGGCAAGGTGGCTCATGCCTGTAATCCCAGCACTTTGGGAGGCGAAGGTTGCAGTGAGCCGAGATCACGCCATTGCACTCCAGCCTGGGTGACAAAGCGGGACTCCGTCTCAAAAAAAAAAAAAAAAAAAGAAATACTATGAATTGAGAGAGATTTAGAATTAGGGGTAGGGGAAGCAGGAACTCAGGGCCCCCTGTCCCACACAGAAAGTGTGCTGCCTCTGTGACAGTGATGTATCTCAGGCTGGTGGCTGAGGTGGGAAGTTTGTCAAGGCTGTAAGTGGCATCCATCACATGTCCGAGAAGCCCATTTTGACCAGTAGAAAAGGATGGCCTTTAGGGTGGGATTCCCTATCAGCTCAGGAAATGGTGCGGAGGGAATGAAGAGAGATAAGGAAGTAAAAGGCTGGGTTGGGCTCTGGGTCCAACATCCTCTAGAATGAATCTTACTAATGTCAGCTGGAATCAAGAGGAGGAGGCTCCCCTTCACTGGAAACTTGAAGTCCCCCTCAGAGAAAAGGCGGGAGAGAGGGCTTGGAAAAGTGACAAGTGCCCAAGAGCAGCCCAGGCAATTCTGCCTTCGGCCCCAGACTATTGTCTGCCTGCCCTGACTCAGCCCAAACTCAGAAACTGTGGATTCTGGAAAGTAACGAGACTTTTCCTTTGGGAAAGGGTCCTGAAGCTGACCCACAGTGCTCAAGAAAATTGGCAGAGAGGCCAGGCACAGTGGCTCACACCTGTAATCCCAGTATTTTGGGATGCCGAGGTGGGCGGATTACCTAAGGTCAGGAGTTTGAGACCAGCCTGGCCAACATGGTGAAACCCTGTCTGTACTAATAATACAAAAATGAGCCGAACGTGGTGGTGGGCACCTGTAATCCCAGCTACTCATGAGGCTGTGGCAGGAGAATCGCTTGAACCCATGAGGTGGAGGTTGCAGTCAGCCAAGATCGCACCATTGCACTCCAGCCTGGACGACAAGCGTGAAACTTCATCTAAAAAAAAAAAAGAAGAAGAAGAAGAAGAAAGAGAGGAAGAGGAAGAAGCAGAGAAGAATAGGAGGAGGAGGAGGGGAAGGGGAAGTGGAAGGGGAAGGGGAAGAGAGGGAGAGGAAGAAGAAGAAGAAAGAAGGAAGAAGAAGGAAGAAGGAAGAAGAACATAATTGCCAGAGAGCTCAGTGAAACAGAGACAGAGGAGACGGAAGTGAGCCACACACTCTGTGTCCTCGCCTCACCAGGAAACTACTAAAGTTCCTGGGGAAGCAAAGTAGAATTTCATAAGAACAAAATGGATGGAGAGGAGAAAACCTATGGTGGCTGTGAAGGCCCTGATGCCACGTATGTCAAATTGATATCATCTGATGGCCATGAATTTATTGTAAAAAGAGAACATGCATTAACATCAGGCACGATAAAAGCCATGTTGAGTGGCCCAGGCGTTTTATGGGTTTGGCTTTTAAATTTAGGTCTTTGGTCTTAAGTTAATTTTTGTTTATGCTGTGAGGTCAGTTTGCTGAGAACGAAACCAATGAGGTCAATTTTAGAGAGATACCTTCACATGTGCTATCGAAAGTATGCATGTATTTTACCTACAAGGTTCGCTACACTAACAGCTCCATCGAGATTCCTGAATTCCCAATTGCACCTGAAATTGTACTAGAACTGCTGATGGCTGCGAACTTCCTAGATTGTTAAATAAAATAAATTATAATAAACTGTTAACTCTTTTCAGTATGTAATACCTGTAGATCAGTTAGTAACTTTTTCATATATAGCATGTTGCCTGTATGCAGTTTAACTATATAAAGTTCATTGCAAAGCAGATTATCTTGTTTTTTTCATAGCAATCAAAGTTGAAATTTGTTTGCTACATCAACAAATTAAGAACATTTTCACAAACTGAGAAATAAACAAATATGCCAATTAAAAAAAAAAAAAGAAAGAAACAGAGACAGAGATATCTGGCCCCTGCCATCCATGTCTTGACAGTGCCTCATGAGTCTCTCCTCCTGCTGCCGCCTGGGGGCGCCCCCAGCTGGGTCTCAGGCTGCTGCCAGCACTGCTGTTGTTATCATTAGGGTAATTAATAAACAAGCACTGCTGGGGCCAAGTGGAAGAAGAGGCAGGCCCCTGCTGCTCAGGAGAATCCCTGAAAAGATCCAGTGAGCCTGCGGCAACCGGAGCTGAGTGGCTGGTCCCTCCTCTCTACCCAGGACCTCTGGAAGGGGTGTGGGGTGGGCTTCCCCCTGGAGGGAAGGGCAAGGGGAGGAGCACACTTGGTAGGCTTGGTTTGGAACCAGCTCTGCATGTGCCTAACAGGATGTCTGTGGGCAAGGCCACCCTCGTGATTACTGGTTGTGGGGCAGGCTCTGAAGCAATTATTCATTCATTTAACAGGCATCTGCCTATTTATTTATGGAAAGCCTACTGTGTGCAAGGTGGTCTACTAATAATAGCTAATGTTTGACTGGACAGTGTGACGACACAGCCAACTTTCACACCAGGTCCTGGGAAAAGGGGTAGAAGCAGGGGAAGCAACCAGGAAAAATGACAGCCCAAAAAGATACGGGCAATTAGGCTTTGGCCTGTGTAGTGTAGTGGTGGGGATATATATTAGGTAAAACCTGGGGATTACCAAGATCTTGGGAAACTCAGGACCCAAGTTGGAAAACATACGGCAATTGGGGCTGGAGAAAATGGGCATTTTTCAGGTGGGAGGGACTTGGAGATAAAGGCATGGCAATAGGACATGAATATGGGGATTTTGGGTGAATGGCTCAATGAAAGGGAGGCACGAAGGGATGCTAGCCGATCCTGTTGGGGGAGCCCCGGGTCACGGCAGTTTCGGGGAGCCAGATGGATGGGAGTGTCTAGGGGTTGAGGTGCTCTAAGTCCTGAGAGGGGGATGCTGGATTCTGGGATCAGAGTCCGAACAAGAGTTGGGGTGTGGTGGGGGCTGACAGCGGGGTTTTGAGGGAAGGCTCTGGAGGGCTGGGTTAGAAAAGATGCCGGAGCGGGTTTAGGGAAAGGAGGGGCGTGGCCGGGGAGCCCATCCTGGAGGCCAAGCCGGATCCTCAGGTTTGGCCAGGGGGCGGCTGGGGCCGGCGTGCCGGCGGGGCGCCGGCGGGGCCGCGGGGGTTTGCGGCGCTGGCTGGGATTCGCGCTCCGAGCCAGTCGCCGGGGCTCCGCGGGGGGGCGGTGCGAGCTCGGGCTGCGGGCGGGCCGGGAGGAGGCGGCGGCTCCGAGAAGAACATGAATCAGCGGCGGCGACGGCGGCGACGGCAGTGGAAGGAGCGCGGTGGCGCGGGAGCGGCCCCGGGGACCCCGCGCTGCTGACGGCGGCGACCGCGGCCGGAGGCGGGCGCGGGTCTCGGAGGCGGTCGCCTCAGCACCGCCCCACGGGCGGCCCCAGCCCCTCCCGCAGCCCTCCTCCCTCCCGCTCCCTTCCCGCCGCCTCCTCCCCGCCCTCCTCCCTCCTCGCTCGCGGGCCGGGCCCGGCATGGTGCGGCGTCGCCGCCGATGGCGCTGAGGCGGAGCATGGGGCGGCCGGGGCTCCCGCCGCTGCCGCTGCCGCCGCCACCGCGGCTCGGGCTGCTGCTGGCGGCTCTGGCTTCTCTGCTGCTCCCGGAGTCCGCCGCCGCAGGTAGGGGCTGGCACGGGAGGCGGCGGGAAGCGGGGGGCTGCGGAGGGGCGCGGCCGGGGGTCGGAGCCCGGGGCGGGCCTGGCGGGCTGGAGTCGGGGTGGGGGTCCGGAGCCGAAGGCCGAGGCTCGGAGCCGGGACAGGGCACGCTGCGGAGTGCTCGCCGCCAGATCTCCGGCCGGGCCCCCACCCCCAACTTTCTGGCGCTCGGGGCTCTTCTGGCGGGGTGGAAGAGAAGGGAGCGGGGTGTGGGCTGTGTGGTCAGCGGGGAGTGTTTGGGACTGCATTTTCCCGCCTCGATGTTCCCAGCTGTTAGCTCCCTCCTTCCCAGTACTGGGGACCCCATTCTGCCTGCCCCGCACGCGAAGGTCCGCCTCGGAAACCACACGGGCCGGGGCTGGGCACCCAAAGGCCACCCTGATACCATTTAGGTACACAGGGGCTGTGAGGGTGCCCAGTCACAAAAAACAAATGGGCACACTCGAGTTCCTGTGCCCTCAGAGCTTCCTGAAAGCAGAACCTTGGAGAGGATGGGCTGGTGCCAGGTTGCTGGTCTTTGGGAGGGGTTAGTCTTGTGTTCCCACATAGCCACTGAGGCATTTGCTGGTGACAAGAGCGTTCCATGCAGCACGGTGCTCTCCAAGTTCCCACCCCGCACCTCGGGGACTGATGGGCATATAGGGAGCGGGAGGCTGGCCCCCATCCTGTGACTGGTCCTGAGAGGGTGAAGGGAGCAGGGAAGAGCCACAGGCCAGGACAGCGGCCACCCGCTGGCATCTTCTCTTGAGACAGCATTCCTTGCCATATCAGCCTCTCAGGGAAGGGAAGGGAAACGGGGTGACGAGTATTTACAAGCCGAAAGGTGCGGACCTGATGCTCAGGGAGCCCACGACTTTGCCTAGAGTCACACAGCAAAGGGTGAGAAGAAGCAGGGCTGGATTTCAGTTATGTGGATACTTGACCTGCCCCTCTCTCTGCTTAAAAACATGCCAGGAGGCCAGGAGAGGTGCGTGTATGTGTGTGTGTGTGTGTGTGTGTGTGTGTGTGTGTGCGCGCGCGCGCGCGCGCTCGCACGCAAGTTCCAAAGAGTGGCCCCTGTTAATGTGGCAGTGGCTCAGGGGTCTTAGGCTCCCTGCTCAGGGCCCCAGCCCTCCCTTCTGCCTCCCACCTTCCTAGCACTCGCCCCTGCCCACATTCAGGTATTAATAGAGTGGATGGCTGCCAGGAAGGCTGCCATGTGTTTGATCTGACGTGGTTTTGCAGCCATATGTTCTCCACTTCAGGGGAGCACCCCCTCCTTTCCTTCTTCAGCCCTGCTCCATTTGGTAAGGTTGGGTGCAGAGGGTGCTGGCAGCAATTCAGGGTCTGGGCTGACACCTTGGGTGGAGAGCTGGCAGCCTGTTGCACTAGTTGGGTGCAGCAGTCATTCCTAGAGCAGTGCCTGCCCCAGTAGGGTAACTCCCATCGTTTCAGCCCAGCCTGCCTTCCTTTTGCTGTCTGGGCTCAGAAGGAGGACATGGGGAAGAGGTCCTTAGAGCCGGAGGGAACTTGGAGAGCTTGCCATGCCCCTTCCCTTCGCCCAGGTCCAGCGACCTTCCCTTCCACACTGTCCTACCTCTGCTTCCTTGACTTTGGCTGAGAAAGAGCCCTCTGTCTGACACAGAAGCTACCTTCTAGAAGAGAATGGGAACTGTTTACAGAGACAGAGTCCCTCTCAAGGCTGACACATGTTCCTTCCCACCCCTCAGGTCTGAAGCTCATGGGAGCCCCGGTGAAGCTGACAGTGTCTCAGGGGCAGCCGGTGAAGCTCAACTGCAGTGTGGAGGGGATGGAGGAGCCTGACATCCAGTGGGTGAAGGATGGGGCTGTGGTCCAGAACTTGGACCAGTTGTACATCCCAGTCAGCGAGCAGCACTGGATCGGCTTCCTCAGGTGCAGGCCTGTGGGGGAAGGTGTGGGCTGCCAGCCAGGGGGCAGGCTATGCTCTTTCCTTGGGGATTGGGAGCTGGGGCCCTCTCCTGATGCCCAGAGGTCTGTGGTTTTTTTATTTGGCTACCTGTGGGACCTTCCAGAAGTGGGGGCAGGCTGAACTCATCAAGTTTGCCCAGCAGAGCTGCCGCCCTTGCCCTCGGAAGCAAGCCTCGTATCCTGTTTCCACAGCCTGAAGTCAGTGGAGCGCTCTGACGCCGGCCGGTACTGGTGCCAGGTGGAGGATGGGGGTGAAACCGAGATCTCCCAGCCAGTGTGGCTCACGGTAGAAGGTGAGGAGGCAGAGCCATATGGGCGTGTTGGCCTGGAGCACGTGCTGTCTGCTGGTGACTATACCTCTGCAGCGGAGAACTCAGTAGAAGCTGGGCTGCCCCACTGCTCTGTGGGGCCTGGTTGTCCAGGCTGTAGGCCCACTCCAGATGTCGGAAGACCCTACCAGTTGGAGTTGGGTATCTGAGAACCAAGGGACCAACTGGGATCCACAACCTGTGGGGTGCAGTCTGTTTCCGTTGCTTGAGCAACAAGCTTCAAGCATCCATCTGGGACTGGACCCTGTTCTGCCAAGTGGCCTGGCCAGCAGGGGGAGGGGAGGAAGGCTCTGCAGCTGCGGGAGCTCAGAGCTGTTCAGCCCAGGAAAACAAAGTGACTAAGAAAGTAACAAAGGGCCCTGAATGGGAGCTGGGGCCTGGCAGCAGAACTCTGCTAAAGCTCTCACCCACTCCCCTGAGTTTTATGCCCCTCTCCCAGCTCTCCACCCCCAGTCTCCTCTCTTACTGCAAGAAGAGCTGTCCAAATCTGCCATGCCTAAGGGGGCAGCATGGAAGATGTGTCTAAGGTGCCAGGCATGGTGGCGTGTGCCTGTAGTCCCAGCTACTCCGGAGGCTAAGGCCAGAGGATCACTTGAGCCCCCAGGAGTTCCAGGCCAGCCTGGGCAACATAGAGAGACCTCCCCGCGACCAATCTCAAAAAAAAAAAAAAAAAAAAAAAATTCCTAAGGAGCCTGAAAAAGAGAAGCACCGCCTACCTCTCAAGCTAGATGCCTGTTCTGCTGTTGACCTAATCATAAGGGGCCTGTGGGAACCTTCTGCGTGGAGGACTTCAGATGTAAACAGACTTGTGATTTGTACAGTAGGAAGCCAAGAGGTGGCAGGGCTCACTCCTCACTCCCCTTCTCTCCTAGGTGTGCCATTTTTCACAGTGGAGCCAAAAGATCTGGCAGTGCCACCCAATGCCCCTTTCCAACTGTCTTGTGAGGCTGTGGGTCCCCCTGAACCTGTTACCATTGTCTGGTGGAGAGGAACTACGAAGATCGGGGGACCCGCTCCCTCTCCATCTGTTTTAAATGTAACAGGTGAGCAGCCTCAGAAGGGGGCTGGGAGTGGAGAAGGAGCTGGGTCCTGGAGGGCACTGAAGCTGGCAGTTTCAGCCACTGAGCTTGCGGTTGTGAGCGTCCAGAGCAAGCCCCAGTGTCTGGGGACGTGAGCTGCACCATTACTAAGCTCATTAGTCAGGTGTGCTAGGCTGGCTGGGTGGGCTGATTAGTGGTGATCCTGCTGTGTGTGCTTAAGGAGGGTGTGGGGCCACCTTTGGTTCACAGCAGTCCAGGCCATGCACAGCTGGCCCTCAGAGATGAATTGTATGAGACCAGGGGCACCCATCCCCCACCCCTCCCAAGGAAAGGAGCCAGAAACCAGCCCACGCAGAACTAGGGAGGAGTATCTGGCAGACACTGAGAAGACAAGACTCTCAGGCTGCAGAGAGGGGAGAGGAGGGAGAGAGAAGGGGTAGGGGGAGGTTAGCACAAAGATACAGGGCCTCCTCCCCTAATGGCGCTTTCCGGGAAACCTCCACACGTTTTCTCAAACAACTGTGTCTGTCCATACCTCTGCACAGTCACACCTGCACACCCACCTGGGCCCCAAGTTTCTTGGGCACATACCCTCACATGCTTGTAAGGCTTGCTTATTTGTGAAACAAAGGCTTGCTTATTTGTTTCTGGTTGAGGCTTGAATTGGGCAAAAAAGATGGGAGTCTGAGCTTGGTCTCATGTGCTGGAAGGTGCCAGGGAAATGGGCGCTGAGCTAGGTTCTCCAGCAATTTGAATCTTGACAAGAGGTGGACTATGAGACCTCTTGGAAGCAAGTGCAGGTCCTGTTCAGGAGGCGCTGAGTTGGAGCAGATTAGAGAGGAGGTTGGGTTCACTTCCTTCCAGGTGTGCGTGGTTGGGACCCTCAGGCAGGCAGCCTGATAATAAGCACTCACTGAACTCCTACTCCACACCACACTGTGCTAGGCACCACAGGGGACAGAGGGAATACAAAGGAAATAGAAGCTAAAGAACTGAGTATAACTGGGGAGACAAGACATGTGCATAAAGAGCTGAGAACTACTGCAAGGCAGAGAGTCTGCAAATAACAACCCCAAGGGGGCACAGAGCAAACAGAAGGGCTCACTCTGGTATGCGCAATAAAAGAGTGACCAGAAAAGGGGGGCAATTTGTGCTGTGTGTGGGAGATGGGATGGAGGTGGGAGGGTGGTATAACGTTTCTCAAGGGCTTATTTAGCATGCCGTGCACTTGACACACATTACCTGATTCTCACAATTCTCCCATTTGAGAGATGAGAAAACAGAGCCCTCTCCAGGCTCACCAGACTCTAGTGTCCCTGTTCATTTCACCGTACCTCACTGCCCAGCCCCTTCCTTTGGCAGGAGGGATTTAAGGATGTTCAGACCAGAGCCTGAGTATTCCCCTTTCCCAGTCCCGCACTGAGTGGGGTTGCTGCTTGGGGAGCTGACTGAGGTTTTCTGGCCCCAGGGGTGACCCAGAGCACCATGTTTTCCTGTGAAGCTCACAACCTAAAAGGCCTGGCCTCTTCTCGCACAGCCACTGTTCACCTTCAAGGTAGGAGGGCTGGCAGGGAGGAAGGGTGGATGAGGCCAGGGGCATTCCCAGCGAGCTGTCCAGCAGTTAGAATCATTCTGTGTTCCAGCTCCCCTTGTGGTCCTGCTGGGATCTAGGGAGCAAGGGGTTAATTGGCATAGCTCCCATTCCTAGTGGGAGCACCTGAGACCCTGCGTGGCTGAGATGAGAATAGAATCCTGACGTCACAGCAGATTTCCCATCACGAAGCAGAGTCCTTGGGAGGGAGGGAAGGAGGGAGGGAGGCAGCAGGAGATGGTCAAGGCCCATGCCCAGCCTTGTTTCTGCCCCTCCCTTTGAGGGGATGGGGGTGGGGAAAACAGCCTAGTACCGGATGGAGGAGACCAGAGGGCTGGTGTACAGAGAGAGGGGGAGGGAGAGGGTGTCTGCAGGAGCCAGGCTGTGGCTGCAGGGGCAGCTGCCTGTCTCTCCCTTGTATCTCCCAAGCCTGAGGTGCTGCCCCCACATACCCTCTCATCTTATTCCTCAGTTACACAGGGCCTTCGTGGCAGGGAGAGGCAACCTCTCTCCACAGCCCAGGCACTCTCCCAGGTGTGAGCAGCTGTGCCCTACTGGTTGCTTATTTGTGTACTACTGTGATCCTGGGAGTGCTGAGTAGCCGTCTTTAGGTTGGGGATGCCCTGGACCCTCAGAGAGACTCAAGGCTTGACTCCCATGCCTCCTGCTGCCTCTGCTCATATCCCTACTGGGCACTGATTCTGAGTCCCCGTCCACAGCACTGCCTGCAGCCCCCTTCAACATCACCGTGACAAAGCTTTCCAGCAGCAACGCTAGTGTGGCCTGGATGCCAGGTGCTGATGGCCGAGCTCTGCTACAGTCCTGTACAGTTCAGGTAGGCTCTCCGGGCCGGGCCATGCTCGTTCTGGCTGCATGGCCAGCACTTTGTTGACAGGGATATCACACTCACTAGCCAGCTCCTGGGGGCTTGGTCTGCAGCTCTTTTCAGGCTCTGCTCCTTAGCAGGAAGAACACAGGCCACTGTCTCTTATCATGGGGTGCTCTGGCAACTAAGTGACTTTGCAGATTGGCTCAAACTCATGCATTCATAAGGTTGGAAAGCAGATCACTAGAACAGATTTGGGGTACCTGGAAGGTTTTTCTTTCTTTCTTTTTTTTTTTGAGACAGGGTCTCACTGTTGGCCAGGCTGGAGTGCAGTGGTGCCATCTCGGCTCACTGCAACCTCCACCTCCTGGGTTCAAGTGATTCTCCTGCCTCAGCCTCCCCAGCAGCTAGGATTAGGATTACAGTCATGCACCACCACGCCCAGCTAACTTTTTTTTTTTTTTTTTGTATTTTTAGTAGAGACTAGTAGTTCACCATATTAGCCAGCCTGATCTCAAACTCCTGACTTCAAGTGATCTACCTGCCTCAGCCTCCCAAAGTGCTGGTATTACAGGCATGAACCAGCACACCCAGACGAGTTTTTCTTACTTAGGTGAAAGCTCAAACCTTTGCTGATACTCACCCTATCATGCTCCACCTTACCCCCCAACCCCCACTCAAGCCAAAGAGAACAAGATGACCAGAAGGGGCCCTAAGCCTTGGAGAGTGGAAAAACTGTGTAAGGTGATACTAAAAACAAGAGGCAATGCAGGCTTGCTCATTTTCATCCGTTTACTCAAAGGCCATTTAATGAGTACCTTTCAAAACTGTTCTGGGCAGTTCCCCTGGGCAGGAGGGGCCCCTGCTCTGGGCTCCACCATTTAGAGAACCCTACTGAGGTTGGGCACAGTGGCTTATGCCTGTAATCCCAGCACTTTGGGAGGTGGAGACGGGAGGATTGCTTGAGCCTGGGGGTTCAAGACCAGCCTGGGCAACATGGCAAAACCCTTTCTCTACAAAAAATACAAAAATTATCCAGGCACAGTGGCATGCGCCTGTACTTCTAACTATTCAGGAGGCTAGAGTGGGAGGATGACTTGAGCCTGAGAAGTCAAGCCTGCGGTGAGCCGAGATCATGCCACTGCACTCCAGCCTGAGTGAGTGACAGGGCAAGATCCTGTCTCTATTAAAAAAAAAAAAAAAAAAAAAAAAAAAAAGAGGATCCTACTCTGGCCCTCCTTTGGCCACACCCCTTTCCCCGGGGCAAAGAGCCTACAGGGCCAAGAGGATATGCCCATCCAGATGGCAAGGACCCCCTCACTGCCACACTATACTATAGCTATTCAGGATCTCTTGCCCTAATGGTTCTGAGTCTGCTTCTGGGGTCTGTGTGGGCCTTTTCCCTGTTCCATCTTCCCAAGGATGGACCGCAGTGTGATATGACCACCTCTAAGCCCAAGGGGCAGCCATTCGTGAGGGGGATGGGAATGGAGCTTGGATATGCAGTCAGCATTGTCCACGCCTGTGCACATGAGGCCCCTCATGGTGCAGACCTTGGCTTCAGGCCAGCTCTTCCAGTGCCTCCTCATTCTGACTCGGGACTCCAGGGATTTGGAGAGTTACAAATGCAAACCTGATCTCCCAGGTTGTTTTGAAGGTTTATTGGTCAAAATATTAAGAGAGAAACTATTTAATAGTTTGTTAGCTGATTTATAATGTTTAAATATTTAGACATATAGTACGTGGATCTCTTTGTACTCTTGCCCTGGGCCCCCAAAATGTAAGATGAAGGGCTGGTTCATAGTGCCCTAGGCTCCCAGTTTTCTCTGAGCTTCAGAAGCTCTAGAACTTTGGAGTGGCATGTAAACAGGCACAGTAAGTGGTAAGTATACCCTAAGAGTTTCGTACCAAGTACAAAAGGACAAGAGTTTTCTGGAGTGGTTGAGAAAGGCTTTCACCAAGAAAGTGATATTTGCACTGAGTCTTAAAGGATGAGTAGGCCTTTGCTAGGAAGAGCAGGTCATTCCAAGTGAAAGGAACAGCATTTGCAAAGGTATGAAGATGTGGAACCCTGTGTATTATTGGGGTGGGGGCAGATGGGAGGGCGTGGGTTGCAAGTGTTTGCTGATAGAGGAAGCATTCATTCAAGCACCCATAACTATACCCATCCCATCTTCCATCTCTCACAGGCTCTCCCCTACATCATTAGTTTTCTGCTTTTCTGTAGGTGACACAGGCCCCAGGAGGCTGGGAAGTCCTGGCTGTTGTGGTCCCTGTGCCCCCCTTTACCTGCCTGCTCCGGGACCTGGTGCCTGCCACCAACTACAGCCTCAGGGTGCGCTGTGCCAATGCCTTGGGGCCCTCTCCCTATGCTGACTGGGTGCCCTTTCAGACCAAGGGTCTAGGTAAGGGATGCATAGAGCAGAGCGGGTGGGCAGGGCTGGAGCCGGGAAGGGGGCCGTGTTGGCTGGAGTTCTGAATGGTGCTGGTAGAGATGGAGGTTCAGGCATCATTCGGCAAACATTTACTG
The DNA here is from genome assembly GCF_000001405.40 of Homo sapiens. Lineage (NCBI taxonomy): Eukaryota > Metazoa > Chordata > Mammalia > Primates > Hominidae > Homo > Homo sapiens. Next base: position 41,567,663 of record NC_000015.10, read on the forward strand.
CATATAACTACATACCACCTTGTAAGTAGTTCTTGTAGGTGGAACAGATAAGCAAACTGGAAAAGATCAGATAATGTGGTTGATAAAGAGTGTCCCCAGGTGGTTAAGGAAACCCCCCCTAAAAAGGTCTGAAGGATAAAGATCTGAAGGATCTGGGATCTGAACGATAAAGAAGAAGCCATGTAAATATCTGGGGGAAAATCACTGCCGGAAGAAGGCACAGCAAGTGCAAAGACCCTATGACAGGAACTTGCTTGGCAATTGCAAAGAGGCTGGCATAGCTGTGAGAGGGGAGTGGTAAGGGGTGAGGCAGAAAGGCAGTAACCATGGTGATGAAGAGCAACACTGCCGAGCTGGGGTGCTGCCTGTCCTGCCCATTGCTTACCCCTCCCCCAGCACAGTGGGTGAGAGCAGTCAGAGCTGGGAGGTGAACCCTTCCCCAGTTTGTGCCTCTCAGAGCTGTTTAGTTCTTGGGAGTTGATTCCAAAGGTCTGCATGGAATTATGATGGTGGGAAGGGCAGGGGTCTTAGCAATCTTCTCTCTTTGGCTGCAGCCCCAGCCAGCGCTCCCCAAAACCTCCATGCCATCCGCACAGATTCAGGCCTCATCTTGGAGTGGGAAGAAGTGATCCCCGAGGCCCCTTTGGAAGGCCCCCTGGGACCCTACAAACTGTCCTGGGTTCAAGACAATGGAACCCAGGTAAGACAGAACCCTCCCCTCTCTCCACTCTCCTGGAGTATAAGCCTTCAGGGTTCTAAGGCCTTTAAGAATTTCAAAATGATTGTCTTTGGTGGGCCTGGGTCTCCCGCAGCCCCAGGGAATCCTTTCCTCCTCACCCTCCTCTGCAAGCTCCACTTCTCAAAGGATTATGTCTCCTGTTAGGGTTGCATCCTGTGTGCACTTTGTAAATAAAGCAGGAAGCACATTCCTGCTTGAGCTGGGGGAGGGCACAGATAAGGCTTTGTCCCCAGCTCAGTTCGCTCCCATCCCCCACCTGTGCATTCCGGGACTGAGCCTTGTTTGTGTTCTGGAGAGGCCCCTGCAGCCGGGAACAGGAATGTGATTACTCCCAGAAGGTTGTGTTCCTGCAGCCCCTGAACCCACAGTGCCCCTATACTCCCATGTTCCCAGCTGGACCTTTTTCTGTCCTCAGGCCCCAGCTGGAGGCCTTCTCCCCAGGCTCACTATGGGGTGGGGGCTTTTCCTGGCTGCAGGATGAGCTGACAGTGGAGGGGACCAGGGCCAATTTGACAGGCTGGGATCCCCAAAAGGACCTGATCGTACGTGTGTGCGTCTCCAATGCAGTTGGCTGTGGACCCTGGAGTCAGCCACTGGTGGTCTCTTCTCATGACCGTGCAGGTGAGGCTTGTAGGTGGAGAGGGGCAGAGGCTCAGGGGATCAAGGTTTTCAAGGGCAACCTAGACTGATGGGAGGAGCCTAGTAGCATCTCCCCTCCTAGTAGACCCACAGACAGAGTGAAGAAGTTGAGGCCAGGGCTGTTTAAACTATCTTGGCTGGGCATGGTGGCTCATGCCTGTAATCCCAACATTTTGGGAGGTTGAGGGATCGCTTGAGGCCGGCAGTTTGAGACCAGCTCTGGCAACATAGCAAGACTCTGTCTCTACAAAAAAATTAAAAAAAAAAAAAAAAAACAATTAGCCTGGTGTAGTGACATATGCCTGTTAAGCCCAGCTGCTCCAGAGGCTGAGGCAGGAGGATTGCTTGAGCCCAGGTGTTTGAGGCTGCAGTGAGCTATGATTGCACCACTGCACTCCAGCCTGGGCAACAGAGTGAGTCTGTTGTCTCTAAAGAAACAAACAAATAAGGCCAGGAGTGGTGGTTCACACCTATAATCCCACAACTTTGGGAGGCTGAGGTGGAAGGATTGCTTGAGTCTAGGAGTTTGAGACCACCTTGGGCAGCAAAGTGAGACTTTACCAAAAAAATTTAAAAATTAGTCAGGTGTGATGTTGCACACCTGTAGTCCCAGCTACTTGGGAGGCTGAAGTGGAAGGATTGCTTGAGCCCAGGAGGTTGAGGCTGCAGTGAGCTGCAACTGTGCCCCTGCACTCTGGCCTGGGCAACAGAACAAGACTGTGTCTCAAACAAACTATATCTCATTCTCCTCTCTCTGCCCCAGAACTGGCATAGAAATCCATGGTCACCCTCTAGGTCACAACAGCCAGGGCCTGTCTCTGACCAGGTAGGAAGGACTCTTAGGCATTCCTCTGGAGCCCCTTTCCCTCAGGACCCTTATTGACCTAGAGGAGCCCCTTGAACCAGCTGGATGGCCATCCTGGGAAAGTTCTGAAGGGACCTCATGGTGTCATCCTAGCTCATGCCACTGCACCTCCCTCCCACAGGCCAGCAGGGCCCTCCTCACAGCCGCACATCCTGGGTACCTGTGGTCCTTGGTGTGCTAACGGCCCTGGTGACGGCTGCTGCCCTGGCCCTCATCCTGCTTCGAAAGAGACGGAAAGAGACGCGGTTTGGGTAAGGGGATGGGGATGTGGAGGGAGAGGCAGGTAATGATGAAAGACCTTGGAGCTGACCCCAAATCCTGGGTTTTCCTTTAGGCAAGCCTTTGACAGTGTCATGGCCCGGGGAGAGCCAGCCGTTCACTTCCGGGCAGCCCGGTCCTTCAATCGAGAAAGGCCCGAGCGCATCGAGGCCACATGTGAGTGGTGGGTGATCGTGGGAAGGACAAATGGGCTGTCTTGTGCCCCATCTGCATTCTTTTACCAAATTATTAATTTGACTGATATGTCTGAACATCAGTGAGCCCCAGGCACACAAATCTGCCTGTGTGGAGTTCACCACCCCAGCCGTGGGAGACCTAAGCTCATCTCTATGCTCTGAGGGCAGAGTCTGGGGTATAAGAGGCTGGGTTTTGGCTCAGGAATCAGAGATCCCTCTTTCCCACAAACCCTTTCCCCACAGTGGACAGCTTGGGCATCAGCGATGAACTAAAGGAAAAACTGGAGGATGTGCTCATCCCAGAGCAGCAGTTCACCCTGGGCCGGATGTTGGGCAAAGGTATGTGAGGCTGTGTGGGGATGGGCATGGCTGGTTTGCTGTAGCTGGAAGTGTTTGGTTGCCCCTGTCACTTTGAGGCTGTGGGTTTGGGTCGGTTGCCGTAAACAAGATATGCTTGTAGACTCCTGAGTGTGGGATGTTTGTGGGGAATGGTGGCTGGAGACAGGGAGGGCTGAGGAGCTGCTCCCAGCATGCTCTTGCTTTGGCTACTGGCAAGGGTGCCTTCTCCACTGGCCCCAGAGTCTGCTGACTGTGTTCCCATGGAGGGTCACTTGGGAGGAAGGTTGGCAGGGAGCAGAGAGCCAAGGAGACTCTCCCTTACTTGGATTGGTTCCTAGGAGAGTTTGGTTCAGTGCGGGAGGCCCAGCTGAAGCAAGAGGATGGCTCCTTTGTGAAAGTGGCTGTGAAGATGCTGAAAGGTGAGTGGGGGATAGCTGTAGCCTGAGGGCATCACTTGGAAGGGTAAGAGGGGCGACTGACCCTGAAGCAGGCTCTGCTTTGCCCCTAGATTTTCCAAGAAGAGCTGGGCAGCACTAACTGGGATGCTCTTTACCACACGAATAATTCACAAGCATAAACCCAAACATACATATTCATGCCCAGCCATTGCTCTCTGCCATCGGCAGTGACTGTCCTCTGAGTCCCCTCTTGGGTGATTACAGCTGTGGTTGGTTGACCTGCTGGGCTGCCCAAACCAAAGGGAAGGGAAGGCATTAGCAAGTGGAGAAGTTGCTAAGTATCACCACTCCTTGGGGGTTTCTCCTGCTCATGGCTGGGCTGTTTCCTGGGCTCCCTGGGAAGCCTAGGACATCTGAAGGACAAGACCTAGGAGGCCTGGGTCAAAACTAGGGGCACATCTTGTTTTATTTCCTCCTTCCCCATCCCCTTCTCCTAGCTGACATCATTGCCTCAAGCGACATTGAAGAGTTCCTCAGGGAAGCAGCTTGCATGAAGGAGTTTGACCATCCACACGTGGCCAAACTTGTTGGTGAGCCCATTTTTGGGGGAGGCAGATAGAGAATAGGGCTAAAAATATGCTCTACCAATATGAGATGGCAGCCTATAGGAGAGACTTTTGGACTCATCTGGTAAATAAATAGATGGCAAAATAGCAAGGAGGGTCCTGGCAGAAATCTGAGGTGAGGAGTGCCAAAGGTCTGCACATGAAGACTGTGTGGCTGGATGTGGTGGCTCATGCCTATAACCTCAGCACTTTGGGAGGCTGAGGTGGGAGAATTGCTTGAGGCCAGGGGTTTGAGACTAGCCTGGGCAGTATAGCAACAGCCCACCTCTATTTAAAAAAAAAAAACAAAACAAAAAACATACACACACACACACGTATACAAAAATTAGCTAGGTGTGGTGGTGTGCACCTTTGTCCAGCTACCCGGGAGGCTGAGGTGGGAGGATCATTTGAGCCCAGAACATTGAGGCTGCAGTGAGCTGTGATTGCGCCACTGCACTCCAGCCTAGATGACAGAGCAAGATACTGTTTCAGAAAAAACAAAGACTGCTTGTGTGGACAGAGAAGGAAAGGAAGGGGACAGAAGATGCTCCAGGGATATGGGAGCAGCCAGAGTCCCTCCTGGGTAGTCCCCAGACCAGTGTGGAGCCTGTGAAAAAATAAAAAATAAATAGCAGAGCCAGAGCTAGAGATGGGACCCAGCAGGTGGGGACTTATGCAGACACCTGAACTGCCCCTTGACCCTTCTATGCTCAGCTCCTGACTCTCCCTTGTCCCAGGGGTAAGCCTCCGGAGCAGGGCTAAAGGCCGTCTCCCCATCCCCATGGTCATCTTGCCCTTCATGAAGCATGGGGACCTGCATGCCTTCCTGCTCGCCTCCCGGATTGGGGAGAACCCCTTTGTGAGTACCTGGTGTGGGGGTGGCCAGGAGGAAACGGGTGGGAACACAGGGCCTGGAAAGGCATAGAGACCCTGGCAGAGAGGGGCTTGCTGGGTAGGGCTGATGGAGCTGGGTGGGAGTAGGAGGGGTCTGAGTTTGAATCCTTTTAATCTAGCAGGCTTTCTTTTCTCTCACAAAACCCTGCTGAGAAATATAGGCTGGGCAAGGGCCCTTTCTAGAGGGAGGGACTTGTGGAGCCCCAGGGTGGGGGAGTCTCGTCTTCCAGGCTCCCTCTTAGGCTAGCCGAAGCTTCCTTGCCTTGGGAAGGCCCTCCATCCCCTTCCTTCCTTCCAGTGATTCTGGGGACAGCCTTCAGGCTTTCTGGCCAGGGACCCCCATCCATCCTGCCCCAGCTGGGTGGGCAGGTTAAGCCTGAGCTTGGCCTGTCTGTCCACTAGAACCTACCCCTCCAGACCCTGATCCGGTTCATGGTGGACATTGCCTGCGGCATGGAGTACCTGAGCTCTCGGAACTTCATCCACCGAGACCTGGCTGCTCGGAATTGCATGTACGAATTCTGGAGGACTCGAGGGTGGGAGACAGCAGCAGGTGCCAAGAGGAGCTAGCTGATGGTCGGCTCCTGCCTGGGACAGTATCTGCTATGCATGGGGGTAGCTTGGGAGCAAAGATGCAAAGATGTCCTGGCTCTTGTGGGCCTGTGAGCATGGCAGAAGGCTGACTCTCTCCCTCAATGCCCCTTGTAGGCTGGCAGAGGACATGACAGTGTGTGTGGCTGACTTCGGACTCTCCCGGAAGATCTACAGTGGGGACTACTATCGTCAAGGCTGTGCCTCCAAACTGCCTGTCAAGTGGCTGGCCCTGGAGAGCCTGGCCGACAACCTGTATACTGTGCAGAGTGACGTGGTGAGCAGGGTGGCCCGTGAAGCTTGGTGGGGACGAGTGTGAGAGCAGACCTTTAGGATCCTTAAGGGCCTAGCCAAGTCTGCTCTCTGGGGTTTGGTTGCCCCCTGATGAGGCCCTGAGCCCCAGGTTGTGCTTGTCTCAGAGCCATGGCTCTCTGCCTGGCTCAGGACACCTAGTGACAGCTTCTCCCCCAACCTCGATTCTGTCCCAGTGGGCGTTCGGGGTGACCATGTGGGAGATCATGACACGTGGGCAGACGCCATATGCTGGCATCGAAAACGCTGAGATTTACAACTACCTCATTGGCGGGAACCGCCTGAAACAGCCTCCGGAGTGTATGGAGGACGTGTGAGTATCCTGGGAAGGGGGCTCTGGAAGGAAAGGGGAATCTGGAGTTTTGGCTGATGGCTGCCACCACAGTTGCCTCAACTGGACCTTTGTTTTTTGATAGAAACATCCTTGTAGTTGGAAGGCTGCACTCCACCTCATACTCACTGTTCATCTACCACCTCCCTGTTTTCTTTCTTTCCCCCTTTCCCATCCCAGATTTCTTGCTTTAGCCTTTGTCTATCAGTCTCTTTTCTCCAGTTTGTAAGGAGAACCAGGAACCCCAAGAGCAGAAGGCACAGTGCTGAGTAACAGTGTGGGAGGTTTCCCTGCCATCTTCCCACCCGTCATTCCTTTTCTTTTTTTAATTTGTATTTATTTTATTTTATTTGTTCTACCCTAGTGAATACAACCTTTGTCCTGGAGACCCCAGCTAGTCTAAGAAAACTTCCTAGGCTGAGCTCTCTTGGGAATCTAAGATAAAGAACTGAGATCCTGGGAAGAAGGGAACTGCCTCCTCTTCTTTCTGCAAGCCCAAAGCCCTCGGGACTGGGCAGGCAATGATACCACCCACTTTGCTACAGTGATAACAGACCCTGTGACAAGATAATGGGAAGTGTCACTGACATTAGCTGGGCATTTAGGCATTCTTTCAGGTAATCTTCCTCTGACCTTATGAGGAAAAGACTATTATTTATCCCCACTTTGTAGATGAGAAAATAGGATTAGAGAGATTAAGTAACATGGCCAACGTCACAGAGCTAGTAAGTGAATAAGTTGGAATTTGAACCTAGATCCCTGTAGTTTTAGAATATATACTCTTAACTCTTTATGACAACAACTGTGATTTGTCTGTTCTAGTCTTACACTCCCACTCCATCCAAGCCAAGGGCTCCCTAGGCCTTCAGACAACCTTTTGTGAGTATTTTTTGTTTTGTTTTTTGAGACAGGGTCTCGCTTTGTCACCCAGGCTGGAGTGCAGTGGCGTGATCTCTGCTTACTGCAGCCTCAACCTCCTGGGCTCAAGTGATCCTCCCTCCCCAGCCTTCCAAGTAGCTGGGACTACAGGCACGTGCCACCACACTCGGCTAATTTTTGTATTTTTGTAGAGACAGGGCTCCGCCATATTTGTCAAGCTGGTCTTGCGCTCCTGGGCTCAAGGGATCCATCTGCCTTGGCCTCCCAAAATGCTGGGATTACAGGTGTGAGCCACCACGCCCAGCCCAGAGGACCTTTCATGAGCCCCAGGGGGAGTGGGAGCCACTGTGACCAGAGAAAGAATCTGCTCCATTTCTTGCTCTGGGATTGGACTTCCAGAGGGCCGAGGTCATGGACAGGCACAGGAAGGCTCAGCCTGATGGTGGGGTCCTTCCCTTGGACAGTGGGTTTGAAGTGCCCTGAGCCTGGGCTGTGGGTAACTCACCTACACCTGAGAGGGAAATCTTGAGTAGACAAGCCAGGCCCTGGCCCTCCTGTTCATTCAGCAGAGCTCAGGGCATGGCAAGGGGCAGGAAGCTCACATCTCCCTGTGGCTGCAGCCTGCTTCAGTTCTAATCTGGCGCTGTAGAAGCTCTGAAGGGCAGTGGGGACCAGACCCCAGCGCAGCCTCCTCCCCAGCTGGAGCTGGTGCTGTCAATGGAGAGTGGGCAGGCACTGGCCTCACCCAGGCAGCCTGGTGGACAGGCGCCAGTTGGCTCCTAGCACAGCCTTGAGGACGTGTCCCAGTCTGGCCATGTACCCACGGCCCCAGACCATTCCCATTCCCACGACCTGTTCAGTGTCTGGCATGATTACTGCCATTACTGGTGGCCCCTGCTGGGGGTGTGCTGGTGTGTGAGGCAGTGCTTGGGGCTCTTGTCATGGGCATAGGCAAGAGAGTCAGGCATTTGCATTCATTGGACTTGGTCTCAGCGTCTTTCCATTAGGTTTTTGGTTTGTTATTTTTCCACCTGAGCCTGAGGCATTCCTTGGGCATCCTGAGTGATAGGCTTCAGGGAATTTATAAGGTTCCTGAAATTGTATGTAAAAAAGCATTCCTGGCAGGGGACGGTGGCTCACGCCCGTAATCCCAGCGCTTTGGGAGGCGGATCTCCTGAGGTCGGGAGTTCCAGACCAGCCTGACCAACATAGAGAAACCCCGCCTCTATTAAAAATACAAAATTAGCTGGGCGTGGTGGCGCATGCCTGTAATGCCAGCTACTTGGGAAGCTGAGGCAGGAGAATCACTTGAACCCGGGAGGCAGAGGTTCTGGTGACCCGAGATCACACCATTGCACTCCAGCCTGGGCAACAAGAGCAAAACTCCATCTCAAAAAAAAAAAAAAAAAAAAATTAATTCCTGTTGGCAGGAGAGCTGGAAGCTTTTTCCAGATACTCAAAAGTTATATATGAATAGTGAGGACTTTTTCTTTTTTTTGAAATGGAGTTTTGCTCTTGTCGCCCAGGCTGGAGTGCAATGGCACAATCTTGGCTCACCACAACTTCCACCTCCTGGATTCAAGCGATTCTCGTGCCTCAGTCTCCTGAGTAGCTGGGATTACAGGCATGCACCACCCTGCCCAGCTAATTTTGTATTTTTAGTAGAGACGGGGTTTCTCCATGTTGATCAGGCTGGTCTCAAACTCCCGACCTCAGGTGATCTGCCCACCTTGGCCTCCCAAAGGGCTGGGATGACAGGTGTGTGCCACCTTGCCCAACCAATTTTTGTATTTTTTAGTAGACACGGGGTTTCATCATGTTGGCCAGGCTGGACTCGAACTCCTGACCTCAAGTGATCCACCTGCTTCGGCCTCCCAAAGTGCTGGGATTACAGGCATGAGCTACTGCACCTGGCCTGATTCAGTAGGTTTCCTTTTTTTTTTTTTTTTTTTTTTTTAAAAAAAAAAAAGAGAAAGGGCCTCGCTCTGACAGCCAGGCTGGAGTGCAGTAATGCAATCACAGCTCACTGTAGCATCAAACCCCTGGGTTCAAGAGATCTTCTGCCCAGCCTCCCTAGTAGCTGGGATTACAGGTACTTACCACCATACCTTGCTTATTAATTTTTTTTTTTAATAGAGACATGGTCTCGCTATGTTGTCCAGACTAGTCTCGAACTCCTGGGGTCAAAGGATCTTTTAGCCTCAGCCTCCTGAGTAGCTGGGACTACAGGTGCATACCACTGTGTCCGGCTGCACGGTGAGGAATTACTGAGTAGGTACTGCCCACTCAGCACAGGAGGGACTTCGGAGTCAACCCCCTCGCTTCAAATCACAGCTCTGTCACTTTCCACGTGTGTGACTTTAGTCACGGTTCTTAACCTCTTTGTGCATGTTTCCACATTTGTAAATGTGGAAATGATTTCTATTTGATCATTGCTTTCATAGGGTTGTTGTGAGAAATAATAAGCTAGGATGTGCCTGTAATCCCAGCTACTCAGGAAGCTGTGGTGGGAGGATCACTAGAGGCCAGGAGTTTGAGACCAGCCTGAGCAACATAGCAAGACCCTGTCTCTACAAATATATTTTTTATTTATTTAATTTAATTAATTTATTTGTTTGTTTATTTATTTTGAGATGGAATTTCACTCTTGTTGCCCAGGCTGGAGTTCAATTGTGCAATCTCGGCTCACCGCAACCTCCACCTCCTGGGTTCAAGCGATTCTCCTGCCTCAGCCTCCCAAGTAGCTGGGATTACAGGAATGTGCCACCATGCTGGGCTAATTTTTTTTTGTATTTTTAGTAGAGATGGGGTTTCTCCATGTTGGTCAGGCTGGTCTCGAACTCCTGACCTCAGGTGATCTGCCTGCCTTGGCCTCCCAAGGTGATCCCACCTCAGCCTTCCGAGTAGCTGGGACTACAGGCGTGTCTACCAAGCCTGGCTAATTTTTGTATTATTATAGAGACAGGGTTTTGCCATATTGCCCAGGCTGGTCTCGAACTCCTGGGCTCAAATAATACCCCCCTTCGGCCTCCCAAAGTGTTGAGATTACAGATGCGAGCCGCTGTGCCCCACCAGGGAATAAAATTTTTTAAAACCCTAGTGCCATATGATGAAGGGGCCCCTGCTTTTGAGGGAAGGGCTCCTGCCTTTTCTCACGCTTCTCTCCACCCCAGGTATGATCTCATGTACCAGTGCTGGAGTGCTGACCCCAAGCAGCGCCCGAGCTTTACTTGTCTGCGAATGGAACTGGAGAACATCTTGGGCCAGCTGTCTGTGCTATCTGCCAGCCAGGACCCCTTATACATCAACATCGAGAGAGCTGAGGAGCCCACTGCGGGAGGCAGCCTGGAGCTACCTGGCAGGGATCAGCCCTACAGTGGGGCTGGGGATGGCAGTGGCATGGGGGCAGTGGGTGGCACTCCCAGTGACTGTCGGTACATACTCACCCCCGGAGGGCTGGCTGAGCAGCCAGGGCAGGCAGAGCACCAGCCAGAGAGTCCCCTCAATGAGACACAGAGGCTTTTGCTGCTGCAGCAAGGGCTACTGCCACACAGTAGCTGTTAGCCCACAGGCAGAGGGCATCGGGGCCATTTGGCCGGCTCTGGTGGCCACTGAGCTGGCTGACTAAGCCCCGTCTGACCCCAGCCCAGACAGCAAGGTGTGGAGGCTCCTGTGGTAGTCCTCCCAAGCTGTGCTGGGAAGCCCGGACTGACCAAATCACCCAATCCCAGTTCTTCCTGCAACCACTCTGTGGCCAGCCTGGCATCAGTTTAGGCCTTGGCTTGATGGAAGTGGGCCAGTCCTGGTTGTCTGAACCCAGGCAGCTGGCAGGAGTGGGGTGGTTATGTTTCCATGGTTACCATGGGTGTGGATGGCAGTGTGGGGAGGGCAGGTCCAGCTCTGTGGGCCCTACCCTCCTGCTGAGCTGCCCCTGCTGCTTAAGTGCATGCATTGAGCTGCCTCCAGCCTGGTGGCCCAGCTATTACCACACTTGGGGTTTAAATATCCAGGTGTGCCCCTCCAAGTCACAAAGAGATGTCCTTGTAATATTCCCTTTTAGGTGAGGGTTGGTAAGGGGTTGGTATCTCAGGTCTGAATCTTCACCATCTTTCTGATTCCGCACCCTGCCTACGCCAGGAGAAGTTGAGGGGAGCATGCTTCCCTGCAGCTGACCGGGTCACACAAAGGCATGCTGGAGTACCCAGCCTATCAGGTGCCCCTCTTCCAAAGGCAGCGTGCCGAGCCAGCAAGAGGAAGGGGTGCTGTGAGGCTTGCCCAGGAGCAAGTGAGGCCGGAGAGGAGTTCAGGAACCCTTCTCCATACCCACAATCTGAGCACGCTACCAAATCTCAAAATATCCTAAGACTAACAAAGGCAGCTGTGTCTGAGCCCAACCCTTCTAAACGGTGACCTTTAGTGCCAACTTCCCCTCTAACTGGACAGCCTCTTCTGTCCCAAGTCTCCAGAGAGAAATCAGGCCTGATGAGGGGGAATTCCTGGAACCTGGACCCCAGCCTTGGTGGGGGAGCCTCTGGAATGCATGGGGCGGGTCCTAGCTGTTAGGGACATTTCCAAGCTGTTAGTTGCTGTTTAAAATAGAAATAAAATTGAAGACTAAAGACCTAAGGTTTTGTCTCTTTTTTTTTTTCTTTTTTTTTGAGACAGTCTCACTGTGTTGCCCAGGCTGGAGTGCATGGTGTGATCTTGGTTCACTGCAACCTCTGCCTCCTGGGTTCAAGCGATTCTTGTGCCTCAGTCACCAGAGTAGCTGGGATTACAGGGGCTCACTACCATGCCCAGGTAATTTTTGTATTTTTAGTAGAGATGTGGTTTCGCCATGTTGGCCAGGGTGGTCTTGAACTCATGACCTCAAGTGATCTGCCTGCCTTGGCCTCCCAAAGTGCTGGGATTACAGTCCTGAGCCACCACACCTGGCCCCAGCTTTGTCTCTTAAATGTTTACTTTTTTTGAGATCACAAAGATGAAAGATTTTTATAGAGAGAAAAGTCTGGAAAGACATATGCCAAAATGTTAACAGCTGTTATCTTTTTTTTTTTTTTTTTGAGACCGAGTCTCACTCTGTCGCCCAGGCTGGAGTGCAATTGCGCGATCTGAGCTCACTGCAAGCTCTGCCTCCCAGGTTCACGCCATTCTCCTGCCTCAGCCTCCCGAGTAGCTGGGACTACAGGTGCCTGCCACCACGCCCGGCTAATTTTTTGTATTTTTAGTAGAGATAGGGTTTCACCGTATTAGCCAGGATGATCTCAATCTCCTGACCTCGTGATCCGCCTGCCTCAGCCTCCCAAAGTGTTGGGATTACAGGCGTGAGCCACCGCACCTGGCAACAGCTGTTACCTTTAAATGATGGGGTTAAGGGGACGTTCTTCTTTGTGCTTTCCAAGTTTTCTGCATTGAGCACAAAATGCTTTTGTAATTAGATACAGGATCCCAATGAATCTTATTATACTGAAGATAATACAGAGTCACCGTGGGCAGTTAGAAAAATGCAAAAAATCGGCTGGGCGCAGTGGCTCACGCCTGTAATCCCAGCACTTTGGGAGACCTGGGTGTGTGGATCACGAGGTCAGAAGTTCAAGACTAGTCTGACCAACATGGTGACACCCCGTCTTTACTAAAAATACAAAAATTAGCTGGGCATGGTGGCGCGTGTCTGTAATCCCAGCTACTCAGGACACTGAGGCAGGAGAATTGCTTGAACTCAGGAGGCGGAGGTTGCAGTGAGTCGAGATCCCGGCAGCCTAGGTGACAGGCGAGACTCCATCTCAAAAATAAAATAAAAATAAAAATGCAAAAAATAATAAAAGGTGCCAGTTACCTATACTCCCACCACCTAGAGATAATCACCATTGATCTTTTGAAAATGCAAATATTCAGCTGGGCACAGTGGCGTGTATTTTTTTTTTTTTTTGAGACGGAGTCTCGAGTCTCTCTCTGTCGCCCAGGCTAGAGTGCAGTGGTGTGATCTCGGCTCACTGTAACCTCTGTCTCCCAGGTTTAATCAAGTCTCTTGTCTTGGCTTCCCGAGTAGTTGGGACTACAGGCACGAGCCACTGTGTCCGGCTATTTTTTGTATTTTTTTGTAGAGACAGGGTTTCGCCATGTTGGCCAGGCTGGTCTCGAACTCCTGATTTCAAGTGATCTGCCTGCCTTAGCCTCCCAAAGTGCTGTGATAACAGGGGTGAGACACCATACCCAGCTTGTAATCCCAGCACTTTGGGAGGCTGAGGCGGGTGGATCACTTCAGGCCGGGAGTTCGAGACCAGCCTGGGCAACATGAAACCCCATCTCAACTAAAAATTCAAAAAAGTTTAGCCAGGCTTGGTGGCGCAGGTTTGTCATCTCAGCTACTGGGTGACTGAGGCATGAGAATCACTTAAACCTGGGAGGAGGAGGTTGCAGTAAGCTGAGATCTTGCCACTAAACTTCGGCCTGGGTGACAGATTAAGACTGTCTCAGAAACAAAACAAAACAACAAAAAAGCTTTTAGAGCAAGTTCATGGGAGATGCAGCAGGAGGCGCAGGAACCACACATGTGCTAGTGAGGAGTGTGGGGAGACTGGGAGGGCCCACAGGTATTGTGCTGCTTCTGGCTGAGGGCAGGGGAATAGGGTGGCTGCTTCTGAAAGCAAATATCCTGAAAAACCTGTTGCTGGTACTCCAAATTCTGGTTCCCATGTAGATCATGAAACCTGAAAAACTTCCAGGCAAGTAGCTTTCAGAATCTTTCCTGCTGTGATTAGCTTTCACTGCAGGTAGTGATTACCTGTGAGATAACATCTGGGAATTATTGATTGAAAAGACCTTCACTATCGGTTGGGGGCGGTGGCTGATGCCTGTAATCCCAGCACTTTGTGAGGCTGAGGCGGGTGGATCACCTGAGGTCAGGGGTTCAAGACCAGCCTGGCCAACATGGTGAAACCCCATCTCTACTAAAAAATACAAAAACTAGCCAGGAGTGGTGGCAGGCACCTGTAATCCCAGCTACTTGGGAGGCTAAGGCAGGAGAATCACTTGAACCCTGGAGGCGGAGGTTGCAGTGAACTGAGATGGCACCAGTGCACTCCAGCCTGGGTGACAGAGCGAGACTCCATCTCAAAAAAAAAAAAAAAAAAAAGAGGCCAGGCATGGTGGCTCACGCCTATAATCCCAGCGCTTTGGGATTTTCTGTCTCAAAAAAAAAAAGAGAGAGACTCTGGATCAAAAAGGATTTTCACAAACAGATCCAAAGAACCAGCATCCAGATTAAGAAACAGCATTAACAGCAACCCAGAAGCAACCCTTGGGACCTGCCTCAATCTCTGCCTCCTCCCTACTCCCCATAGGTAACCTCTATCCTGACCTCTTAACACCATGGATCAGTGAAGCTCCTTTTAAAAGTATATAAATGGAGTCATGTAGATTTGATTACTTTGCGTTTGGCTTCTTTCCCTCAGCAACATGTTTATAAGGATCATCTAACAACAGCAGTTTTGAAAAGTGAGTCTCAAAGAGGCAAGAATGGCCGGGCATGGTGGCTCACACCCGTAATCCCAGCGCTTTGGGAGGCCGAGGCGGGCGGATCACAAGGTCAGGAGTTTGAGACCAGCCTGGCTAACAGGGTGAAACCCTGTCTTTACTAAACCCTGTCTTTACTAAAAATACACAAAATTAGCCAGGTATGGTGGCAGGCACGTGTAATCCTAGCTACTCGGGAGGCTGAGGCAGGAGAATCACTTGAACCTGGGAGGGGGAGGTTGCAGTGAGCCACTACATTCCAGCTTGGGTGAGAGAGTGAGACTCCATCTCGGAAAAAAAAAAAATTAGCTGGGCGTGCTGGTGGGTGCCTGTAATCCCAGCTACTTGGGAGGCTGAGGTAGGAGAATTGCTTGAACCTGGGAGGTGGAAGTTGCTGTGAGACGAGATTGTGCCATGGCACTCCAGCCTGGACAAGAGTGAGACTCCATCTCAAAAAAGAAAATAATAATAATATAGTTTATTTTTCAGTATTTCATGTTGATTTATCTCAAATTTATTGTTGAATAAGAAGTGATACAGAGATTCAAAGTTATTTTTCCCAGATACTTTTTATTGTCCCAATACCACCATTTATTGAACAATCTATATTTTATGCACATTTCTTTTTTTTTTCTTTTTTTTGATACAGGGTCTTGCTCTGTTTCTGCCTGGGCTGGAGTAAAGTGATAGTAAACTGATTCTCCCACCTCAGCGTCCTGAATAGCTGGGACCACAGGCACACGCCACTGCACCTGGCAAATTTTTAAGTGTTTTTTTTTTTTTTTAATACAGAGCCTTGCTCTGTCGCCCAGGCTGGAGTGCAGTGGTGTGATCTCGGCTCACTGCAACCTCCGCCTCTCAGTTCAAGCGAGTCTCCTCCTGCCTCACACTCCCAATTAGCTGGGACTACAGGCACGTGCCACCACAACATGCTAATTTTTTGTATTTTTAGTAGAGACAGGGTTTCACCATGTTAGCCAGGATGGTCTCGATCTCCTGACCTCGTGATCTGCCCGCCTCAGCCTCCCAAAGTGCTGGGATTACAGGCTTCAGCCACCGCGCCCGGCCCAGTTTTTAAGTGTTGTAGAGATGGAGTCTTGCTTTGTTGCCCAGGCTGGTCTTGAACTCTGGGCTGAAGCGATCTGCCCACCTTGGCCTCTCAAAGTGCGGAGATTACAGGTGTGAGCCACCACACCCAGCCAGAATTTCTTGAATAATCTGTCTCCATTTCTCTATATAGCCTCATTGATCTATCTAAACTCCCATATCTATTTTGGTTGCTAGACTGTTCATCCCAATTACATGTGCCAGTGTCACTGCTACACTAATTGAATTACTATAAATGTATAATGTTTTCCTATATGTTCGTGGTACATTTTTTTTGCAACGTTCTCCCAAGGTCTGAGGAACACTATGTCAAGGCATGGCATGAAAGGAATACAGGTCTCCCAAGGCTTTAGAGAAGAATGATTTGTTCATGGTGTCACAAAGCAAGGGGTGAGGGGCACAATTGGGATGAAAACCCAGGGATCTACGTAATTCCTCCATCTTTCCACTGCCCCAGAGTGGGAAGGTAGGGGTAGCTGAGAGGTTTTGAGGACCAGAGGATAGCGGGGAGTAGTCTGGATAGACTTTTCTGTCTCTAAGTCCTGTTAACTCCACTCTCCTATTGCTTTTGCATGGGTCCCTCCCCAGCTATCAGCATCCTGAGGCCTCCTCTCTCACCCAGAGTATTGCAACAGCTGTGCAAACCTTCCTGACGAAGACCAGGTCAGCACTCCTTTGGTTATGAAGCCGCTGCCCCCAACACCTGTGGAATTTGTCTTCAGGGTTCTCCTTCCTGTTTTGTAATTATAATTATCTCGAGAGGCCGAGGTGGGTGGATCACTTGAGGTCAGGAGTTCAAAACCAGCCTGACCAACATGGTGAAACCCCATCTCAACTAAAAATACAAAATTAGTCGGACATGGTGTCATGCGCCTGTAATCCCAGCTACTCTGGAGGCTGAGACAGGAGAATCGCTTGAACCTGGGAGGCGGAGGTTGCAGGGAGCTGAGATTGTGCCACTGCACTCCAGCCTGGGTGACAGAGCAAGACTCTGTCTCACAAAAAAAAAAAAAAAAAAAAGGCCTGGCGCGGTGGCTCACGCCTGTAATCCCAGCACTTTGGGAGGCCGAGGCGGGCGGATCACGAGGTCAGGAGATTGAGACCATCCCGGCTAACACAGTGAAACCCCGTCTCTACTAAAAATACAAAAAATTAGCCGGGCGTGGTGGCAGGCGCCTGTAATCCCAGCTACTGGGGAGGCTGAGACAGGAGAATTGCGTGAACCCGGGAGGGGAAGCTTGCGGTGAGCTGAGACTGAGCCGCTGCACTCCAGCCTGGCCTGCAGAGCGAGACTCCATAAAAAAAAAAAGAAAAAAAAATTATCTCTCCCCCTTCCCTTTCCTCTCCATATAAGTTGTGTGCACACAGGGACCTGTCTTTTTTATTATGGTATCCTCAGCGCTTTCGCACTTCGTAGGCACTCAATGAATATTCATTAATTGGGTGTGGGGGTAAGGGAAAGGAGGGGTCTAGTAAAATTTATAACTGGCGATTTGGTGGTTGGTGAGAGTATTGAGTGCGTGCCTAGGGCGCACAGGGGAAAACACTGGTAATATTTACTTCACGAGACCTTTTTAGAATTAACTAAAAGTATCTAAGGGCCTAGAAGAGTTCCTGACAATTGGCCAAAGTTCAGTAAATCTTAGAGAACACTCCTCCCCTTTTCTCCAAATTCCTCAGTTTTTCCCCAGGGTAGAGCAAGAGCAAAGGAGAGAAGCCTTTTGGGCCCTCCCTAAGCCACAGACAGGTTGGGGAAGCCTCTGGATCATTAAAAGGCAGAAAATAATTTTACATTTGGTCCTCTAAAACCCCACAAGCCCCAAATCAGAAGGCTGTGCCTGGACTTAGCTCGAGCGAGCCCAGAAGCACCTGGTGGGATACGCAGCTGTGCCCCAGGCATTTCTACCCACGGGCTCCGGCCAGAGAGGCTCGCGCTAGGCGGGCTGGGCCCGCGGGACGAATCCTCACCTCTGCGGCCCACTCGAGAGCGGGGCCACACGCGGGCGTCACACGCGCGGTCACGAGCCGGTTTGCCCCGCCGGGGCTTGGCCGAGGCCGCTCGGCGGCGGGCAGGGAAAGGCTTGGCCTGGCCGGCGGGACACCAGCGCCTTTGTCCGCGGCGCAGAAGGGCCCCAGCTGCGGACAGAGCCGGCGCCCTGCAGGCCGCGGGGAGGAGCGCGGCGGGCGCAGGCGGTGGCGGCCCGTGGGCGCGGGGCCCCTGCAGGGACGGGGACAGACGCGCACGGAGCGGGAGCCCGGCAGCTCCGGGTCTACGGGATCCATCCTCCCAAGGGTGCCCGAGAACACTCCATCGTCGCGGAATGCCCGCGCTTCTTTCGTTAAAGCTGTCTTTGAGTTTGCCTCCTCTGGTGGTAAAAGTTAATTCCACAAGTATTGACTTGGCCCAGAGTAATAGCAAAGAACCGTGAGCCTCCCGTTTTTACGCCCTAGGGGCTCACGCTCTTGGAAACGACGAAAGCGTTGCCTGTTTGTCAAGAAAACTAAGGAAAAACAGAGAAGAAAGCTAAGACGCTCTACAGACAGTAAGCGCCCTGGAAGGGAGATGAGAGCTAGGTGGGTGGGGCCACGTGGCCGAAGTGGAAAAGGCCCTAGTGGTGGGGCTGGGAGCTGTGGGATGCCACATGCCAACAAAGTCAGCAAATGCCTACGGGGCAAAACGAAGATGAAGAGTCCGAGGGAATCCCTAAAGCCAAAAACCACAGAATGTTTGGTAATCATTACCATTCAACAAACAAACTTTCCCTCAATATATTTTTTAAGGTTGACAGAAATAACCCTTTATTAAAATGAAATGTATATAACAACATATAACGTGGATGAAAACAATACATGTGATCCTTAAACTATTTAAAATTTCTTTTCTTTTCTTTTCTTTTTTTTTGAGACAGAGTCTCGCTCTGTCGCCCAGGCTAGAGTGCAGTGGCTGTCGGCTCACTGCAACCTCCACCTCCCTGGTTCAAGCGATTCTTGTGTCTCGGTCTCCCAGCACTTTGGGAGGCCGAGGCGGGCGGATCACCTGAGGTCAAGAGTTCAAGACCAGCCTGGCCAATATGGTGAAACCCCGTCTCTACTAAAAATACAAAAATTAGCCAGGCATGGTGGTGAACGCCTGTAGTCCCAGCTAGTCGGGAAGCTGAGGCAGGAGAATCTCTTGAACCTGGAAGGTGGAGGTTGTAGTGAGCTGAAATCATGCCACTGAACTCCAGCCTGGGTGACAGAGGGAGACTCTGTCTTAAAAAAAAAAAAAAAAAAAAAAAAAAAAGGTAAGACCTGCTGGGCTGCATTCCCAGTAAGTTAAGGCATTCTTAATCACAGGATGAGATAGGAGGTCAGCACGAGATACAGGTCATAAATACCTTGTTTTTTGTTTGTTTGTTTTTGAGATGGAGTCTCACTCTGTCACTCAGTTGCCCAGACTGGAGTGCAGTGGCGCAATCTCGGCTCACTGCAACCTCTGCTTCCTGGGTTCAAGAGATTCTCCCGCCTCAGCTTCCCGAGTAGCTGGGATTACAGGCATCCACCATCAGGCCCGGCTAATTTTTGTATTTTTGTAGAGGCAGGGTTTTACCATGTTGGCCAGGCTGGTCTTGAACCCCTGACGTCAGGTGATCCTCCGGCCTCAGCCTCCCAAAGTGCTGGGATTATAGGCATGAGCCACTGCGCCGGCCAGACCTTGTTGATAAAACAAGTTGCAGTAAAAAAACCGGCTAAAACCCACCAAAACCAAGATGGCGATGAGAGTGACCTCTGGTCGTCCTCACTGCTACACTCCCACCAGCACCATGACAGCTTACAAATGCTATGGCAACATCAGAAGTTACCCTATATGGTCTAAAAAGGAGAGGCATGAATAATCCACCCCGTGTTTAGCATATCATCAAGAACTAACCATAAAAATGGGCAACCAGAAGCCCTTGGGGCTGTTTTGTCTATGGAGTAGCCATTCTTTTATTCCTTTACTTTCCTTATAAACTTGTTTTCACTTTATGATCTCGCTCTGAATTCTCTTTTGCAAGATCCAGGAACCCTCTCTTGGGATCTGGACTGGGACTCCTTTCCAGTAATGTAACCGCCCAAGGTGTTCACCTTGCCTCCTGCCTAGACAGAACCAACTTATCACAACCTTTTTGATAAATTGATAAATTTTGATCGCTCAGCTTATATTCAGTTCTTGTTAATCCCCTAAGCAGGAACTAATTTACTGGGGAGGGATTTAATGTTAAAGTTGGGCATAGGTCTACAAGTCAGCCCAAGAGGATTCCTCACCTCATTAAATCTACTCACCACTGCCGATGAAAAATATATTAATCCTAATGTCTGGTCCAAAAAAGGAAACCGAGGGAAATTCCAAGTCCCTCCGATCCACATCAAGCTAAAAACCCCAGGAGAAGTAGTAAGAAGGAAGCAATCCCTATTCCCCTAGAAGGTAGGATAGGGTTGAAACCTATAATCAAAGACCTTATTAAGGATGGGCTTCTCGAGCCCTGTATGTCCCCTTATAACACCCCAATACTGCCAGTCAAGAAATCAGATGGGTCATACCAGCTACTACAGGACCTTAGAGCTATCAACCAAATAGTCCAGACTACCAACCCCATTGTCCCCAATGCTTACACGGTTCTTAGCAAAATTCCATGTAATCATCAATGGTTTACCATAATAGATTTGAAGGATGCTTTTTGGGCATGTCCCCTGGCTGAAGATAGCCGAAATATATTTGCTTTTGAATGGGAGGATCGCCACTCAGGGCGGAAACAGCAATATCGAGATGGACGGTCTTGCTCCGACGGTTCATAGACTCTCCTAATCTTTTTGGCCAAATTTTAGAACAGGTACTAGAAAAAGTTGTCATACTAGAACAAATATGCCTTCTTCAGTACGTAGACGACATTCTTATATCTGGTGAAGATATAGAGAAGGTAACTGACTTCTCTACACATATTCTTAGCTATCTGCAGTTTGAGGGGCTATGAGTCTCAAAAAGAAAGCTTCAGTATGTAGAGCCCGAAGTTAAATATTTAGGCCACTTAATAAGTGCAGACAAGCGAAGAATAGGGCCTGAATGAATCGAGGGAATGGTGTCCCTACCCTTGCCTCAAACTAAATAAGAACTCAGGAAATTTTTAGGGTTAGTCAGATACTGCCGCTTATGGATTGACTCATGCACTGCACAGTAAACTGTTATATTAAAAACTTGCCCAGGAGAAGCCGAACCATCTCCTGTGGACTTCTGAGGAAGCTGATCAAGTCTAGAAGCTGAAGGAAAGGCTCATAACTGCCTTACCCTCCCTAGAAAAGCCATTCCACCTTTTTGTTAATGTGGACAGTGCGGTAGTTTTAGGAGTGCTGACTCAAGAACACAGAGGCCGCCGGCAGCCCGTAGCCTTCCTATCAAAGGTGTTGGACCCAGTCACTTGTGGATGGCCTCAATGCATCCAGTCCATCGGGGCTGCGGCAATACTGGTCGAGGAAAGCAGGAAGTTAACCTTTGGAGGAAAATTGACGGTAAGCACGCCTCACCAAGTTAGAACTATCTTAAACCAGAGAGCAGGGAGATGGCTTACCGACTCGAGAATCTTGAAGTATGAGGCCGTTCTGTTAGAAAAGGATGATTTAACATTGACCTCTGATAATTCACTCAACCCAGCAGGTTTCCTAACAGGGAATCCAAATCTATGGAGGGAACACACATGTTTAGATTTAATTGATTACCATACAAAGGTTCGACCAGACCTAGGAGAAACCCCCTTCCGGACTGGACGGCACTTATTCATAGACAGTTCCTCCGGGGTGATTGAGGGAAAAAGACACAATGGGTATTCAGTGATTGATGGAGAAATTCTCATAGAAATAGAATCTGGAAAATTGCCAACAATTGGTCTGCTCAAACATGTGAGCTATTTGCACTCAGCCAAGCCTTAAAGTACTTACAGAACCAGGAAGGAACCATCTATACAGATTCCAAGTATGCCTGTGTAGTGGCCCATATGTTTGGGAAAATTTGGACTGAAAGAGGTCTCATTAGTAGTAAAGGTCAAGACCTTGTTCACAAGGAGCTGATCACCCAAGTATTGAATAATCTTCAGTTGCCAGAAGAAATAGCTATTGTCCGTGTTCCCGGACACCAGAAAAACCTTTCTTTTGAAAGTTGAGGAAATAACCTAGCAGATCAGGTAGCCAAGCAGGCTGCTGTGTCTTCTGAAATGCATATTTTTCACTTAACTCCCTACCTGCCTCCTCCTACTGTAATCCCCATTTTTTCTTCCACTGAAAGAGAGAAACTAATAAAAATAGGTGCTAAAGAGAATTCAGAAGGAAAGTGGATACTGCCAGACCAGAGAGAAATGTTGTCTAAACCCCTTATAAGGGAAGTCTTATCCCAACTACATCAAGGGACCCATTGGGGGCCTCAGGCCATGTGTGATGCAGTTCTCAGGGTTTATGGTTGTATAGGAATTTATACCCTGGCCAAACAGGTTACAGATAGTTGCTTAGTATGTAAGAAAACTAATAGACATACTATAAAAAGATTACCTCTCAAGAGAAGGAATCCGGGCTTAAGGCCATTCCAAAGTATCCAAGTTGATTACACAGAAATGCCTCCAATAGGTCGTCTGAAATATTTACTAGTAGTAGTAGACCACCTCACTCACTGGGTTGAAGCTATCCCTTTTCAAATGCGACAGCCAATAATGTAGTTAAGGCCCTAATTGAAAATATAGTACCTAGGTTTGGACTAATAGAAAATATTGACTCAGACAATGGAACTCATTTCACCGCACACATTATTAAAAAGCTATCCCAAACATTAGACATTAGATGGGAACACAATATTCCCTGGCACCCACCCTCATCAGGGAGAGTAGAAAGAATGAATCAGATGCAAAAGAACCACCTAACCAAATCAGTCTTAGAGACTTGGTTGCCGTGGACCAAGTGTCTTCCTATACCCTGCTGAGAATTCGAACTGCACCACGGAAAGACATTGGTCTTTCTCCTTATGAGATGCTCTATGGATTACCTTATTTGCACTCCACTACTGATATTCCTACCTTTGAAACAAAAGACCCAATCAATTCCTTACAAATTATATACTTGATGTATCTTCTACTTTCTCTTCTCTTAAAACTAAAGGTTTTTTAGCACAGGCGCCACCCTTGGAGTTCCCGGTGCATCAACATCAGCCTGGGGATCATGTCCTCATTAAGAGCTGGAAAGAGGAAAAACTTGAGCCAGCCTGGGAAGGTCCTTACTTAGTGCTCCTCGCGACTGAAACCGCAGTCCACACCGCAGAGAGAGGATGGACTCCAGAGTCATGGGCCATAGTCCTAGGGGAAAACCCTACCAAACTAAAGCTAAGAAGAATTTAACTCTCTTTCATCTATTCTATTACTTTTTCTTCTTTCCTCGCTCTATTGCTGACCATCTAGTTATTAACGTAACCAAGTCAAGTTCACCTCAAACTATTGCATTTGATGCTTGCCGTGTTATACTCTGTAGGGATTTGCTAAGTCAAAGACAGCTCTCTACTTCAGAAAAGTACCTCTGTCCCTCCTGGCTCTCCTCAGACTGGGCATTAGTGAATTGGGACCATTTAATCCGGGGAGATTTCAATAAAGACCCCAGTGGCAACCAGGAGTCTTGCCCCACTGATGTAGAGCTTTTATGCCGTAGTTGGTCCGATGTTCTGTGAACCACCAAAGAGCAAGGATGGAGTGCCCCAACCAGTTTTTATAATTTCCTAAAACCATACATTCATTTTACTAAAGGGACAGCCCCCCCTAACTGTCAGCTAAACCAGTGCAACCCTATACAGGTTATTATTTTGAGCCCCCAAAGTTCTCCCCTTTTTCTAAGCCAGTTCCCTTCTTTCAGCCGGTTTTATGGTATGGGAGCTGAGGTTTCAGGGACAGACCTATTGGATTCTTTGAAATGTGTTTCTTTGATCCCCCACCACCTGAACCTGCTTCTAAAGCTTTTTCTAAAACCTCTTACAATGGAACCATTGTTCCTCCTCCATCTAACGACAAGGCCAAGATAGCGATGGTAGAAGTTAAAGACTTAAAACAAACTTTAGCAATCGAGACAGGATACCAAGATGTAAATGCCTGGTTGGAATGGATCAAATATTCCATCTGCACGTTAAACAAAAGCAATTGTTATGCTTGTGCGTGTGGCAGGCCAGAGGTGCAGATTGTCCCCTTTCCACTAGGGTGGTACTCCAGCAGACTGGGCATGGGCTGCATGGTAGCTCTTTTCCAGGATTTTACAGCCTGGGGTAACAAGTCATGCCAAGCTCTCTCTCTGCTGTATCCTGAAGTTCCACACCCTGTGGGTCAGCCCCTGAGGGCCATCCAGCTTCGGTCTCCCAACACTAAGTTCACTTCGTGTCTCTCACGACAGGGAGGAAACTTAGCGTTCCTTGGAGACCTGAAGGGATGCAGTGAGCTTAAGAACTTTCAAGAGCTTACCAATCAGTCAGCCCTTGTTCATCCCCGAGTGGATGTGTGGTGGTATTGTGGTGGACCTTTACTGGACACTCTACTGAATAACTAGAGTGGCACTTGTGCTTTAGTCCAATTGGCTATCCCTTTTACCCTGGCATTTCATCAATAAGAGGAAGAAAAAATAAGACATTGTAAAGTGAGAGAAGCCCCTTATGCTTTCGACTCTCACATCTATTTAGACACAGTTGGAGTCCCATGGGGAATACCAGATCAATTTAAGGCCCAAAATCAAATAGCTGCAGGATTTGAGTCAATATTTTGGTGAGTGACAGTTAACAAAAATGTAGATTGGATAAACTACGTCTATTACAACCAACAGGGATTTATTAACTACACTAGAGATGCTGTTAAAGGAATAGCTGAGCAATTAGGGGCTACTAGCCAGATGGCTTAGGAAAATAGGATAGCCTTAGACATGATATTAGCAAAAAGAGGAGGAGTTTGCGTCATGATTAAAACTCGATGTTGCACCTTCATCCCAAACAACACCGCCCCTGATGGAAGTATAACAAAGGCATTGCAAGGTCTGACTGCTCTATCCAATGAGTTAGCCAGCAACTCAGGGGCAAATGACCCCTTTACGGGATGGCTAGAGAAGTGGTTTGGTAAATGGAAAGGAATAATAGCCTCAATTCTTTCCTCCCTCGTAGCTGTAATAGGTGTACTTATTCTTGTCGGGTGCTGTGTTATACCATGCATCCTGGGTTGGTGCAGGGGCTCATAGAAATGGCACTTACTAAAACCTCCCTTAACTATCCTCCACCTTATCCAGAGAAGCTGCTTCTTTTGGAAAATCAAGCAGAACAACTAAGTCAAGACATGTTAAATAAGTTTGAAGAGAAAGCCATAAAAAATTGCAAGAGGAGGAAGTTGTTGAATATGAATTCTAAATTTCTCTTCAAAGAATTAATATGTCAGTATGTTCAATTCTTTGCCTTCTACTTTTAAACTTAACTTCCTCGTAAAGCAACCTTTTGTGATTACCTACTCTACCCTGACTCATCCCGATTACCTACTCCACCCTGACTCATTCTGATCACCTACTCCACTCTAACTCATTCTGATCACCTCCACCCTGAATCATTCTGATCACCTGCTCCACCCTAACTCATTCCGGTTACCTGCTACAAAGCGCTCACCCCATCATTCTCTTTAAATTAGCCAATCGGAATTAGTTTAGCCTGTGCGGTCTAACACTAGCCAATAGGGGAATGACCCAGCAGCAGGGGCCATGTGCGTGTAATCCCAGCGCTTTGGGAGGCAGAGGCAGGCGGATCAGGAGGTCAGGAGATTGAGACTATTCTGGCTAACATGGTGAAACCCTGTCTCTATTAAAAATACAAAAAATTAGCCGGGCATGGTGGTGGGCGCCTGTAGTCCCAGCTACTCGGGAGGCTGAGGCAGGAGAATGGCGTGAACCCGGGAGGCGGAGCTTGCAGCAGTGAGCCCAGATTGGCCATTGCACTCCAGCAGCCTGGGCGACAGACAGAAACTCTGTCTCAAAAAAAAAAAAAAAAAAAAAAAAAAAAGAACCCCTTCTTCTCCCTTGTCCAAATGTGCGCCCACCATTGCTCCATCGGTGAGAGCGCACCCTTCTATAGAAGTACCTTGCCTTGCTGAGAATTAAAAAACAGAAAATTTTATATTCGAGTGCTACAACACAGAGGAATTGCAATGGATAAGGAGTAATTCACGCAGAGCTGGCTGTGAGGGAGACCGGAGTTTTATTATTACTCAAATCAGTCTCCCCAGCATTGGGGGAGCAGAGTTTTTAAGGATAACTTGGTCGGTGGGGGGAAGCCAGTGATCCAGGAGTGCTGATTGGTCAGAGGTGAAATGATATGGAATTGGATCTGTCTTCTTGAGCTCAGTCAGTTCCTGGGTGGGGGCCACAAGATCAGATGAGCCAGTTTTTGATCTGAGTGGGACCAGCTGATCCATGAAGTGCAGGGTCTGCAAAATATCTCAAGCAGTGACCTTAGGAGCAGTTTAGGGAGGGTCAGAATCCTGTAGCCTCCAGCTGCATGACTCCTAAACCATAATTTCTAATCTTGTGACTAATGTTAGTCCTACAAAGGCAGTCTAGTCCCCAGGCAAGAAGGAGGTCTGCTTTGGGAAAGGGCTGTTACCGTCTTTGTTTAAACCATAAACTACAAACTAAACTTCTCCCAAAGTTAGTTCAGCCTATGCCCAGGAATGGACAAGGACAGCTTGGAGGTTAAAAGCAAAATGAAGTCAGTTAAGTTAGATCTCTTTCACTGTCTCAGTCATAATTTTGCAAAGGTGGTTTCAGTAACATAATTGTTCCTAAGACTCTGTTCAAGCATATACAACATACCAGATGCTTTCCTTATACCTTTGAACATTTTATTATTATTATTATTGAGATGGAGTCTAGCTCTGTTGCCAGGCTGGAGTGCAGTGGCGCGATCTTGGCTCACTGAAACCTCCGCCTACCGGGTTCAAGCGATCCTCCTGCCTCAGCCTCCTGAGTAGTTGGGACTATAGGCACGCGCCACCACGCCCAGCTAATTTTTTGTATTTTTAATAGAGACGGGGTTTCTCCATGTTGGCCAGGATGGTCTTGATCACTTGACCTTGTGATCTGCCCACCTCAGTCTCCCAAAGAGCTGGGATTACAGGTGTAAGCCACCGTGCCCAGCCCATTTTATTATTTTTAATCCCGAAGCTATATGTTTTGTTTAACTTATTTAATAAACATACTCATCTTTTTTTGTTTGTTTGTTTGAGATGGGGTCTCATTCTGTCACCCAGGTTGGAGTGTAGTGGGATGATCACATCTCACTGCAACCTCTGCCTCCGGGCTCAAGCGATCCTCCCACCTCAGCTTCCCAAGTAGCTGGGACCACAGGCATGTGCCACCATGTCCAGCTAAGTTTTTGTATTTTTTGTAGAGGCAGGGTTTTGCCACGTTGCCCAGGCTGGTCTTGAACTCCTGGTCTCAGGCCATCCACCAGCCCCGGCCTCCCAAAGTGCTGGGATTACAGGTGTGATCCTCCATGCCCAGCCTATTTTGTTTTTCTGATTGCTTTCTAAATATTAACGTATGTAATCCTCATAACAATGGCTTTGTTACCAGAAAGGAGTCCAAATCTAGACCCCAAGAGAGGGTTCTTGGAGCTTGCCCAGGAAAGAATTCAGGGTGAGTCCTTAGTAAAGTGAAAGCAAGTTTATTAAGAAAGTAAAGGAATAGGCCTGGTGAGGTGGCTCATGCCTGTAATCCCAGAACTTTAGGAGGCCGAGGTGAGCGTATCACTTGAGGTCAGGCATTTGAGACCAGCCTGGTCAACATAGCGAAACTCTGACTCTACTAAAAATACAAAAATTAGCTGGGGTTGGTGGCGCATACCTGTAATCTCAGCTCTTTGGGTGGCTGAGGCACGAGAATCTCTTGAACCTGGGAGGAGGAGGTTGCAGTGAGCTGAGATCACACCACTGCACTCTAGCCTGGGTGACAGAGTGAGACTGTGTCTCAAAAAAAAAAAAAAAAAAAAAAAGAAAGGGAATAAGAGAACGGCTACTGCATAGACAGATCAGCAGCATGGGCTGACTTATGGTTATTTGATTATATGCTGAACAAGGGGTGGATTATTCAGGAGTTTTGTGGGAAAGGGATGGGAGTTCCCAGAATTGAGAGTTTAGACCCTTTTAGACTGTGTAGGGTAATCTCTGGGCATTGCTATGGCATTTGCATGGTGCTGGTGGGAGTGTCTTTTAGCATGCTAATATGTTGCAATTAGCATATAATGAGCAGTAAGGACAACCAGAGGTCACTTTCGTTGCCATCATGGTTTTGTTGGTTTTTGGCCGGCTTCTTTATTGCATGCTGTTTTTTTTTTTTTTGTTTTGTTTTGAGAAGGAGTCTTGCTCTGTTGCCAGGCTGGAGTGCAGTGGCATGATCTCGGCTCACTGCAACCTCCGCCTCCTGGGTTTAAGCAATTCCCCTGCCTCAACTTCCCTAGTAGCTGGGACTACAGGTATGTACCACCACGCCCAGATAATTTTTTGTATTTTACTAGACACAGGGTTTCACCGTGTTGTCCAGGATGGTCTTGATCTCCTGACCTTGTGATCCGCCCGCCTCGGCCTCCCAAAGTGCTGGGATTACATGCGTGAACCACCGCACCTGGCTATTATCAGCAAGGTCTTTGTGACCTGTATCTTGTGCTGGCCTCCTATCTCAACCTATGACTAACAATTCCTAAGCTCCTGGGGATGCAGTCTAGTAGGTCCCAGCCTCATTTTACCCAGTACCTATTCAAGATGGAGCCAGCCTGGTTGCAATGCCTCTGACAGTTTGGAGAGAAGATTATTTAGTTATTTATTGAGATGGAGTGCAATGGCGTAATCTCAGCTCACTGCAACCTCCGCCTCCCAGGTTCAAGCGATTCTCCTGCCTCAGCCTCCTGAGTAGCTGGGATTACAGGTATGCACCACCACACTCGGCTAATTTTGTATTTTTAATAGTGATGGGGTTTTCACCATGTTGGCCAGGCTGATCTCGAACTCCTGACCTGAGGTATCTGCTTGCCTCAGCCTCCCAAGGTGCTGGGATTACAGCCGTGAGCCACGCCACCTCGACCGGCGTTTTTTTTTGTTTGTTTGCTTGTTTTTTTGAGACGGAGTCTCAAGCTATCACCCAGGCTGGAGTGCAGTGGCATGATCTCGGCTCACTACAATCTCTACCTCCCAGGTTCAAGTGATCCTCCTTCCTCAGCCTCCCGAGTAGCTAGGACTACAAGCATGTGCCACCATGCCTGGCTAAGTTTTGTATTAGTAGAGACAGGGTTTCATCATGTTGGCCAGGCTGGTCTCAAACTCTTGACCTTGTGATCCACCCTCCTCAGCCTCCCAAAGTGCTGGGACCAGTGGCACTCATATTTTAAATAACATGGAATTCCTGGGGTGGTGCTAAAGTGTTTTTTTTTTTTTTAATAAAGATGAGGGGTCAGGTTTGGACATAGCCATAGGATAAGAGTTAAAACAAACTTGGCTTGTTGGCATTGATTTATGGACAACGCTTTCCCAGATCACACAAAAGCCTCAGGAAGACTGACACCAACTGTGAGTTTCTTCTCTTCTCATCCTTTCTGTGTCACCTTCCGTTCTGGGAAGACCAGGCTCCATTAGCTACTTTTCTTCCTGGATGCTCAAGAACTCCTCTGTCATGCTTGGGACCCAAGTCCTTCCCATTATACGTTGAGCTGGGTTCTGTGTCCCAGAGTTAGAGACTGTGTTATGCTAGGTCTTATCTGAATCTCCCATAAGTGGGTTTCCTTGGCTTCGGGCTTCTGATCCTACAGAAGCTAGCCACCTCCTTTGCTCTTTGCTGTGGTTGCCAGAAGAGGAGTTCCTTTACTGGTCCCTATCTGTTATCTTTTCGGCTTGATTCACCCTGCCTGTAGCCACTCCATCCAGTGGATCCTAGTCCTGTTTGTGTTTTTTTTTTAAGACTCTAAATGTTCTTTAGGTTCCTTCTTAACTCTGTGCTTCTAGGATTGTTCTGCCTCTATCATGTCTCCTGTCAAATTCTTCTTAGAGTAAGTTTTTTAACGAAGTCAGATTTCCCTACTGAATTATTCTAACCTAGCATCTATCTTTTTTTTTTTTTTTTTTTTTTGAGATGGAGTCTCACTCTGTCACCCAGGCTGGAGTGCAGTGGTGCAGTCTTGGCTCACTGCAACCTCTACCTCCCAGGTTCAAGCAATTCTCCTGCTTCAGCCTCCTGAGTAGCTGGGACTACAGGTAAGCACCACTAGGCCTGGTTAATTTTTCTATTTTTTGTACAGATGTGGTTTTGCCATGTTGGCCAGGGTGGCCTTGGCCTCTCAAAGTGCTGGGATTACAGGTGTGAGCCATCGGGCCTGGCCTAACTTAACATCTATCTTATCTTCTCTAGAGGGTCCTGCTGTCAGGCTGGTCACTGTTTTGTCCGTGCCCTGACCATGTGGCTTGTCTTTAGGGAGCCCAGATGCTTATACTCTCATTGTAAGTTGGGTAAGAAAACTATTCTCCCTCTTGGTATTTTAGATAATCTTCCCCTTAGCTGCTCTGGCAATTCCTCTGCTCTAATCCCAAGACTGGCAACTAACATGGCTCCTGTCTGGCTCATGGCCATTCACTGCCGTAATCCCTTTTCTTAGCCACAAATATCTACTCATTATGGACTGGGCAAGGGGAAAACAGACTCCACATGGTCACACTGTTATCTTTTTTTTTTTTTGAGATGGAGTTTCACTCTTGTTGCCCAGGCTGGAGTGCAATGGCACGATCTTGGCTCACTGCAACCTCCGCCCCCGGGTTCAAGCGATTCTCCTGCCTCAGCCCCCCGAGTAGCTAGGATTACAGGCATGCACCACCACACCCAACTAATTTTGTATTTTTAGTAGAGACAGGGTTTCTCCATGTTTGCCAGGTTGGTCTCAAACTCCTGACCTCAGGTGATCCACCCGCCTCGGCCTCCCAAAGTGCTGGGATTACAAGCATGAGCCACCACACCTGGCCACACTGTGTTTTTTTTTTTTTTTTTTTGAGATGGAGTCTCGCTCTATTGCCCAGGCTGGAGTGCAGTGGCGTGATCTCGGCTCACTGCAAAGTCCACCTCCCAGGTTCATGCCATTCTCCTGCCTCAGCCTCCTGAGTAGCTGGGACTACAGGCGCCCAACACCGCGCCCGGCAAATTTTTTGTATTTTTAGTAGAGACAGGGTTTCACCGTGTTAGCCAGGATGGTCTCGATCTCCCGACCTCGTGATCCACCTGCCTCGGCCTCCCCAAGTGCTGGGATTACAGGCGTGAGCCACCGCGCCTGGCCACACACTGTTACCTTTTACAGTGCTTTAAAGCAAATGTTAAACCAGAATGTAATCAGCTCCCAAGGTCAGAAGGGGCATCTTTCTCCATAAGAAGATGTGTGCATGTGCTTACCTCCATTGCACTGGACTTAGGACAGCATTTTGGCACTGTGCAAGAGTACAAATGTGTGACGTACTCAGCCCAGAACTGTCCCGTTTGCTGGGGAATATAGGAGCTTTCCCTGAACCATATTTCTCCTTTTGGGCGGGTTGTCCTCTTCCTGCCTCCAGCCAAGAGGTGGTCTATGTCTCTCCGAGTCTTCATTCCCAGTATGGATATTCCTCCCATCAGCATTATCTCAAGGAGCTCCTGACTATGCCCAGTGATCCTTGGGTGAGGCCACACTGTACCCCTGTAAGTTTAGGTCACATTTCAGCTATTAGAGGGTCCCAGCTTCAGCTCTATTCCAGAGTCCATAAACAGCAATTCAGCATTTCTAGGGGCTTAAAAGCAATTCTGTTTTTGTATCCTTGGACCACAGATTTTTCTAGGGCCATCTGGACTCTCTGAGTTGCTGCCAATAGGACAGCAGGGAAAGTCCAGACCAGTCCAGGTTAACCGGCCCCAACATATCAATGTGGTTTTCTATGATGTCTTCCACTCCCCAGGTCAGCCAACCAAATCCTGTTCCACTGGGGTTCAGAGTCCCTAAAATGGAACTGTTTGGTTCTTCTAGGAGCACAGGAAGAAAACAGTGAGGAGGAGGAGTGGGGAGAAAAAGACTCATGCGAAAAAGGGAGAGGAAGTGAGTGATGCTGAGGGAAGAGAAAAAAGCAAATGGCAACAGCAGCAGCAGAAGGAGAGTGAGGGTGGGAGGGAAAGGCAGAAATACAGAGTTCTACTCTTGATAATGTACTATTATTTTTGAGATAGGGTCTCGCTATGTCACCCAAGCTGGAGGGCAATGGCATGATCATGGCTCACTGCAACCGTGACCTCCTGGGCTGAAGCAATCCTCCCTTCTCAGCCTCCCAAGTAGCTAGGACTACAGGTGTGTGCCATTAGATCCGGCTAATTTTTAAAATTTTTTGTAGAGATGAGGTCTTGTTATGTTGCCCAGGCTGGTCTCGAACTCCTGACCTCAAGTGATGCTTTCATCTCAGCCTCCCAAAGTGCTGGGATTACAGGCATGAGCCACCATGCCCAGCCTTCTCTCTCTCTCTCTCTCTCTCTCTCTCTCTCTCTCTCTCTCTCTCTCTCTCTCTCTCTCTCT
This sequence comes from Homo sapiens, assembly GCF_000001405.40. Taxonomy (NCBI): domain Eukaryota; kingdom Metazoa; phylum Chordata; class Mammalia; order Primates; family Hominidae; genus Homo; species Homo sapiens. Next base: position 41,599,950 of record NC_000015.10, read on the forward strand.
CTCTCTGTGTGTGTGTGTGTGTGTGTGTGAGAGAGAGAGAGAGAGAAGAGGTAGAGGTTTATTGAAATATGAACATTTGGCCAGGCTCAGTGGCTTGCATCTGTAATCCCAGCACTTTGGGAGGCCAAGGTGGGTGGATCGCTTGAGCCCAGGAGTTTGAGACCAGCCTGGGCAACATGGCGAAACCCTGTCTCTACTAAAAATGTACAAAAAATTAGCTGGGTGTGGTGGTGTGTTCCTATAGTCCCAGCTCCTTGGAGGCTGAGGTGGGAGTATGGCTTGAGCCTGGGAGGTGGAAATTGCAGTGAGCTGAGACCACGTTACTGCATTCCAGCCTGGGCAACAGAGTGAGACCCTATCTCAAACAAACAAATACAAAACCAAAAAAAAAAAAAAAAAAAAAGAGAGAGACAGAAAGAAATATAAACATTCAAGGAAATGTAAGATGGAAACAGCCATAACATATAGAGACACTTGCTGCAAGAGGATGCCTGAGGCATTTATTCACTGCCTAGGCTGCCCATGTGCTGTCACATTTTTCCTGGTTTGAATACATATAAGATGGGAAGAGGGGAGGGGACAGAGTTGCTCTGGCTGACTGCCTACCATGTGGCCTTCAGGAATGCACCTTCAGGAAAGCTCCACTTGGGCTAGGGCCCCACTCCTGGGCACCTGCTGGCACCCTCCCCTCTTGGGCTCTGGGTAAGACCTTGTGTTGTCCTTGAGGGCAGTGGGGGTTCTCACTCATCACTCAGAGGATGAGGCCAGGCAAGCTGCCTGGGGAAAGGGAGAGGATCCAATGGCCAGAAAGACACAGTGTGCTGTCCTTGCATCCTCTGGGTGGGAAGAGTCCATCTTTTGTGACCACAGCTCTGAGAAACACACTGGCCAAATGTCTGAGACACCTTTAAGCAGGCTCAGTGCCAGCCAGTTGGCCCCCTCACTGGCACCAGATCCCAGATATCCTTCTCTCCCACAGCCTGCACTTGAGGTACTTGTTTTGTGTTCAAGCTTTTTATTTCTCTTTCCTTTCCTAGACAGGACTGAATGCTAGCCACACTGTCACACTGCCTCCCATCACACATAGTGTCTCCTGCCACCACAGTCCAAGGATGTTGCAGTGGTGGTGTTCTTCTGCACTCTTCAGGGCTTACTTAGCAGAGGTAAGCCTCATCCAAGAATCATCTTTCCTTTACAACACAGGAGCAACCTACTGCATGCCAGGGTCCAAGAGGGGAGACAGGGCCTGGTGCGGTGGCTCATGCCTGTAATCCCAGCACTTTGGGAGGCCGAGGCAGGCAGATCACGAGGTCAGCAGTTCGAGACCAGCCTGACCAACATGGTGAAACCTCGTCTCTACTAAAAATACAAAAATTAGCCAGGCGTGATGGCGGGTGCCTATAGTCCCAGCTACTCAGGAGGCTGAGGCAGGAGAATTGCTTGAACCTGGGAGGTGGAGGTTGCATTGAGCGGATATCGCACCACTGCACTCCAGCCTGGGCAACAAAGCGAGGTTCCATCTCAAAAAAAAAAAAAAAAAAAAAAAGAAGGGAGACAGACCTTTTTCAGCATCTTCATTCCTTGGGGCAGCTTGACCTCCAGCAAGACTGGTAAGGACCATGGTGCAAGGAGCATGGCCTGCCCATGACCTGAACTGGAAATCCAGCCTATGTGATGGTATTAGCCTGAGTTCCTGGTTAACATTTTATAGTGACCCATCAAATATGCATAAAAAAGTAAGGAAGCCTGGGCATGGTGGCTCATGCCTGTAATCCCAGCACTTTGGGAGGCTGAGGCAGGCGGATCATGAAGTCAAGAGATCGAGCCCATCCTGGCCAACATGGTGAAACCCTGTCTCTACTAAAAATACAAAAATTAGCTGGGTGTGGTTGGGGGAGCCTGTAATCCCAGATGCTCGGAGGCTGAGGGAGGATAATCGCTTGAACCCAGGAGGCGGAGGTTGCAGTGAGCCTGGGGGACAGAGTGAGACTCCATCTCAAAAAAAAAAAAAAGAAAAAAAAAAAAAAGGAAGGAAGGAAGCTTGCAGTTTTGATTAATAATAAAGGCTGGTGTTTCCATGGTCCCCATCCCTGGGAAGACCTGTGGGCTACCTTCCCAGGTTTCTTTTGCCTCTGCAACCTGGTCGAGGGGTTAAGAGTTGGGGAGGTGAGTAGAACTGAGTGGCTTTGCTCCACTTTTTTCCCTTAATCCTGGCAAAGGGTCCCATACATCATAGCTGTTAAGATGCTCACAGCTTCTCTGAGGGCAGAGTTCACTTCATTGCTTTCTTTCTTGGGGTTTCACTCCTTTCATTCTGCTTTTTATCCTTTCCTGGCCTGGTTGACTCTGGATATATCATAGATATTTTCTGAATCTTCTTCTGTATTTGTTAAATAGGGTTAAGACCCTTCTCTGGCCTTTTCACTAGAATACAACAAAGATTAAATCAGCTTTCATTGATAAGAGAGCTTTGTATAATGCAAATTATAAGTATCATTTGTGATGGCCATAATCTAGGATTAAATTGCATTCCCTAACACAAAAACTTTCCATTCCTCAGTATGATAGTCAGAGAGGATGCTATTAGTATGTTTTCAGAAATTCCTTTTTTTTGAGACAGAGTTTCGCTCCATGCTGGAGTGCAGTGGAGTGATCTCAGCCCACTGCAACCTCCGCTTGCCGGGTTCAAGTGATTCTCCTGTCTCAGCCTCCAGAGTAGCTGGGATTACAGGCGTGCCCCACCATGCCTGGCTAATTTTTGTATTTTTAGTAGAGATGGGGTTTCACCATGTTGGCCAGGGTGGTCTCAAACTCCTGACCTCAGGCGATCCAACCACCTCACCCTCCTAAAGTGCTGGAATTACAGGTGTGAGCCACTGCGCCCAGCCTGTTTTCAGAACTTCTTTATCTCCTAGGCCAGCCAGAAACATTAGTGAGAACTTGGAAAACAACTGCTGCATGTCTGGGGTTGACATAACGTCTGTTCCCTCAGTGGGTCTTATCTTCTGCCCTGTGAACAGTGATCCACCTCATGTATTCACAATTCACAGTCTTGCTCTTCCTTTCATTCAGGTAGGCAGGTAGTCTCAGGCCAAACTTCCCAAAGGTTATGAATTCAGGTTCTGGATTCCCATCTAGAATCAGTCTACTTGGGTCCGGAACATTTGGAGCCCATGTAAATACTGAGTGTGTGTGTGGTGTGTGTGTGTGTCTGTGTAGGGAGGATGAACTTGAAAATGCTATGGAAATAAATAATGGAGTAGCAAGGAGGACGTTCTGTCTGATTACAGTAAAATAATTCTAAATTAATAGGAGACGGGAATAGGAAAGGTGACTAAGAGAAAAGCTAATTTCTGATAGAAACTTAGGGAGCAAAACCTATGTAGCTAAGCAGCGGCTAAGAGGGAATGAGACATGATATAAAACCTGAAGAAGAGGCGTCCTGGTTTTAGCTTAGCCCAAGGGCAAAAGTAATAGGAGAATAAAACAGACTTCTACAATCTGTAGATTTCTTCTTGTTCTGCTAGAAAAGACAGAGTTGGTGGGGGACAGTGGGGTGTTTAGGACTATATGGAACCTTCTTGAAACACATACAGATAGCTTAAGGACAGACAGCATGACCACAAGTCTTCAATCTGTCATTAACTTGCACGTGTGGGTGTGTGACATCTACCTCTGACTGGAAACAGCAATTAGAAGGCGGCTTTCGTCTCTTAGAAGAGTGCCTGTTCCTATGTGAGGAGCACCCAGGACTTCAGCTGGATGACAGTGGGAAGCTGTTGATGTAGTGGCTTTGACAGCTTCAACTCATGTCTGCTTTGGTGTCAGACACTCCTGATCTTTCCCGAGCTTTCACGCAGTACAGTAGGAAAAACTGTAGGCTTCTCTTCTCAGTAAAGGACTAGATATTGCCACTCATCACTCTTCTTAAGTCTATCCACTAAGAGTGAAGAAGCATGTCAGAGCTTACCCATCGGTCCTGAACTGACCTCCTCTGGAGGTCTCTCAGTTGGCCACAGTTTAGCTCTGTGTCCTCATCACTATGAGGAATTAGTCTTCCCTTCGCATCCACCAGGAGGAGGTAGAGGGCATGCCCGTTTGGGTGATGCCAGGACCGGCGCGCTTCACAGGGGTTTGTAAGCACCCCCTCAACCTCCCTTCCTTTTCCTGGCAGCAAATAGCAGAGGTTAGTGAGCATCAGCCTTGTCTCCCTGAGTGGGGAGGAGGGAAATGGGGGAAGGGAGACAGCATATCAAAATGCACTTCCAAAATGAAAATGAAGACAAAAAAGAAGAAAAAATGATTTCTGTGGCACATGGTGCTACTGAGGGAGAGGTGATGACAGCCTCCTCCCATTTCAGGAACAGTTCCCAGCGTTGTCTGTAGGCGGATTCACATGACACATTCTTAAACCCAATTCCATTCTGTGTTGCGTTTGCTCCTTGCTCACATCTCAGGAACAATGTATCTCTACATCTTTGTATCTAAGTTTGATTCTGAATGGATTGTCTAGCTGAATATCCCGGCTGCCCCGCTTGTAATGAATTTGTGCCAGTACTTAGCCTTTTGAGTCATGAAACCCCATCAACCCAGCTCTCTGCATCTGCACATGACCTGGAATGCCTGGAGAGTTACTAAGAAGTTGGAAGTTCTTCACGATGTCTCGATGTGAAAAAATACAAATGCATATTGCTGGAGGAAGTAATACCAATGATGCAAATTTGCCTGGAAACTATTCTGAACCCAGCTGTCCTTCCTGGAAAATGAAATTTTGGTTGCGGCATTTTTTGATTGATGTCTCTACATGAGGAGGTTTTTGGCTTTTTAGTGTTGCTGCTTTTCTGTTCTCACTCCTCTAAGAATCTTTGCCAAAATACCACTGACATTTGAGGAAGAGAATAGAGACAGTTTGGTTTCTTACTTGTAAATTCCTCTGTTTCCTTGGTGATGTAAATAATTATGTAATATATAAAAAGTTTTTAGCAAATTCAAATTTTGGTTTGAAAAAAACAGGTTTTGTTACCTGTGGTAAAGTCTAGAGGAACAATCTCAGAGAGCTAGAAACTGTCTGTTCCTCCTTAACTCTTTTTACTATTATTATTTTTAAATTTTTAGTAGAGTCAGGGTTTCACCATGTTGGCCAAGCTGGTCTGGAACTCCTGACCTCAAGTGATCTGCCCGCCTCGGCTTCCTATAGTGCTGAGATTACAGGCGTGAGCCACCGCGCCCAGCCGTGTTCCTCTTTAACTGTTTTTAAATTAGAAAATCTAGCCAGGCGCAGTGGCTCACGTCTGTAATCCCAACACTTTGGGAGGCCAAGGCTGGCAGATCACCTGAAATCAGGAGTTCGATACCAGCCTGGCCAACATGGTGAAACCCTGTCTCTACTAAAAATACAAAAAATTAGCTGGGCATGGTGGCAGGTGCCTGTAATTCCAGCTACTCAGGAGGCTGAGGCAGGAGAATCGCTTGAACCTGAGAGGCAGAGGTTGCAGTGAGCCAAGATTTCACCATTGCACTCCAGCCTGGGCAACAAAAACAAAACTCTGTCTCAAAAAAAAAAAAAAAAGAAAAAGAAAGATAAGAAAAAGAAAATCTCTCCTGAAACATAGGGGCTACTGAGACCCCAAATCTAATGCCATTTTAAACATGCACTTTTAAAAGTTTCAGTAAGTCTGCCCAGGTGTGCGGCTGGTGTACAGCCCTGTCAGAAGACAGCCTAGAATAATTCTCTGCCACCTTCAGCTTTATTAGGAGAATCCTGTCCAAAGGGCAGACCCAGAGTCCAGGAATGTGAAAGGAAGGGCAGAATCACCTCAAACAGCCCGAAAGGACTGAGGAATTCCACACATCTGGTTTGTGGAATCTTCAAGGGGAGAGGTTCTATTAGCAGAAGAAAATAGGAGACTGATGGTCTGGAAGAGGGCTCACTCTATTTGCACCCTCAGAGGCATACTTTTCACTCTGGCTATTCTAAACTTTTATATTCACTCAGGTTCCCAATTTCCGCTCTTCCTTTTCCATCGGTTACTCTTTTACTCTTGGCAAATCGCCTTATCTCCTTTCTATCTCGTGGGTAGAAATATGAGCACTACCTTTTTTTTTTCTTTTTGAGACAGGGTCTCACTCTATTAACCCAGTCTGGAGTGCAGTGGTACAATCACGGCTCACTGCAGCCTCCACCTCCCAGTCTCAATCGATCCTCCCATCTCAGCCTTCTGAGTAGCTGGGACTACAGGCACACATCACTATGCCCGGCTAATTATTATCATTATTTTTTTTGTAGATATGAGGTCTCACCATGTTGCCCAGTCTGGTCTCTAACTCCTAGGCTCAACTGATCCTCCCACCTTGGCCTTCCAAAGTGCTGGGATTACAGGTGTGAGTCACCATGCCTGGCTGAGTACTACCATTTATTAGCTGTTTGACCTTGTTAAAGTCACCTCACTTCTTGGTGACTCTGTTTCCATAACTGTAAAATGGGGATAACAATAGTATATACTTTAGGAGGTTGTAAGGATTAAGTGAGTTAATACATTACAAATTATTTAGGCTAGTAAATGCTAGGGCTTATGATTATTACTGAGAAGACAGAAATCAATGACATGAACTCCATTATACAAATTCCTCTCCACCTAAAAAATACCTGTATCATTACCCACCACTTCTTCTCTTTCTACTTCAGAGCAAATGACTGTCTTATTTTCTTTTTTCTTTCTTTTTTTTTTTTGAGAAGGAGTCTCACTCTGTCAGCCAGGCTGGAGTGCAGTGGTGCGATCTTGGCTCACTGCAACCTCCGCCTCCCTGGGTTCAAGTGATTCTTCTGCCTCAGCCTCCCAAGTAGCTGGGACTATAGGCGCCCACCACAACGCCTGGCTAACTTTTGTATTTTTAGTAGAGACAGGATTTTGCCATGTTGGCCAGGCTGGTCTCGAACCCCTGACCTCAGGTGATCCACCCGCCTCGGCCTCCCAAAGTGCTAGGATTATAGGCATGAGCCACTGAGCCCAGCCAACTGTCATTTCCTAAATTGGCGCTTTCCACCTGTGTCTTGATTCTATCTTCTCCTGTCTCCTTAAGGGAACTTATTGCATGATTTATTTTCTCCTTCACATTTTAAATTGGTTCCTTTGTCCTGTCTCCTTGTTTTCATCTCACACGCATTCAGGTCTCTCCCATTTGGAAAAGGCCTCTATATGACCTCACTCTCTTTAAGCTACTGTCCCATTTTTTCCTCCTCCTTTTACTGCCAAATACTGTGTGCCTCCATGTCTTCATGACTCATTCTCTCATTATTCCTCTGCCATCTGGCTCTTTCCTGCAACACCCCACTCTCACATAGCTGTGCCTATGGTCATCCAGCTCTAAATTCAAAGAACTTAAAAAAATGTTTAAGAGATGTGGTCTTGCTTTATTGCCCAGGCTGGAGTACAGTGGCTATTGACAGCCACAATTACAGCTCACTGCAGCCTCCAACTCCTGGGCTCAAGCAATCCTCCTGCCTCAGTCTCCCCAGTAGCTGGGACTATAGATGCACATCACTGCACATGGCTCCAAAGGACTTTTCTTGATTTCTGTTCTCCTTAGCCTCTTTGCTGTGATCAATATTGCTGACCATCATCTGCTATGAGAAATCCTCTCCTCTCTTGGCCTGTATGCAAGTCTGCTGTGCTGCTGCTTCTCCTCTCCTGTGGCCTCTTTGTCTAATGCCTCTAGAGGCTCCATTTCTTTCTTTCCACTCCTCAGCTGTGGGAATGGAGACAGGTTTGATGGCCAACCTTTTGATTTCTTTCTTTCTTTTTTTGAGATGGAGTCTTGCTGTGTTGCCCAGGCTGGAGTGCAGTGGCATGATCTTGGCTCACTGCAACCTCCACCTCCTGGGTTCAAGCAATTCACCTGTCTCAGCCTCCTGAGCAGCTGGGGTTACAGGCACACACCACCATGTCCAGCTAATTTTTGTATTCTTAGTAGAGATGAGGTTTCACCATGTTGGCCAGGCTGGTCTCGGACTCTTGACCTCATGATCCGCCCGCCTTGGCCTCCCAAAGTGCTGGGATTACAGGCATGAGCCACCACTCCTGGCCCTGATTTATTTCTATACTCATACTCTTTGATCTTTTTCTCACGCCTTATTATATCTCTAAATGTCTCCTGAACACTCATCCTTCATCTTTCTTTTTTTTTCTTTTAAGACAGAGTCGCTCTGTTGCCCAGCCTGGAGTGCAGTGGTGTGATCTCAGCTCACTGCAACCTCCGCCTCCTGAGTTCAAGTGTCTCCTGCCTCAGCCTCCCAAGTAGCTGGGATTACAGGCACCTGCCACCACCTCGTCTAATTTTTTTTTTTTTTTGAGATAAGAGTCTTGCTTTGTTGCCCAGGCTGGAGTGCAGTGGCGTGAACTCAGCTCACCACAACCTCTGCCTCCTGGGCTCAAGAGATTCTCTTGCCTCAGCCTCCCAAGTACCTGGGACTACAGGCATGCACCACTGCGTCCAGCTAGTTTTTGTATTTTTAGTAGAGCCAGGGTTTCCCCATGTTGGCCAGGCTGGTCTTGAACTCCTGACTTTAGGTGATCTGCCTGCCTTGGCCTCTCAAATTGCTAGGATTATAGGCGTGAGCCACCGTGCCTGGCCTTGTCCTTCATCATTCTTTGTTCTCACTTCCTCAGCTTCATCATACATCATGCTTGCTCCCACTTGTTTTGGCCACACTAGCCTTTTTTTTTGTTTGTTTTCTTTTCTTTTCTTTTTTTTTTTTTTTTTTTTGAGACAGAGTCTCGCTTTTGTCGCCCAGGCTGGTGGGCAGTGGTGCGATCTTGGCTCACTGCAATCTCTGCCTCCTGGGTTCAAGTAATTATCCTGCCTCAGCTTGCTGAGTAGCTGGGATTACAGGTGCCTGCCACCACACCGGCTAATTTTTGTACTTTTAGTAGAGATGGGGTTTTGCCATGTTGGCCAGGCTGGTCTCAAACTTCTTACCTCAAGTGATCCACCTACCTTGGCCTCCCAAAGTGTTGGGATTACAGGTGTGAGCCACCACACCTGGCCCACACTGGCCTTCTTTTAGTTTACTGAAGGTGCTGTGGCATGTTTTTTTTTTTTTCCTGGTTATTGTTAACTTGCATTTATCTTTATCTCTAAAAATTGAAATATAATTCGCTTACCACACAATTTACCCCTTTAAAGTATGCAATTCAGTGGATTTTAGTATGTTCACAAAGTTGTGCAACTGTTACCACTATCTCATTCCAGAGCATTTTCATTGCCTCAAAGAGAAACTCCATACCCAAGAGCAGACACCCCTTCTTCTTCTCTGCTCCCCACCACCCCCTGGCACTCACTAATCTACTTTCTGTCTCTATGCTGTTGGCTTTGGAACATGCTGTTCCTTCTGCCTAGAACTTTCCCCATCTTGTCTCCTAGTCAACTCTTGCTCTTACCTTCAGCTCTCACTGCCAGCTTCCTCAAGCGGGTCAGTTCTCTTTATGCTTCCATATGAATATGTACCACTTTGTAGCATTTATCACAAATTGTATTTTAATATTTATTTATGGAATTCTTTGATTTATGTCTGTCATCCCAATAAGAGACATGAGGGCAAAAACTATATATATATTTTGGGGGGCATTCATAAATGAATAAAATTTGTCATCTCTGTCTATTACACAGCTTCACTTGAATGTAATAGTATGCCACCTAACACAGCTAAGACAATATAAATTGTTTTTCTCTGAAAACCGATTCCTCCTTCAGTCTCCCCGATTTGATGATGCTTCTTCATTCTCCAGGGCACACAGGCTTCGTTTCTTGGAGACATTTGACTCCTTTCCTCTGTCCTATCTCCCACATTCAGTGCTCTTCAAATTCTTCAGTCCTTTGGATGTTTGTACTCCAGTCTTTCACGTAGTGTCCTTAGTGCTCAGTTAACATCTAGTGTAACTTTTGGAAGTATCTGCAGAGAGGGAAATGGCTGCAGCCACGAGGATAGGTGAGCCTTCAAGGACTGCTACAGGAGTGAAAGAGAAACAGAAAAAAAAAAGGAAATGGCAGAGGATGGCGACCTAGGACACAGCCATACAACAGAGGGCTGGAGAATACTTAGCAGTAAAGTAACGAGAGAAGCAAAAGGAGACCCTGACTAATGTGCTGTAATCCATTCACCATTTACCGAGCATCTGTTACTTGCCAGGTACTTACATTATGGTGAGACGAACATGAATCAGAAGCTGTCTCTTTGCTGAAGGAAGTCAGGGTCTAGTGAAAGAGAGAAGCATGTAAACAAAAACTTACAATACAATACAATACAATGCTTGGTAAGTATTATAATAAAAGTATTCACACAGTGTTCTGCAAGCCAGAGGAGGTGGTGACTAAGATTCTCTCAGGACAGGGGTGGGTAGAGGTGGGTGTCACAGGATGCCTAGGACTTTTTAGCAGCCTGAGATTGCAAGGAGTGACATTCCAAGAAGACAGAACAACCTCAAGAAGCCGGGGCCCATGTGGAACTTCAAATCATTTTGTTTAGTTTTAGTGTAAAGAAGGGAATATTGGCTGGGCGCGGTGGCTCACGCCTGTAATCCCAGCACTTTGGGAGGCCCAGGTGGGTGGATCACGAGGTAAGGAGTTCAAAACCAGCCTGACCAAGATGGTGAAATCCTGTCTCTACTAAAAATACCAAAATTAGCTGGGCGTGGTGGCGGGCACCTGTACTCCCAGCCACTCGGGAGGCTGAGGCAGAGAATTGCTTGAACCTGGGAGGCAGAGTTTGCAGTGAGCCGAGTTCGCGCCACTGTACTCCAGCCTGGGAGACGAAGCGAGACTCTGTCTCAAAAAAAAAAAAAAAAAAAAAAAAAAAAGGAAATATCTTGGGAATTCAGGCTGGGGTGACTTTGTGTTTGTGAAGAGTCTCCTAAGAAGCTATGGAGGTTACTTTATATTCTCTAGCTAATGGAGAGTCACCAAAGGTTGGTTGGTTGATTTGTTTTTTTGAGACAGAGTCTCGCACTGTCGCCCCGGGCTGGAGTGCAAAGGCGCGATCTCGGCTCACTGCGACCTCCGCCTTCCCGGTTCACACGATTCTCCTGACTCAGGCTCCCGAGTAGCTGAGATTACAGGCGCACACCACCACACCCGGCTAATTTTTTGTATTTTTAGTAGAGACGGGGTTTCACTATGTTGACCAGATGTGTCTTGAATTCCTGACCTCGTGATCCGCTCGCCTCGGCCTCCCAAAGTGTTGGGATTACAGGCGTGAGCCACCGCGCCTGGCCTTTTTTTTTTTTGAGACGGAGTCTCGCTCTGTCCTCCAGGCTGGAGTGCAGTGGCGCGATCTCGGCTCACTGCCAGCTCCGCCTCCCGGGTTCACACCATTCTCCTGCCTTAGCCTCCGAGTAGCTGGGACTACAGGCGCCCGCCACCATGCCCGGCTAATTTTTTTGTATTTTTAGTAGACACGGGGTTTCACCGTGTTAGCCAGATGGTCTCAATCTCCTGACCTCATGATCCAACCGCCTCGCCTCCCAAAGTGCTGGGATTACAGGTGAGAGCAACCGCGCACGCCTGGCCTTTTTTAAAAAATCAACTTCATTAAGGCATAATTTACATACAATATAATATATAGATTTTAAGTATACAGTTCAGAGTTTTGATAAATGCATACATTTGTATAACCATTACCCTAATCAAGATAGATAACCTTTTTTTTTTTTGAGACAGGGTCTAACTGTGTTGCCCAGGCTGGGGTGCAGTGGTATGATCTCAGCTCACTGTAGCCTCAACCTCCTGGATTCAAGTTATCCTCCCACCTTAGCCTCCCCAGTAGCTGGGACTACAGGTGTGTGCCACCACACCCAGCTAATTTTATTTTTTGCAGAGATGAGGTCTCACTATGTCATCCAGTCTGGTCTCAGACCCCTGGGCTTATGTGATCCTCCAGCCTCAGCCTCCCAAAATGCTGGGATTACAGGTGTGAGCCACTGTGCCTAGCTGATACAGAACATTTCTGTCACCTCTAAGTCCTCTTGTGCCCCTTTGTCGTTGATTCTGCCTCTTCCCACAGGTAATATTGTTGTGATTTCTACTCCCGTATGTTTTGGTTATAGATTGTTGTATCTGTAGATCGTTTTGTCACCCCAAAACCCAGTGGCTTAAAAGAATAAAAATCATTGGCTGGGCGCGGTAGCTCATGCCTATGATCCCAGCACTTTGGGAGGCCGAGGTGGGTGGAACACGAGGTCAGGACTTCAAGACCAGCCTGGCCAACGTGGCGAAACCCTGTCTCTATTAAAAATACAAAAATTAGCTGGGCGTGGTGGCAGGCGCCTGTAATCCCAGCTACTCGGGAGGCTGAGGGAGGACAATCGTTTGAACCCAAGAGGTGGAGGTTGCAGTGAGCTGAGATCGCGCCATTGCACTCTAGCCTGGGCGGCGCGAGACTCTGTCTCAAAAAAAAAAAAAAAAAAAAAAGAATAAAAATCATTTATTTGCTCATGATTTTGCAATTTGGTCATGGTTTAGTGGAATCAATTTGTCTGCTTTGTGGGTCACCTGGGGTAGCTTGACTGGGGCTGGAGAATTCACTTCACTTACATGGCTGGAGAGTTGGGATAGGCTCTGGGCTGGGAGCTCAACTAGAACTGTCTTCCACGTGGCTGTTTGGGTTTCCTTACAACATGGTGGGTGAGTACCAAGAAGGAGAAAGTTGAAGCTACCAGTGCTTGTAAAGACCAGACGCAAAACTGGTACAACATCACTTCAGCTGTATTCTACTGACCAAAGCAGGCATGAGCCTAGAAGAAATTCAAGGGGATGGAAAAATAAATTCCACTTTTCAGTGGGGAGAGTGACAAAGATGGGCCATCTTTATTCCACCACATCATAGATTAATTTTGTCTGTTCTAGAATGTCCTACAGAATGGAATCATACACTGTGTTTTAATATATGTCTGGCTTTTTTTGCTTATTATGTGTTTTGAGATTCATCTATATTGTTTTTTCCTTTTTTTTTTTTTTAAATAGAGATGGCTGGGGGGTTTCACTATGTTGCCCAGGTTGGTCTTGAACTCCTGGGCTCAAGTGATACTTCCACCTCAGCCTCCCAAAGTGTTGGGATTACAGGCCTGAGCCACTGCACCCAGCCATTCAACTATATTGTTGATATATCAGCAGTTCATTCCTTTTTATTGACAAACTCCAGAACTCCATTCTTTTTTTTATTGCTGAATATAGTCCATTGATAATCAATTTGTTTACTTATTTATCTGTTGATGGACATTTGAGTTGTTTCTAGTTTTTGGTTATTATGAATAAAGCTGTTATAAAATTTTTAATACAATAGTTTTTTGTGTGCTGGGCACAGTGGCCCAGGCCTGTAATCCTAGCATTTTGGGAGGCCGAGGTGGGTGTATTGTTTGAGCTCAGGAGTTCCAGACCAGTCTGAGCAACATAGCAATACCTTGTCTCTACTAAAAATAAAAGAAATTTTAGCTGGATGTGGTGGCGCACACCTGTAGTCACAGCTACTTGGGAGGCTGAGGCTGGAGGATTGCTTGATCCTGGAGGTTGAGAGTGCAATGAGCTGTGATCACGCTACCGCATTCCAGCCTGGGCAACAGAGTGAGACTCTGTCTCAAAGAAAGATACAAAGTTTTTTGTGGATATATGTTTTCATTTCTCTTGAGTAAATACCTAGGAGTTAAATTGCTAGGTGATAGAGTAAGTATATGTTAAATTTATAAACAATTGTCAAGCTGTTATCCAAAGGGTTGTACCCTTTTCTTTTTTTTTTTTTTTGATGGAGTTTTGCTTTTCATCCAGGCTGGAATAAAGTGGCGTGATCTTGGCTCACTGCAAACTCTTTCCCCCGGGTGCAAGTGATTCTCCTGCCTCAGCCTCCTGAGTAGCTGGGATTATAGGCGCCTGCCATCACGCCTGGCTAATTTTTGTATTTTTTAGTAGAGACAAGGTTTTGCCATGTTGACCAGGCTGGTCTCGAACTCCTGACCTCTGGTGATCCACCCGCCTCACCCTCCCAAAGTGCTGGGATTACAGGTGTGAGTCACTGCGTCTGACCAATTGTACGATTTTTTAATAGAGATGGGCTTTCACTCTGTTGTCTAGGATGAAGTAAAGCAGTGCAATCCTACCTCACTGCAGCCTGAATCTCCTAGGCTCAAGAGATCCTTCGACTTCAGCCTCCCAAGTAGCTGGGATCACAGGTGCACACCACCACTCCTGGCTAATTTTTAAATTTTTTTGTAGAGATGGGGTCTCACTATGTTGCCTAGGCCGAATTGTAGCAGTTTATACTCCCAGCAGCAATGTATGAGAGTTTTAGTTGCTACAAATCCTAGCCAACACTTGTTATTGTCAGTCTTTTTATTATTTATTTATTTATTTTTGAGATGGAGTCTTGCTCTTGTTGCCCAGGCTGGAGTGCAATGGTGTAATCTTGGCTCACTGCAACCTCCGCCTCCTGGGTTCAAGTGATTCTCCTGCCTCAGCCTCTGTAGCTGGGATTATAGGTGCCCACCACCACACCTGGCTAACTTTTGTATTTTTAGTAGAGACGGGGTTTTACCATGTTGGCCAGGTTGGTCTCGACCTCCTGACCTCAGGTGATTTGTCCGCATTGGCCTCCCAAAGTGCTGGAATTATAGGCATGAGCCACCACGTCTGACCTTGTCAGTCTTGTTAATTTTAGACATTGTAGAGGATGTGAACTGGTATCTCTTTGTGGTTTTAATTTGTATTTCCCTAATAACTGGTGGTGTTATGCATGTTTCATATGTTTATTGACCACTTGTAGATTTTCTTTGGTAAAATGTCAGTTCGTTTACTCATTTAAAAAATATTGGCCATTGAACACTTTCTGTTTTATGGAATGAATTATTTCCTGATTCTAGAACTGCAACAGGCTGGGCATGGTGGCTCATGCCTGTAATCCCAGCACTTTGGGAGGCCGAAGCGGGCGGATCACCTGAGATCAGGAGTTCGAGACCAGCCTGACCAACATGGAGAAACCCTGTCTCTACTAAAAATATAAAATTAGCCTGGCGTGGTGGCACATGCCTGTAATCCCAGCTACTAGGGAGGCTGAAGCAGGAGAATCGCTTGAACCTCGGAAGTGGAGATTGCGGTGAGCTGAGATCGTGCCATTGCACTCCAGCCTGGGCAACAAGAACGAAATTCCGTCTCTCAAAAAAAAAAAAAACAAAACCAAAAAACTCAAAAAACAAAACTGCAATAAAGCCAATTGAATTCTTTAAAAAAATATATATATTGGCCAAGACTACACTTTCAGGAATCATTTCTATAGTTTGTTACTAGAGAAGTTTCTCTGAATACGTAGAGCAAAATATATAATAAGACAAAAAGGGGGCCAGGCGCAGTGACTCATGCCTGTAATCCCAGAACTTTGGGAGGCCGAGGCAGGTGGATCATCAGGTCAGGAGATCAAAACCATCCTGGCTAACATGGTGAAACCCTGTCTCTACTAAAAATACAAAAAATTAGCCAGGTGGAGTGGCACACGCCTGTAGTCCCAGCTACTCAGGAGGCTGAGGCAGGAGAATCTCTTGAACCCAGGAGGCAGAGGTTGCAGTGAGCTGAGATCGCACCACTGCACTCCAGCATGGGTGACAGAGCGAGACTCCATCTGAAAAAAAAAAAGAAAAAGAAAAAGAAAAAAAGGCCTGTGGGCTGGGTGTGGTGGCTCATGCCTATAATCTCAGAACTTTGGGAGGCAGAGACAGGTGGATCAACCTGAAGGCAGGAGTTCGAGACCAGCCTGACCAACAAGGTGAAACCCCTGTCTCTACTAAAAATACAAAAATTAGCCAGGCGTGGTAGCAGGAGCCTGTAATCCCAGCTACTAGGGAGGCTGAGGCAGGAGAATCGCTTGAATCTGGGAAGCAGAGGTTGCAGTAAGCCGAGATTGTGCCACTGCACTCCAGCCTGGGTGACAGAGCAAGAATCTGTCTGAAAAAAAGAAAAAAAAATGAGAAAAATATATTGGTCAGCCTGGGCAACATGGCCAAACCCTATCTCTACAAAAAATACAAAAAATTAGCCGGGGTGGTGCTGCATGCCTGTAGTCCCACTTACTCCCTAGTAAGTGGGAGGCTGAGGTGGGAGGATTACTTGAGCCCAGGAGGTTGAGGCTGCAGTGAGCTAAGCAGCTGTGATCTTGCAACTGCCCTCCAGCCTGGGTGACAGAGTGAAACCCTGTCTCCAAAAAAAAAAAAAAAATTGGATTTTTGTTTTATTATTATTACAGGGTTTTTTATTTATTTATTTTTTTTAAGACAGAGTCTCACTGTCGCCCAGGCTGGAGTGCAGTGGCACGATCTCAGATCATTGCAACCTCTGCCTCCCAGGTTTGAGTGATTCTCCTGCTCAGCCTCTCTTGTAACTGGGATTATAGGCTCCTGCCACCACGCCCGGCTAGTTTTTCTTGTTGTTGTTGTTGTTTTTTTTTTTTGTTTTAGAGGAAGTCTCACTCTTGTCCCCCAGGCTGGAGTGCAATGGCGCAATCTTGGCTCACTGCAACCTCCGCCTCCCGGGTTCAAGAGATTCTCCTGCCTCAGCCTCCAGAGTAGCTGGGATTACAGGTGCTTGCCAACATGCCCAGCTAATTTTTGTATTTTTAGTAGAGACCGGGTTTCACCAGGTTGGCCAGACTGGTCTTGAACTCCTGACCTCAGGAGATCCACCTGCCTCGGCCTCCCAAAGTGCTGGGATTATAGGCGTGAGCCACTGCACCTGGCCATTTTCCTGTATTTTTAGTAGAGAGGGGATTTCACCATGTTGGCCAGGCTGGTCTCGAACTCCTGACCTCAGGTGACCACCTGCCTCGGCCTCCCAAATTGCTGGGATTACAGGTGTGAGCCACCGCACCTGGCCTATTACAGGGTTCTTAATATATTGTGGATTTTTGTCCTTTGTTAGATATATGTATTGTGACTACATGTTAATGACTCAGAAGTCTCAATATTAAAATATTAATTATTCATGAATTGATCTATAGATCCAATGCCATTCCACTAAAAATCCTAATTTTCATAGAAGTTGATGAGCCAATTCTAAAATTTACATGAAAATGCAAGGGCCAAGTGCAGTGGCTCACGCCTGTAATCTCAGCAATTTAGAAGGTCAAGGCAGGAGGATTGCTTGAGCCTAGGAGTTTGAGACTAGCCTGGGCAACATGGTGAGACTCCTGTCTCCATAAAAAAACTTCAAAAATTAGCCAGGTGTGGTGGTGCATAACCCTAGCTACTTGGGAGGCTGAGGTGGAAGGATTCCTTCAGCCTGCAAGGTCCAGGCTGCAGTGAGCCATGTTCATGCCACTGCATTGCAGCCTGGAATAGCCAAAACAGTTTTGAAAAAGATAAGTTGAAGGACCTATACTACCGACCTCAAGACATATTATAGTTACAGAAATTAAGGCAGCATAGCAGTAGTAAATGGACAAATTAGGTCAGTTGAACAGAATACAACCTAGAAATAGACCCAAACATATATAGACAATTGATTTTTGACAAAGGTGTTATGATGGACCAGCCTCTAATGATGGACCCTAATCTATCAGGTCACACTCAATAGAGATTACGTGGCATTGAATATCATGATTCCTACCTCCAGGTATTCACATCCATATGTAATCTCTCTTGAGTGTGGGCTGATAGGTGTCAGAGGATGTCACTACTAGAGTTAGGTTTAAAAGAGACTATGGCTTACATTTTGGGGTAACTGTATCTCTCTTGGATTGTTTACTATCAGTAAAGCTAGCTGCCATGTTGTAAGGTAGGCCTGTGGAGAGGCCTATGGGGCAGGGAACCAAGGCCTGCCAAGAAGCACAAAGGAGCTTGGAAGCAGACTCCCCTCACGTTGAGTCAAGCCTTCAGTTGAGACTACAACCCTGGCCAACAGCTTGACTGGAACCTCTTGAGACACTCTGAGCCACTGGCAACCTGGTATGCTGTGCCCAGATTCCTTAACCACAAAAACAATGAGGTAATAAGTATTTGTTGTTTTAAGCTGCTAAATTTTAGAGGTAATTTGTTATACAGTAACAGACAACTAATACAGATGTCAAGGTACTTCAAAGAGGGAAAATAATGTTCAACAAACAGTGTTGGATCAACTTGACATCATTATGAAATAAATGAATCTCAACCCCTACCTCACACCATACACAGATTTTTTAATTTTTATTTATTTTATTTATTTATTTATTTATTTATTTATTTATTTATTTATTTATTTTGAGATGGAGTCTCGCTCTGTCGCCCAGGCTGGAGTGCAGTGGCACCATCTCAGCTCACTGCAAGGTCCGCCTCCCGGGTTCACACAGGTTTTGTAGCCTGGCAAAGTTACTGGAATGGTGGTGATACTACCCATGTAGAGGAATGCTGTAGTACTTGTGTGTAGTGGTGAAGGGACGGATAATTAGCTTGGCTTTGGAAATGCTGAGTTTCAGATGTCTATGGGAAGTTCTGCCTAAGCGAATCCCTCCCTTTTTTAAGGGTAAATGATGAAGCTAGTAGAGGTTCTATGGAACCACTGGAAGGAGGCCAGGAAGACAGCATCCGAAATATTGTTATATAAGTGAAGAGCGAGTTTTGAGGTGTCTTTACTTTGAGATATTCATATAAAAATTTTTAGTCTCCTTGAAGTTCAGGCACAGGTGCCCTCTCTAATCGTCTATCAGCATTATTTTACTGCAATAATGTCTACAGCTCAGCATTTTAACATGTTAAGAAAAAAAATGAAATGAAGGTGGGAGACAATGTAAATATATATACCAACAGATGGGCAGTAG
Source organism: Homo sapiens (assembly GCF_000001405.40). Lineage (NCBI taxonomy): Eukaryota > Metazoa > Chordata > Mammalia > Primates > Hominidae > Homo > Homo sapiens. The sequence goes on from NC_000015.10 coordinate 41,618,767, forward strand.
TCACCAAGGATTCCAAAAAAGATCTGTGGTACACGAATCTGTTAGTGTTCCTCTAGCACTGTCTAGGGGAGAAACAGAATAGTGGAGAAAAAAGATTCAACAATGTGCTGTATTGCACAGAGTACAGGGTGCTAGTTTGAATGCAACCTTACCACTAACGAGCACTCACATTCATAGAGTTCATCATATTTATCAGGGATTATGACAGGTGTTCTAAATATTTTGATCTGAGAATCATTATGACAATCCAAAGACAATCCAGGCCGGGCGTGGTAGCTCATGCCTGTAATCCCAACTACTTGGGAAGCTGACAAAGGAGAATCCCTTGAACCCGGGAGTCGGAGGTTGCAGTGAGCTGTGACTGCGCCATTGCACTCCAGCCTGGGCAACCAGAGTGAAACTCCATCTCAAAACACACACACACACACACACACACACACACACACACACACAAGCCAGGTACAGTGGCTCACGCTTGTAATCCCAGCACTTTGGGAGGCCGAGGCGGGCGGATCATGAGGTCAGGAGTTCGAGACCAGCCTGGCCAACATGGTGAAACCCTGTCTCTACTAAAAATAAAAATTAGCCAGGCGACGTGGTGTGCGCCTGTAATCCCAGCTACTCTGGAGGCTGAGGCAGGAGAATTGTTTGAACCCAGGAGGCGGAGGTTGCAGTGAGACGAGATTGCACCATTGCACTCCAGCCTGGGCAAGAGAGTGAGACTCTGTCTAAAAAGCAAACAAACAAACAAAAAAACAAAAAAACAAAAAAACAAAGACAATCCAAACTGGCCTCAATTTGCAGTCAAAGGAACTGAAAATCAAAAAGTTCAAAAACGGGCAGGCGTGGTGGCTCACGCCAGTAATCCCAGCATTTTGGGAAGCCTAGGCAGGCAGATCACCTGAGGTCGGAAGTTCGAGACCATCCTGGCCAATATGGTGAATGAAACCCCATCTCTACTAAAAATACAAAAATTGCCAGGCATGGTAGCAGGCGCCTATAATCCCAGCTACTCAGGAGGATGAGACACCAGAATCGCCTGAACCCGGGAGATGGAGGTTGCAGTGAGCTGAGATCACGCCTTTGTAATCTAGCCTGGGCAACAGAGACTCGGTCTCAAAAAAAAAAAAAAAAAAAAAAAGTTCAAAAACCTGTTCACCACAATCAGAGTGCAGGAAGAAAAAGAGCTGCAAGTTGACATGGATCTGTCTGACTTCAAACCTTGGGTTCTTTCCACTATAGCCAATAGGTCCCAAACCCAGTTGTGCATAACAATTACCTGAAGAACGTGTTAAGATATATTTTTCCAGATTCCCACTCAAGACTGACTCAGAAAATGATACTACTAGTATAGCACTTTTCTCTGAGTTGTTGTAAGGATTATATATAATGAAGAATATTGGAATGTTTTATAAACTTCAAGTGTAACATCATATGCTTACAATTTAATGCTTTTTATTACGTATGATCATCTAATACCCTTTCTTTTGGTTTTCTAGTCAGGGAATAATTTTCTGATAATTAGGCTTATGGAGTACCTTGAAATTAGAAAAGGGTGCCCCAAACTATATTTTGGCTTGATAACCACATTATAAATGAATACATTTAATTTTTAATCTATAAATAAGAGCTCTTGAGCTTGACCATCGCTAGTCAAGTTCTTCAAGCTTAATCATCTCTTTAAGAATTGATGAAATCGTTCTAAAATCCGGCAAAGCTGAAGAATGGAGTTCAAAGCAGAAAAGGTGTGAATTGTTTTAAGTGGGGATTTCATTAGGTTTTGGCCTGAAGGGCAGTTTGTGAATATGTTACAAAGTTAATTGGTTCTGATGCATGACCACTTTTTCTGAGTTAGGAGACGGTGTTTTTTTTTTTTTCTCGTTTCCAATATACCATATTTCGTACGAGGTGGAACCAGCAACTGTGATAGACATGTCCCCGCCTCCTTTAAAACGCCTCTTGCTCTTACCACCCCTACTTTCCCCAACAGTAGCAATAAGTTTAGCAAGAAAGGTCTCATCTTCTATCCCAAGGGAAATTCTAAGTGCCATTTCCACCCTCAAGTGGGGCTCCTGGTAAGTTGCATTTAAATTAGCATTCTTTTTCACTGGCCAGGAAAGGGCTGCAGTTCATTTGCAGGCAAATACCCTTGCTGTTTTTTTTTTTTTTCCTGAATCTTTACAAAGTCACTCAGCAGGCACACACTAAACGCTTGCTCCGTGGAGAAAGGTTAAACGGTTTCCCCAAGACCACACAGATCAAACAAGTGGGAGAGGAGGGGCTGAAAGTGCCTGGTATACCTCGCCACACTCCCATAATTACCCAAACCGTCTCATTCCAAGCCCAAGGACCGGGCTTTCAAGGGGACACGAAAGGAACGCCCGGGAGGTGAGCGCCAGGAGATCGGGAGAGGTGCCTTTCCCGGCATGCTCTGCAGCACACCGAGGGGCGCCAGGCGTATCCCGGCGTGCATCGGGGAGCGCCCAAGGGCGATGGTTCCCGGCTCCTGGAGAGGCGTGCGAAGTTAAGCCGGTAGGTGCGAGCTTCCTTAGCTTTGAGCCTCTGGTTTCTCGTTTCCTCTTTATGGGTTTAAATCCATAACGGCAGAAAAGGATGGCCCTCTAACTACCCTCCCTCTCCGCGTGCGAACGACTCGGCGCCGCTTCGAGCTCGGTGCCAGGTGATTAGCGGGTAGGGGCGGGCTTGCGACCAGCACGTGACCCGAACTGGCAGCCAATGACTAGCCGGGTGGTCCAGCAGCGCGAGGATTCCGGGACCCGCGAGCGGAGCGGCGCGTGGGTCGGTTGCGGTCGGCCCCGGCAGGTATGCGCAGGCGCCTTGCTTGCCACGCGCTACGCCCGTCCCCACGCGCCTGGTGGCGTGTTCTTGGCGCGAAGTGTTAAGAGTCTGGGTGTTTTTGTGCGTTGGGGGGAAGGAGAGGGTGGCGGGGGCGGGGGGGCGCTGAGGCGTCACGTGGACGCCACAGCCAATCTCAGGCCGAGGCGCACCCACAGCTTTCCCCGGCGCCCCGGGGTGCGACGTGTTCACTGAGGTTCGACCGGGCCCTGACGGCCTGAGCGGTCTTTCGAAGCGCGTGTGCGGCCTGTAAATTCTGGCCGCGGCTTTTCGTGGCGTCCTGCTCCGCGGTGAGCACAGACGACAAGTTCTCAGCAAAATGGCTGCTGGAAAGAGTCGCCAAGCAGGGGGAGTGCTGGGGCCGCGTGAAGGTCACATGACGAGGTTGGCAGCGCGTGCTGCTGGCGCGGGGTAGGGGGAGGGTGGGGGGCGTGGCGGGTCACGTGCCTTCGACTGCGCCGGCCTGTGGTTTTCCAGCGTCTTTGCTGCGGTCGGATTGCCTGTTTTTACTCCTCCCACATCGAAGCGTGGCAAGCGTCGGTGAGAAGCTGTGTGGTGTACTGGGATGAGCCGAGATCTGGGAATTCGGAGGCCTGGGGTCCAGGCCTTTGGCTAGTTTCATCTTGCCACCCTCGGCTTCCATTTCTCATTCAGCTCGGTAGAGGAGATCACCTTTTAAGGTCCCTCATACGGCCTCTGACTTCCTCACCTCAATTTCATGCAGATAAAATAATTTAACAAATTCTTAAAAATTATAATGAGACAACCGCCACCCCGCCAAAAAAAACCCCACAGCCACTCCCCTCTCAATCATTACAATGATGTGGGAAACCTGGTGGAGGTAATTTGTTATAATATTCTGGGCATGTCTGTCTATCTTTATCATTCCCATTTATACTTTATAGGGGCCCACGACCTCATTCGAAAAATATTGTCTTTTAGACATCTAATCCCTATGTATTTTCTGGGAGGAAATCAAAAGGTAACTACTATTGTCATAACTGCGGAGATGGGGAAATAGTATTTAAAAGGGAAATGCTGATCCCCCATAACGCTGCCTAGAAGGGCCTAGAAGTCTTCGTTTCCACTTGGTGGGCTATCTTTGTAAAATTTTAGAGACCTGGTACCCACCAGCCTTTGGTATTTTTCTTGGTCTCTCCTCCCAGTTCTAGCTCGTCATTTCACCAAAGAAGGGTCAAGCCATTGGTGAAGAAAAGTATAAATTGTATGTTTTCCATACCACTGCTTATGTTTTATTATACCTTTTGATTTATCTTAAAAAGAGTCTTCGAATTTTGTGCGAACACATCTGGAAAACATTTATTGAGCAATCATAATAGCTGTCACTTTTGAGTAATTATAATAGTTATCTTTCTGGCTTGGTGTTCTAAATACTTTCTACTGTATTTAATTCATTTAGTTCTCATAACAAACCTACGAGGTAAGTACTGTTATCTCCGTTTTACCACTGAGGAAAATAGCAACAGAGAGATATGGCTGGCAGTTTTACATGATTCCAACCAGATTTCCTTTTGAAAATTTGCCAAATGGTTTTAAAATTCATTTGAAAAAGTAAACCTAGAAATTAAGAAACTTCTTGGAAGAGAAGAATGAGGAAAGGACTTGTACTAGAGAATATACAAATAAAGCTATGATAATCAAAATATAAGTAGCAACCCTGGAACACAAGAGTAGTGAAACAGAATAATCTAGAAATATATAAGGTTAGTGTTATAAAGATGGTATTTTATATGAGTAGGGAAGGTGTTCCAAAATTATATTGGAACAATCAACTGTTTGGAGAAAAAATGGGATTTCTACCTTAAAATTTAAATAAAATTGCCGGGTGTGGTGGCTCACGCCTGTAATCCCAGCACTTTGGGAGGCGGAGGCGGGTGGATCACCTGAGGTCGGGAGTTCGAGACTAGCCTGACCAACATGGAAAAACCCCGTCTCGACTAAAAATACAAAATTAGCCGGGTGTGGCGATGCATGCCTGTAATCATAGCCACTTGGGATGCTTGAACCGGGGAGGCGGAGGTTGCGGTGAGTGGAGATCGCGCCATTGCACTCCAGCCTGGGCAACAAGAGCGAAACTCCGTCTCCAAAAAAAAAAAAAGAATCTAGGTGAATTATTTATATATATATATATATTTTTTTTTTTTTTTTGAGAGGGAGTTTCGGGCTTGTCCCCCAGGCTGGAGTGCAGTGGTGCTCACCACAACCTCTGCCTTCTGGGTTCAAGCAATTCTCCTGCCTCAGACTCCCGAGTAGCTGGGATTACAGGTGTCTCCCACTACACCTGGCTAATTTTTGTAATTTTAGTTGAGGCGGGGTTTCACCGTGTTGGCCATGCTGGTCTGGAATTCCTGACCTCAGGTGATCCTCCAGCCTTGGCCTTCTGAAGTGCTAGGATTATAGGCGTGAGCCACCGAGCCCAGCAAATTAAATTTTTTTTTTTTTTGAGGGTCTCACTCTGTGGCCCAGGCTGGAGTGCAGTGGCATGATCTCGGCTTACTGCAACCTCTGCTTCTTGGATTCAAGCAGTTCTCCTGCCTCAGCCTCCCAAGTAGCTGGGATTATAGGTGCAGGCCACCACACCCAGGTAATTTTTGTATTTTTTTTTTTTTAATTTTATTTTTTGAGATGGAGTCCTGCTCTGTCGCCCAGGCTGGAGTACAGTGGTGCGATCTCAGCTCACTGCAACTTCCGCATCCCAGTTTCAAGTGATTCTTCTGCCTCAGCCTCTCAAGTAGCTGGGACTACAGGCAGACTATGCCGCCGCCACCACGCCTAGCTAATTTTTGTATTTTTAGTAGAGATAGGGTCCAGGTAGCTGGGACTACAGGCAGAGTATGCCTGCCACCACACCTAGCTAATTTTTGTATTTTTAGTAGAGACGGGGTTTCACTATATTGGCCAGGCTGGTCTCGAGCTGCTGACCTCATGATCTGCCCGCCTTGGCCTCCCAAAGTGCTCGGTGGGTGGCGTGAGCCACCGCACCTGGCTGATAATTTTTGTATTTTTAGTAGAGACGGGGTTTCACCATGTTGGCCAGGCTGGTCTGGAACTCCTCACTTCAGGTTTTCTTCCCATCTCGGCCTCCTAAAGTGCTGGGATTACAGGAGTGAGCCACTGCTCCTGGCCCAAATTAAATATTAAAATATAAAACGTGAAATCAGAAAATTACTACTTTAAAAAACTGGGAAAACAGTTTTCCAGTCTTGAAATAGAATGAGGCCAGGCACGTGGCTCATGTCTATAATCCCAGCACTTTGGGAGGCCCAGGTGGGAGGATTGCTCAAACCCAGGAATTCAAGACCAGCCTGGGTAACAGAGTGAGACCCCATCTGTACAAAAAAATTTCAGAATTAGCTTGGTGTGGTGGCACATCCCTGTTGTCACAGCTACTCAGGAGGCTGAGATGGGAAGATCACTTGACCTCAGGAGTTCGAGGCTGCAATGAGCTGTGACGTGTCACTGCACTCCAGATTGGCCAACAGAGTGAGACCCAGGCTCAACAAAAGAGAAAGGAGCTGTTCTACTAAGCATGACTGTCGAGGCAAATCCATAAAGACAAAGATGACAAAGATTGATACAGTTATTACAAAAAACATCTGTCTAGTTGGCAGAAACATGATAAAGTTAAAAGACAAATTTATTTATTTAGTATTCATTTGTATTTATTGAGTGTTTACTATGTGCCAGCCAATTTTTTTAAGTTTAGGAGATCCAGTAATCAGCAAAGCCTGGCAAATTGTGAGAAAAAAAAAATTGAACAAGGCTGATACAGGAGGATTCCTTGAGGCCGGGAGTTTTTTTTTTTTTTGAATCTTTACAAAGTCACTCAGCAGGCACACACTAAACGCTTGCTCCTTGGAGAGTGTTTGAGACCAGCCTGGTCAACACAGCAAAACCTTGTCTCTACGAGAAATACAAAAATCAGCTTGGTGTGGTGGCACATGCCTATAGTCCTAGCTACTCAGGAGGCTGAGGCAGGAGAATCACTTGAACCCAGAAGGTCAAGGCTACAGTGAGCCATGATTGTGCCACTGCACTCCAGCCTGGGCGACAGAGTGTGTGTCCCAAAAAATAAATAAATAAAAATAAAAATAAATAAATACGGTGCCTTTATAGAGGGGGGTACTTTGTACCTGGTAAACATGATATAGATCTCTATTAATGACTTGGAAAGCATGTGATAAGTGAACAAAGCAGATTACAAAATTATGTGATCACATTTTTGTAGAAATATACCTGTATATATCCCTTTATAGTACTTCTCCCTTATCCATGGTTTCAGTTTCAGTTATCTGCTGTCAACTGTGGTCTGAAAATATTTTGAGAGATCACATTTACATAACTTTTATTATAGTATATTGTAATATTTTATTAGTTTTTAATCTCTCACTGTGCCTAATTTATAAATTAAACTTTATTATAGGTAAGTATGTAAGTATAGGAAAAAACACTGTGTATAGGGTTCAATACTTTCCTAGGTTTTAGACATACACTGGGGGATCTTGGAATGTATCCTGTGGGGATAAGAGGAGAATTACTGTATATAGAAGTCTAAAAAGATAAATATCAAACGTAAGCTAATGGTGACATTTTTAAGCAGTAGGATTTTGGATGAATTGGATTAGAAAAAACTATTTTCCTCTTTTTTTTTTTTTTTTGACAAGTGGTCTTTCCATGTTGCACAGGCTGGTCTCAAACTACTGGGCTCAAGGGATCTTCTTGTCTTAGCCTCCCAAGTAGCTGTGACTGCAGCTGCACACTTGACTCTAAAAAAACTTTTTTTTTTAAAATTTTTTTAGACGGAGTTTTACTCTTGTTGCCCAGGCTAGAGTGCAATGGTGCTATCTCACCTCACTGCAATCTCTGCCTCCCGGGTTCAAGTGATTCTCCTGCCTCAGCCTCCTGAGTAGCTAGGATTACAGGCATGCGCCATCACGCCCGGCTAATTTTTGTATTTTTAGTAGAAACGGACTTTCTCCACATTGGTCAGGCTGGTCTTGAACTCCCGACCTCAGGAGATCCACCCGCCTTGGCTTCCCAAAGTGCTGGGATTACAGGCGTGAGCCACTGTGCCCGGCCTAAAAAAACTATTTTTTAAAAGTTTTAGATTTATAGAAAAATTGCAGACTACAAAGAGAGTTTTCATATACCTAGCTTCCCTTCCAGCTTTTCCCATTATTAAAATCTTATGTTAGTATAGTATATTTACTATAATTAAAATAATTTATTTTAGTTTTTGAGATGGAGTCTCTCTCTGTCACCCAGGCTGGAGCGCAAATGGCACTATCTCTGCTTACTGCAGCCTCTGCCTCCTGGGTTCAAGTGATCCTCCCACTTCAGCCTCCTGAGTAGCTGGAATAACAGGTGATTCTCGTGTCTCAGCCACCCAAGTAGCTGGGATTACAGGCGTGCACCACCACATCCAGCTAATTTTTTTGTATTTTTGGTAGAGATGGAGTTTCATCATGTTTCCCAGGTTGGTCTCCTGAGCTCAAGTGATCTGCTCTCCTTGGCCTCCCAAACTGTTGGGATTACAGGTGTGAGCCACCACACCCAGCCTATTATAATTAAGGAACCAATAATGATACATTATTATTAACGAAAGTCCATAGTTTATTCAGATTTCCTTTTTATCTAATGTCACTTTCTTGTTTCACTATTCCATCCAAGATAACACAGTACTTTTTGTAGTCATGTCTCCTTAGGATCCTCTTGGCTATGATAGTTTCTCACACTTTCCTTATTTTTGATGACCTTGACACTTTTGAGGAATACCAGTCAGGTTTTCTGTAGCATGTTACTCAATTGGGATTTGATGCTTTTTTCATCATTAGACTGGGGTTAGAGTACTTAGTATCAACATGATTGTCACTATTGATGTGACCTTGATCACTTGGCTGTCAGTTTTGTTTTTAAATGTTTGCTTTTCTATAGCTAATATTAATAAAATTTGTTACTTGCAATATAAAAGTAAATATCTGTTGATATTCTACACATGTCTACCAGTAGCATTTATAATAAGTAATACATTGACAAGCCTAATAATACAGAAAAAGGATAGTGGATATTATAATCAAGGAAAAATAATGACGAAGTTGCCTGAAGGGCTAATTGTAGAAAGGAATTAAAGGCGTTAGTACCATATAGCTTATTTTAACAGTCTTTAAGCTGTTTTAGGACTCTGTTTTAAGAAGAACATTCTGGTAATCAAGAATTGGATCTAAATTCAAAGGTAGGAAAGGAATTATTCAATTATTCATAGTAGGATGAAAATACAAATCGGATAGTTGAGATCAATTAGGTAATATCTTACAATTCAACAACAAATAATTAATGAGCCCTACTGCGTGCCAGGTGCTAAGGATTGAGCATTGAACAGGACAAAGTCCATGCCCTCATGGAAATTATATTTTGGTAGACAATGAGCTAATAAAGATGATTTCAGGGCCAGGCATGGTGGCTCATGCCTGTAATCCCAGCACTTTGGGAGGCCGAGGCAGGTGGATCACCTGAGGTCAGGAGTTTGAGACCAGCTTGGCCAACATGGTGAAACCCTGTCTCTACTAAAAAATACAAAAAATTAGCTGGGTGTGGTGGTGCACGCCTGTAGTCCTAGCTGTTCGGGAGCCTGAGGCATGAGAATATCTTGAACCCGGGAGGTTGCGGTGAGCTGAGATCGTGCCACTGCTCTCCAGCCTGGGTGACAGAGCAAGACTCTGTATCCAAAAAAAAAAAAAAAAAAAAAGCTATGAAGAAAACAATACAAGAGATAGAGAGTGGTGGTGGTGGGTTTGGTGGTTCTTTTAGGTGGGTTGCCAGGCAAGGCTTCTCTGAAGTAACATTTGAACATAACACGACCTGAATGATAAAGAGTAAGACACACCCAAACGTGGAGAATTGGAAGTGGTGGGAATAGTAATGCAAAGACTTTGTGTCAAAAATCAGTTTGGGGATTTTCAAGGAATTACAAGAAGGCTAGTGTGCCAGAGTTGGGAGAGTGCTGGGGTATGAAGTGGTGGTGGTGGTGGTGCATGCTAGTAGGAAATGAGATTGAGAATTGGCGGGGCTCAGATTGTGTAGAGCCTTGCAGGCCATGAGGTTTTTGGATTTTATTCTAACTGATGGTATTCATTGGACAGTTTTGTGCAGAAAAATGATACCTAATTTATGTTTTCAAAACATCGCTTTGCTGCAGAGGCAATTAAGCCGTTGGAGGCCGGGCACGGTGGCTCATGCCTGTAATTCCAGCACTTTGGGTGGCCGAGGCAGGTGGATCATGAGGTCAGGAGATCGAGACCATCCTGGCTAACATGGTGAAACCCTGTCTCTACTAAAAAATACAAAAAAAATTAGCTGGCCATGGTGGCGGGCGCCTGTAGTCGCAGCTACTTATGCTTAATCATAATGCATTGAAAAAGTGCCACTGCACTCCAGCCTGGGCGACTGAGCAAGACTTCGTCTCAAAAAAAAAAAAAAAAAAAAAGAAGCCATTGGAGTGTTGTGAGGTACAGTAGCTTGGACTAGTGAGGTAGATAAAGATAGATGCAGTGAGAAGTCATTGAATTCAGGGCATGTTTTCAAGGTAGAACCAACAGGATTTGCTGATAGATTAGCTGTGGGAGGTGAGTGAAAGAGAGTAATCAAAGATGATTACAAGGCTTTTAGCTGGAGCCAGTGGTGCCATTTACAGAGATGGGAAACAGGAAGGAGCTAGTTTGGATGAAGTGTTTAGATGTTTGGAGCTTGAGATGCCTGCTAGATATCCAGGAATAGCCATTGAGTAGGCAGCTGACTATTAAATTCTAGAGCCTAGGGTCAAGATCAGGGTTGCGAATATACCTTTGGGATGTCATCGATACATTGATGGTGTTTAAACATATAGAACTGCCAGCCTCTGCAACATAGTGAGACCTTGTCTCTATAAAGAAAAAAAAAAAATTAGCTGGGTGTGGTGGTGTGCCTGTGGCCCCAGCTACTTGGGAAGCTGATGTGGGAGGATTACTTCAGCCTGGGTGGTTGAAGCTACAATGAGCCATGATCATGCCACTGCACTCCAGCCTGCGCGACAAATGGAGATCCTGTCTCAAAAAAACAAAACTGAAAACAAAAACATGTAACTGGTTAGGTCAGCTAGGGAGTAAAGAAGAGGGCTAATGACTGAGCCCTGAGACTACTGATATCATAGAGTGGAATAGATTGTAATATATACTTAAATTTCTTTTGTATTGGTATCAGGACCAAATTGACTGAGCAACATGTAAATAGTATAACACTGAATAATGCCTTTGAGATGATTATAATGTTACTAGGCTCTTCCTGTTACTTGAATCCTCATGTTTTTGTCACTTTCCTGCCTGAAGATTTCTACTTTCTCTCCATTGTTTGAGGACATAAACCCCCAGACTTCTTCGCTTAGCATACCAGAGCCTTCATTGTCTGAGTACTCTACATCATCTCGCTCCTTTTTATCTTTTCTCCTCTTTATCACACCTACCGTGCCCAATGTGCTTGGCTCTTTTATAACCCCCTTTTGGCCTGGAATACTCTTTCTCCTCCTGCTGCCCTGCCTCAAACTCCTACTCAGTCTTCAATATCCACCTTAAATTTGCTATGTAATTTTCCCCAATTTCGACGGATAAAATTGACCCCTTCACTGCATGGTACTTCCTCAGTGCTGTTGCTTATACTTCAATTTATAGCAAAATACAAAATCAGTTGGCATTTTGGCTTTTAAAAAAATTCATTTGTTTTCCCAGTGCTTGGCATGTGGTAGATGCTTAATCATAATGCATTGAAAAAGTTTAAAAGTTTTGCTTTGGCCAAAGAGTAAGTAATTAAAAACTAAATCTTACAATACACGATCATATGGATCATTAGCTGAGATTTTTAGGATCTTTTTATTATGTCAAGTTGTTGGTTTTAGTGATATTCATTGTGGCATAATTTAGCCAGTACAAAGTTTAGTGAAATGTCAGTTAGAAGTCTTAGTTCAGAGACATATTAGGAATGTTTTATTCTCTAGGGCTGAATAATGCTTATTCTTTGGAGGCAGGCTATTATAATAGATTTTTCCTTCACTTGCCCACTTTTCCACCCAGCTTCTCAGTAGTCGGGAATTCTATTTTAACAGTACACGTGTACTTTGAGCTCTTTGCTGGAGATGGAACCTAATGTAATAAATCCAGTAGAATCAGCAGTACTCACCCCAGGAATGTCCTTTAAATTGTTGGATAGAAGGAGGCTTACTGGTGTGAATTGTAGGTGTGAAGATTTTTCAGCCTGTGAGTCCAAAGTAGGGTTGATTATTTTGTCATTCAATCATAAGCATGTATTGAGTACTTGCCATATATGGGTATTGTATGAGGTACAGTGTGGGGGACACACAAAAGAAATAAAAGGCATTCTTTGCACATGAGGCCTTGACAATTTAATTGAGGAACTGAAACATAGGAAGGAATTTAATCTTAACAAGCAATATATCCGTAAGTGCAAAGTACTGTAGTATAAATCAGGGACTGCATTTCTTAAGCCCATAATTATATTCTCAGGGTTATATGCAGTCTTATATCAGTTTTCAACATTTTAATTTGACTTGAAGTTCTGCATTTTCTCTTATCCTTTAACGTTTCTAGTTTCAATAAGATATTGATTTAGCTCTTTGTTTGATATGATAAAAGCCATATATAAGAAGAGTTCTCTGTCACAATGTTGCATCCAAGCATTTTTTCATTTCATGTCTATAAAGAAAGTACATAGGCCCACACCTGTAATCCCAGCACTTTGGGAAGCCAAGGAAGGAGGATTGCTTGAGGCTAGGAGTTCGAGACCAACCTGGGCAACATAGCGAGACCCTGTCTCTATGAAAACATAGAAATGAAAAATAAAAAATAAAATACATAATTTGAAATGGTAGAATGTCATTTATCCTTTACAAGTGTGACAGAGGCACACTTTCTTTTTTTTGCTATGTGTAGGTTCCTCCTCCGCATACTTTGTCTTTCCACTTAAAGGGGTGGAGGGGGAGAAAGAGAACCTGGAGAACAAATTTTGTGTGTGTATATGAATCTGAATTTAAAAGTATGTATTTTCATTAAAGGCAACCAACTGAACAGAAAAAAAAGTATGTATTTTCATATTTGAATTATAAAAGTGGCTTTTTTTTGAGAAGATAAATACATAAGCACAAATAATAATTTCTAATATGCCAGCTATCACTGTTAGCGTGTTGATATGCTTCTATGTTTCTTTTTTTTTAAATGGCAAGTGTTGTTTTTTTAGCTCAGATACATTTAGAAAAAAGATAATTGTCTTTACATAGGTTTATCTGATCATATTACTCTCAATAAAATTCTTTAGTGGCTTTGCATAGTAAATGGAATCAAGTTGAGACAAGTTCAGACTCCTTACTTAGCTTGACACATAAAGCTCACTACCTCATAGTTTATCTCACGTCATATGTCTCCCTCATACGCAACTTGTTTTATCCATGATACATGTGTGTACTACTTTCAGGCCTCTAGATGAGGGGTTGGCAAATGTTTTCTGTAGAGGACTAGATAGTAAATATTTTAATGTATGGACCTTAGCGTTTCTTTTAAGTACTACTCAATTCTGTTGTGGTAGTAAACTGCAGGACCAGCCCAGAGAGTGTCTACTCTGTTGATAACAGAATGTCAGGTTACTTTGTAGATATAAAAGAGCCAAGATTGCAAGTCATGTAGCCTGGGCATGCACAATAGAAAAAGCTTTGATCTTTAACAGCACCCAGAACCAACATCCCTCCTCTCCTCCCCCAGCAGAACCAAGAAGTCTGGGACATGACCAGAACTTGAATGCTGGAACCTTTTCAGAAGCAGCGGGTCCATTGGCCGTAAAGATCCAGGGCTAAAATTTGCCTCAGCATACCTTACCGAAATGGTTAAGTTTGAAGCCCTCCAATCAGACCTTGGCAAGCCAACATTTCCAGGTCTTTTCCCTTGCCCTCCAACCTCTTAAAACTTGTCCCAGACTCCAAATCAGGGAGATAGATTTGAGCTGGGCCTCCTGTTTCCTCACTAGTCTGCCTTGCAATAAAGCGTTTCTTTTCTCAAAAGCTGGTGCCTCCTACCTGTAGGAGGTCTCCTTCCTGTAGGAGATAGGGAAAAAAAAAAAAGCTGGTGCCATAGTATTGGCTTCAATGCATAATGGGCAGAGAGCCCATTTGCTAGATAACAGCACAAAAGCAGCCACAGACAATAATACACAAACAAATGAAATGGCTGTGTTTCAGGAAACTTTATATATAGACACTGAAATTTGAATTTCATGTAATTTTTTTTTTTTTTTTGAGACGGAGTCTCGCTCTGTCGCCCAGGCTGGAGTGCAATGACATGATCTCAGCTCACTGCAACCTCTGCCTCCCGGGTTCAAGCGATTCTTCTGCCTCAGCCTCCCGAGTAGCTGAGACTACAGGCGCGTGCCACCACGCCTGGCTAATTTTGTATTTTTAGTAGAGACGGGGTTTCACTGCGTTAGCCAGGATGGTCTTGATCTCCTGACCTTGTGATCCCCCCTGCCTTGGCCTCCCAAAGTGCTAGGATTACAGGTGTGAGCCACCACGCCCAGCCTGGTAGCCACCTGTTAAGGGAAGATTACTATATGCCAGGCATTGTGTTAAGGATCATTATTTAATCGCCTAAGTAGTCTCTTCCTGACATTGCCCTCCTATGGTATTTTTTTTTTTTTTTTTGAGACAGAGTCTTGCTCTGTTGCCCAGGCTGGAGTGCAGTGGTGCAGTCTTGGTTCACTGCAACCTCTGCCTCCTGGGCTCAAGTGATCCTCCCACCTCTGCCTCCCTAGTAGCTGGGACCAATGTAACTGTGATGTTACAGAAAAAAATAAAGCAGGGAAGAGAGATGGGGAAGAAATCAAAATCTGAATTGAGATTGAGCCACAATACTTGGCTAATTTCTGTATTTTTAGTAGAGACGGGTTTTTGCCATGTTGCCCAGGCTGGTCTGGAACTCCTGAAATCAAGTGATCCACCCACCTTGGCTTCCCAAAGTGCTGGGATTACAGGTGTGAGCCACTGTGCCCGGCCTGTGATATATTCTTAATATGGCAGCAGAGAGAAGCTGTCAGATTGGAGATGCTGATGCTGTTAAAGTCCAGTCATATCGTTCCTCTGCTCAAAACCTTACAGTGACTTCCTATTTCTGGCAAAATAAAAGCTAAAATCCTTACAACGGCCTTTAAGGTTGTATGTGAGCTGCTCCCCTCTTACTTCTCTGACCTTATCTCTTAACACTCCCTTCCTTAATCTCTGCTCCAGCTTCTTCATCTCCTTGCTTTTCCTTGTTCATGCTGGGCATATACCCTTTCATTTCTGGTTTCCTCTGTCTGGAATACTGCATAGCTTGTTCCCTCAATTCAGATTTTGATTTGAATGCCTTGGTTCCTATTTTGATTTCTTCCCCATCTCTCTTCCCTGCTTTATTTTTTTCTGTAGCATCACAGTATATAACACACCATATTACATCATGTATTTATTTATTTTCCTTGTTTGATGTTTCCCCTACTAAAATTCGAGTACCATGAGGACAGGGATTTTTGTCCTGTTTGCTGCTGTTTTTGTAGTACCTAGCAAGCACAAAGTAAGTGCTTAATAATGTTTGCTGAGTGAATGAATAAACTGCCACAACCCTATGCCATGGACACTGTTATTTCATTTTGCAAATGAGGAAACTAAAGCCCAGAGAGGTTAAATGATTTGCATAGGGTCACATGACTCTTAATCTTCCTGCTGAATGGCTTTATCTCCTGTCATCTCATTATGCCTCTGTGCTCAGTCATGGGACACTAAATATTTGTGTATGTTTATGTATGTGTGTGTGTATGTATGTTTGAATATCATATACATGTTTTATCTTCTGTGCCTTTGCTCATGTTGTTTCCTCAGGAGACATCCTTCCCCTTTCCTTCCCCTTACTGAGGTAGAACTTTATTTGCAGGAGAAATGGTGATTTAGAGGAGTTGCTGGGTATGAAGATTGTTTGGTGAGATAGAGGGATGAGTATTGTGAGCTAAGGCCAAATGATGGTAAATGCATATAATGTATGTTCAGGGAGCGTTTGGTTAGAATGAGGTTTTGTTTGAGTATGATAGACCATGAAGTTAAAGAGAGGGAGGGAGGGTTATGGTCCCACCATTGAGACCTCGAGCTTCAGGCTAAGGAGCAGGTATTTTTATCTTGTCCCTTGAAGGTTTTTGAGCAGGAGAGTGTTAATGAAAAAATAGTACTTGGAAAAATATTTGATTTTGCAGTGGTGATGAGAATAGTTTGAAGTAAGAACACTTAGGAGATTATTAGGATGACATAGTTCAGAGGTGAGGTAATCAGGGCTGAAGTTTATAATTAAGAGTGGAAATTGGCTGGGTGTGGTGGCTCACGTGTGTAATCCCAGCACCTAGGGAGGCTGAGGCAGTTGGATCACTTAAGGTCAGGAGTTCGAGACCATCCTGGCCAACATGGCAAAACCCCATCTCTACTAAAAATACAAAAATTGGCCGGGTGTGGTGGCGTGCACCTGTAGTCCCAGGTATTCAGGAGGCTGAGGCACGAGAATTGCCTGAACCCAGGAGGTGGAGGTCACAGTGAGTCGAGGTCCTACCACTGCACTCCAGCCTGGGCAACAGAGAAAGACTCTGTCTCAAATAAATAAATAAGTAAATAAGAGTTGAAATTAAAGTGCGGAGATGAGACACTAGACAAACACCAAACACAAACACACACACACACAAAATAAGGCTGGGCGCGGTGGCTCACGCCAGTAATCCCAGCACTTTGGGAGGCCAAGGTGGGAGTTTGAGACCAGCCCAGGCAACATAGTGAGACCCCCCCCCTCCTATAAAAAATTTTAAAAAATTAGCTGAGTACGATGGCATGTGCCTGTGGGCCCAGGTACGTGGGAGGCTGAGGTGAGTGGATTGCCTGAGCCTGGAAGGTCAAGGCTGCAGGGAGCCATGATCCTGTCACTGCACTCCAGCCTGGGTAACAGAGTGGGTGTCTCAGAAAAAAGAAGGACTACATTAAGACTAAATCCCAGCTACAAATACATTCATGTGCCACATAATGATATTTTGGTCAATGATGGACTGCATATACTGTGGTGGTCCCATAAGGTTAATGGAGCTGAAAAATTTCTGTTGCATAGTGATAGGGTAGCTGTTTTAACGTTGTGGCACAATGCATTTACTCTTGTTTATAGTGATACTGGTGTAAACAAACCTGTGCTGCCAGTTGTATAAAAATATAGCAGGTACAATTACATATAGTATATAATAATTAAAACTTTATAAAATTCAGTACTAGATGATACTGCAATAACATACAGTACATAATATATAGTGGATATACATATATTACATAGTTCATAATAAGCTGTGTTACTGGAGTATGCATTTACTATACTATACTTTATTATTTTATTTTCCTGCAAATACCTCATCTACTACTTGAGTTTAATTTTTTTTTATAGACAGGGTTTCACTCTGTCACCCAGGCTGGAGTGCAGTGGGGTGATTGAAGCTCACTGTAGCCTCCAACTCCTGGGCCCAAGCAATTCTCCCATCTCAACCTCTTGACCATGCCAGACTAAATTTTTTATTTTATTTTATTTTATTTTTTTTGAGATGGAGTCTCGCTCTGTTGCCCAGGCTGGAGTGCAGTGGCACAGTCTCGACTCACTGCAACCCCCGCCCCCCAGGTTCAAGCGTTTCTTCTGCCTCAGCCTCCCCAGTAGCTGGGATTACAGGTGCCTGCCACCATGCTTGGCTAATTTTTTTTTTTTTTTTTTTGAGATGGAGCCTTGCTCTGTTGCCCAGGCTGGAGTACAGTGGCGGGATCTCGGCTCACTGCAACCTCCACCTCCTGGGTTGAAGTGATTTCTGGCTTATTTTTTGTGTGTGTTTTTAGTAGAGACAGGGTTTCACCGTGTTAGCCACAGTGGTCTTGAACTCCCGACCTCAAGTGACCTGTCCTCCTCAACCTCCCAAAGTGCTGGGATTACAGGCCTGAGCCACCATACCCAGCCTAATTTTTGTATTTTTAGTAGAGATGGGGTTTCACCATTTTGGCCAGGCTGGTGTCAAACTCCTGACCTCAGGAAATCCACCTACCTCAGCCTCCCAAAGTGCCGGGATTACAAGCGTGAGCCACCACACCTGGCCTGTGGTGTTTTATATCAGGGATTTGAGCATCCATGGATTTTGGTATCTGCAAGGGTGTCCTGGAACCAGTCCCCATAAATAATGAGACAACTGTGTATCTCAAAGGTGACACCGTAAAGGGAGATGATCATGATCTGGAAACTTTGATAGAAAGGCAAGAGAATGACAATCATATCTTGCTCTGGGGGCGGGGGTGGTAAAGGTCGTAGTAAAGAGAGAAATGTGAGAAAATACTTGAAGGAGGACAGCCAGGGTTAAGTCAAGGTAAATAAGTGGAAGGACCATTGTTCAGAAAGATTGAGGAAGCCTGAGATTTGGTATGATAAGAGTGAGTATTGTTTTGGGCATAGTGGAAAGATTTGGGCAGTGACAGTGTGGAAAGAACCAGGGTTGAGGACCTACAGATTAGGAAGATAGGTCATGGTTCGTATCATATTGCCTTTGTCTTTGGTGACCTGGGATTATAGAGATCAGAGGGAATGTTGGAAGTTATTGATTGACTTAATTGTCTGGACTTTGCAAGTTGTTTTGGTACTGAAACTGGTTTAAAGATTCAAATAGTATATTACTTGATCTCATAGAGGTGGTAAATCCTTTTTATAAAGTTAGCGTCAAAGGCAACAAAGACTGTATTCTGGGTGAGGGGTTGAATAAGCAGAGTTGAAATCACTTGTTAGGTAAAGGCTCCCAGAAGGAATGTGGTGAAAAGCCGATTGTGTCCAACGACTCCTGTGATGCTTATAGAGGGGCTATAAAGTTCCCCCAGGTTGAGGGGAATGTGGTGACAGGGTTCATTTTAGAATAGAGTGATTATCAGTTTAAAATTGAATGGCTTGTGGATATATGCTAGAAGGAACCAGAAATGAATATCTGTTAGGATACTGGGATATGGGTTACAATTTTTTTTTTTTTGAGGCAGAGTCTTGTTCTGTTGCTCAGGCTGGAGTGCAATGGCGTGATCTCTGCTCACTGCGACCTCCGCCTCCCGGCTTCAAGAGATTCTCCTGCCTCAGCCTTCTGAGTAGCTGGGATTACAGGTGCCTGCCACCCCATCTGGCTAATTTTTGTATTTTTAGTAGAGACGGGGTTTCGTTGGCCAGGCTGGTCTCGAACTCAGGTGGTCCACCGCCTCGGCCTCCCAAAGTACTGGGATTACAGACGTGAGCCACTACTGTGCCCAGCTTTTTTTTTTTTTTTTTTTTTTTTTTTTGGGACACAGTCTTGCTCTGTCGCCCAGGCTGGAGTGCAGTGGTGAGATCTCGGCTCATTGCAACCTCCGCCTCCTGGGTTCAAGCAATTCTCTTGCCTCAGTCTCCTGAATAGCTGGAACTATAGGTGTGCGCTGCCATGCCCGGCTAATTTTTGTATTTTCAGTAGAGACGGGGTTTCGTCATGTTGGTCAGGCTGGTCTCGAACTCCTGACTTCAGGTGATCCGCCTGTCTCGGCCTCCCAAAGTGCTGGGATTATGGGCATGTGCCTGGCCAGATATGGGTTAATTTTTAATTTTAAAATATGCTAGAATTTTTTTTTTTTTGAGACAATCTTGCTCTGTCACCCAGGCTGGAGTGCAGTGTCATGATCATATCTCACTGCAGCCTCTAACTCCTGGGCTCAGGAGATCCTCCTGCCTTAGCCTTCTGAGTAGCTGGGACCACAGGCATGTACCACCACACTCAGTTAATTTTTAAAGTTTTTTTTGTAGACGGGGTCTTCCTATGTTTCCCAGGGGTCTTGCTTGTCTTGAACTCCTGGGCTTAAGTTATCCTCCAACCTTGGCCTCTCAAAGTGTTGGGATAACAGGTGTGAGCTATTTTACCTGGCCTTTCTTTTCTTTTTCTTTTTTTTTTTTTTTTTTTTGAGACAGGGTCTTTCTCTCTTGCCCAAGCTGGAGTGCAGTGGTGTGATCTTGGCTCACTGCAACCTCTGCCTCCTGAGTTTGAGTGATTCTCCTACCTCAGCCTCCCTATTAGCTGAGACTACAGGCGCGTGCCACCATGCCTGCGCCACCATGCCTGCTAATTTTTTGTTGTTGTATTTTTGGTAGAGATGGGGTTTTGCCTTATTGCCCAGGCTGGTCTTGCACTCTTGGGATCAAGTGATCCACCTGTCTTGGCCTCCCAAAGTGCTAGGATTACAGGTGTGAGCCACCACACCTGACCTTTTTTTGATGGGGGTCTCACTGTGTTGCCCAGGCTGGACTTGAACTCCAGGTCTCAAGTGATCTCACATCTCAGCCCTTTCAGCATGAGAATTTGTCCTTCTCTTCCTGGTTGGGGATCATAATGTCTTCTTTTTTTCCCCTCTTGTTATACTATTCTTGTCCCATCCCACTTCTGACTTCACCCTTTTCTTTTGTGTGTTTTTCCTTGTCTTATGGTTTCTTCTCTTGTGTGGCTCTACTATTTTATGGCCCCTTCTCTGGCAATGTTTTAGTTTCTATTCTTGATTCCAGCTCCGTGAGTCTTTTCCTCCCACTTTCCATTCAGTTGAGAGGGAATAAGAGAGTACATTTTTACATTTAAGTCAGAGAATGTTTGTCATTCCTATTTAACTAAACTCTCATAGCACTCTTTCCTCACAAGCTGATGGTTAATTCATAGAACCTTTAGGTCTGTTGGATCCCCCTATCTAATTAGCTCGGCACAGGAGTCAGGAGCATGTAGTTTTTTTTTTTTAAATTAATTAATTTATTTTTATTATTTTTATTTTTTTAGATGGAGTCTCGCTCTGTCGTCCAGGCTGGAGTGCAGTGGCGCAATCTCGGCTCACTGCAAGCACCGTCTCCTAGGTTCACACCATTCCCCTGCCTCAGCCACTAGAGTAGCTGGGACTACAGGCACCTGCCACCACGCCCAGCTAATTTTTTTTTTGTATTGTTAGTAGAGACGGGGTTTCACCGTGTTAGCCAGGATGGTCTCGATCTCCTGACCTCGTGATCTGCCTGCCTTGGCCTCCCAAAGTGCTGGGATTACAGGCGTGAGCCACCGTGCCTGGCCCCAGGAGCATGTGGTTTTTATGTGGAGTTAGGAGTTGAAGGTGAAATAAGAGGTTCCTTAATCTGCAAGGCATTGTTGGTAGAGCTTTTGCCTTGAGAGATGACTCTGAGTGTGCTGACCAATCTGTCAAGGATGATGAGAGCTAGATTACTGTGCACCAAAGGAGAATGACAGTATCCTTTGGTGGTTTAGAGGAAGGCCAGTGTTTACACAGCAAGGGCATCAAGGCAGGCTTCATGAAAATACTCGACTTTAAGAATGAGGATGATTTCAATAGGAGGAGATTAGGGAGAATGATGCTGGTGAATTTATGGACTACGAAGGCAGAGAGAAGATGCTAAAGCAGCGTAATTATAAATGCAAAGGTTCAGATAAAAAAACCCGGGGAGCATATTTAGGAAATAAGGAGTAGTTGAGTATACAGCAGCAGGAAGAAGGAAAGCTGGGTCCAGAGTATTGAGGCCCTTATATGCTAAGCTAAGGAGTTGAGGTGCAACTTGGTGCTCATTGTTTGTCTTAGAGTTCTCACTAACCTTAAAGTTACTGAGAATTTACAAAGGAGTTGTTGAGCCTAGAGAAGCGATACAGTTTCTTATCGTTGATGTAAGATTGTACATCATTTGAACCTTAGTTTTGTGACATTAGCGTCTAACATTTATTTGTAGGTATTTCCTCTTAGTTTTTTTTTTTGAGATGGAATCTCGCTCTGTCGCCCAGGCTGGAATACAATGGTGCGATCTCGGCTCTCTGCAATGTCTGCCTCCCGGTTCAAGCGATTCTCCTGCCTCAGCCTCCCAAGTAGCTGGGATTACAGGCATACGCCACCACATCCAGCTAATTTTTGTATTTTTAGTAGAGACGGGGTTTTGCCATGTAAGTTAGGCTGGTCTCAAACTCCTGACCTCACGATCTGCCCACCTCGGCCTCCCAAAGTGCTGGGATTATAGGCGTGAGCCACTGCGCCTGCCCTCCTCTTAGTTTTTAAAGTTTTGAGATAAAATTAATGTACTATAAAATTTACCCATTTAAAGTGTATAATTCAGTGGTTTTTAGTGTATTCATAGTAATGCATCCATCACCACAATTTTAGAACATTTCAGCATCCCAGAAAGCAACACTATACTCATTAGCAGTCATTCCCTATTTCTCCCCCAGTCTTCCCAGGCCTAGGTGACTATCAGTCTACTTTCTATCTCTATGGATTGATCTGTTTTGGAACATTTCATATAAATGGAATCATACAAAATGAGGTCCTTTGTGATCAGACTCTTTAGCATGTTTTCAAAGTTCATCCATGTTGTAGCATGTATCCATACTTAATTCATTTTTATGGCTGAATAATATTTCATTGTGTTGATACAGCACATTTTGTTTATCCATTCTTCAGTTGATGAACATTTGGGTTATTTTCATTTTTTGGCTACTATGAATAATGCTTTTGTGACCATTAATGGACTTTTTTTGTATAAACTTATGTTTTTATTTTTCTTGGGTATGTACGTAATAGTGGAATGATTGGGTCATATGGTATCTCCATGCTTAACTTCTCGAGAAACTGCCAGTGTTCTCCAGAGTACCTATACTATTTTATATTTTCACCAACAGAAAATGAGAGTTCCAATTTTTCTACATCCTAACACTTTTTTTTTTTTTTTTTTTTTGAGAAGGAGTCTTGCTCTGTTGCCAGGCTGGAGTGCAGTGGCGTAATCTTAGCTCACTGCAACCTCTGCTTCCTGGGTTCAAGCAATTCTCCTGCCTCAGCCTCCCGAGTAGCTGGGACTATAGGTGCGCGCCACCACGCCCAGCTAATTTTTGTATTTTTAGTAGTGACGTGGTTTCACCATATTGGCCAGGATGGTCTCGATCTCTTGACCTCGTGATCTGCCTGCTTTGGCCTCCCAAAGTGTTGGGATTACAGGCATGAGCCACCGTGTCCGGCCTACACTTTTTTTGTTCTATTTTGTTTTGAGACTGGTCTCACTCTGTTGCCCAGGCTGGTGTGCAGTGGTGCAGTCACAACTTACTGTAGTCTTGACCTCTGGGGCTCAAGCAATCCTCCTGACTCAGCCTCCCAAGTAGCTGGGACTACAGGTGCACGCCACCACACCTAGCTAATTTTTGTGCTTTTTGTAGAGACAGAGTCCCACTTTGTTGCCCAGACTGGTCTCCCGCTGAATTCCTGGGCTCAAGCAGTCCTCCTGCCTTGACCTCTGAAAGTGCTGGGATTACAGGTTTGAGCCACTGCGCCAGGGCCTAGCCAACACTTAATTGTCTTTTTGATTATAGCCATCTTAGTGGATGTGAAATGGCATCTCATTTGGTTTTGATTTGCATTTCCCTAATGACTAATGACATTGAGCATCATTTCATGTGCTTTTATTAGTCATTTGTATATCTTCAATGGAGAAATGTCTGTTCAAGTCCCTAGCCCATTTTTAATTTTAATTGAATTTAATTTGTGGTGTTTTTTTTTTTTTTTGAAACGAAGTTTCGCTCTTGTTGCCCAGGCTGGAGTGCAATGGCGTGATCTCGGCTCACTGCAACTTCCACCTCCCGGGTTCAAGCTTTTCTCCTGCCTCAGCCCCCCAAGTAGCTGGGATTACAGGTGCCCGCCACTACTCCCAGCTAATTTTATTATTATTATTATTATTATTTTAGACAGAGTCTTCCTCTGTTGCCAGGATGGAGTGCAGTGGTGCGATCTCAGCTCACTGCAACCTCCGCCTCCCAGGTTCAAGCGATTCTCCTGTCTCAGCCTCCCAAGTAGCTGGGGCTACAGGCGCATGCCACCTCACCCAGCTAATTTTTGTATTTTTAGTATTGACGGGGTTTTACCAGGATGGTCTTGATCTCTTGACCTTGTGATTCCCCCTGCCTTAGCCTCCCAAAGTGCTGGGATTACAGGCATGAGCCACTGTACCCGGCCATTTTTTTGTATTTTTAGTAGAGATGGGGTTTCACCGTGTTGGCCAGGCTGGTCTCGAACTTCTAACCTCAGGTGATCTGCTTGCCTCAGCCTCCCAAAGTGCTGGGATTACAGGCGTGAGCCACCATGCCTGGCCTTTTTTTTTTTTTTTTCTTTTGAGACTGGGTCTTTGCTCTGTTGCCCAGGCTGCAGTGCAGTGGCATGGTCAGGGCTCACTGTAGCCTCATCCTCCCAGGCTCAAGTGATCTCTTACCTCAGCCTTCCAATTATAGGCATGTGTCACCACACTTAGCTAATTATTTTTTATTTTTTTTTTAGAAACAGGGTCTTGCTGTGTTGCTGGGGTTGGTCTTGAATTGAGCTCAAGCCATCTTCCTGCCTTGGCCTCTCAAAGTGCTGGGATTACAGGTGTGAGCCATGGTGCCTGGCTCTTTTTTTTTTTTTTAATTTATTTTATTTTATTTTATTTTTTATTTTTATTTTTTGAGACGGAGTCTCACGCTGTGGCCCAGGCTGTAGTGCAGTGGCGTGACCTTGGCTCACTGCAACCTCCGCCTCCCGGGTTCATGTGATTCTCCTGTCTCAGCCTCCTGAGTAGCTGGGACTATAGGCACGTGCCACCATGCCTGGCTAATTTTTTGTATTTTTAGTAGAGATGGGGTTTCACTGTGTTAGCCAGGATGGTCTCGATTTCCTGACCTTGTGATCTGCCTGCCTCGACCTCCCAAAGTGCTGGGATTACAGGGGTGAGCCACTGCGCCTGGCCCTGGCTCCCATTTTTAAAGTGATTTTTTTGTTGTTGAGTTGTAGGAGTTCTTTTTATATTCTAAATATTAGTCCATTATCAGATATATGGTTTGCAAATATTTTTTCCTTTTCTGTACATTGCCTTTTCACTGTCTTAATAGTGAATAATATACAAAAGGTTTTAATTTGATGAAGTCCAGGATCTTTTTTTATCGTGTATTACCTGTGCTTTTTGTGTCATACTTTTTTTTTTTTTTTTCCCTGAGATGAAGTCTCACTAAGTCGCCTCCGCCCGCCTCAGCCTCCCAAAGTGTTGGGATTACAGGCATGAGCCATCATGCCCAGCCTTTTTGCCATACTTAAGAAATCATTGCTAAATCCAAGGTTGTGACTCTTTCTCATTTTTTTTCCATAAAAGTTTTATAGTTTCAGCACTTACTTTTAGATCTTTGATCTGGTTTGTGTTCATTTTTGCATGTGGTGTGAGGTAAATGGTTCAACATAATTCTTTTATTTTTTTGAGTCAATGTTCTGCTGAACCAACATAATTCTTTTGTATGTGTATCCAGTTGTCCCAGTACCATTTTTTCATCCTCTGTGAATTTAATAAAGTACATCTTCATATTTTACATAATAAGACATTTCTTCATACTTTATATAAAACTGGCCTAACATTTCATTCAAAATATTACTATACAGGCCAGGTACAGTGAGTGGATGGATCATACATGTAATCCCAGAACTTTGGGAGGCTGAGGTGGGAGGATTGCTTGAGGTCAGTAGTTTGAGACCAGCCTGGGCAACGTAGCAAGACTCCATCTGTACCAAAAAAAAAAAAAAAAAAAAAAAAGAAGGCCGGGTGTGGTGGCTCACATCTGTAATCCCAGCACTTAGGGAGGCCGAGGTTGGAGGATCACTTGAGTCCAGGAGTTTGAGACCAGCTTGGTCAACATGGTGAAACCCTGTCTCTACTAAAAATACTAAAAATTAGCCAGGCATGGTGATCACGCACCTGTAATCCCAGCTACTTGGAATGCTGAGACATGAGAATCACTTGAAACCCGGGAGGAGGAGGTTGCAGTGAGCCGAGACTGTACCACTGCCCTCCAGCCAGCCTGGGTGGACTCTGTCTCAAAAAAAAGAGGAAAAGAAAAAATATTACCATTCAAAGTGAATATGAAATGTGTATTATTAATTGTGGAATACTAAAGTTGGAGTATATACCATAGAGGTTGTCTTCAGTCCTCCTTATTTTATAAATGTGGAAAGAAAGACCTAGAAAAGTTAACTGATGTCCAGTGTTGTATAGCTAATCAGTTGGAGATAATACGTTAACCCAGGTGTTTGCAAACTTTTTCTGTAGAGGGCCACATAGTAAGTATTTTAGGCACTGTGGGCCAAGAGGCAAAATAGGGTATTATGTAGGTACATATATTAAAAGAAAAAACAAATTTCCACAAATTTTGTATTGATGAAAATAAAAAATGTAATTGTTTAGTACTTTTTCATTTTGGTAATACATGTCTACAGATGAGAAGAATGGAATTCTTTTTTTGGGGAGGATAACAATTTGTTTAATTGAAGTTCAAAGTAAATGTTCCTTAGCCTTAAAATCAGTTGCAAATGTTCATCTGTTATTATTTATCTGTATGAGGTTTTATGTATTTAATCTTAGAAAATGTCATTTTTCACAGACAGGTCCTGCCAATTACTCATATCAATTCACAAGCATGTGTTTCTAATTGAGCCTGTTAGTCTCTTGGAAGGCATTTTAAGAATTCTGTTAGGGCCGAGTGCGGTGGCTCACGCCTGTAATCCCAGCACTTTGGGAGGCTGAGACCGGCAGATCACTTGGGCGGAGCTCCAGACCAGCCTGGCCCATGTGGTGAAACCCTGTCTCTACTAAAAATACAAAAATTAGCTGGGCGTGGCATGTGCCTGTAATCCCAGTTACTCGGGAGACTGAGGAAGGAGAATCTCTTGAACCTGGGAGGTGGAGGTTGCAGTGAGCTGAGATTGTGCCACTGCACTCCAGCCTGGGCTACAGAGTGAGACTCTGTCTGAAAAAAAAAATTGTTGGATTCTTTGATTTTTAAAACATTAGTTGAAGATTAATCACTTTAAATTTAAGGCTAGATGGAACCTCCCCAATTGCACAAGTAGATAGATTTTGAAATGGAGAAATTCCCTTTTCACTTGCACCAAGTTCTGGTGCAAGTATAAAATGCTGAACTTGGAAGATATATTCACTACAACTTTGTATGGGAATGGACATCTCTCATACTGTTTTAATTCTGGACAACACAGGAAGTGTATGTACTTTGACAATACTTGTGGTTCAAACAATATTAATTTTTATTGAAATGACTTTGTGGCAGCATAAGTTCTGCATATAATCACTGTTTTGCTATTTGACTAGGTTGAATTCATTGAGACACATGGTGAAGTCTGTCAGAAAAGCTAATTTCCAGAGCCATTCAGTGTTCAATTAAATAGTGGGTGTGGGTGGTCTCATTCAGAAAAATTTCAGCTCACCCTGAATTTTAAAAATTGCAGTAAAAATTTCCCTCTGCTAAGCTCAATCACTGCTTCAGAAAATAAACTGAAAAAGTTTATTTTCTCTGGATATACAATTCTTTGGCAGCTATAGTCAGATGTGATTTAGTTAACTAACTATTGCTAAGTGACTTTCCTTGCTTGGCTAATAGAGGTGATATTCAGAAGCTTACTTTCGTTGCATCCTCATTTGTAGTTTTTATTTTTGTGAAGAAATTTAGCTGTGAGGAGATATTCCATTTTATTTTATTAATATTTATTAATTTTTTTCTATTTTTCTTTTTTTGGAGATGGAGTCTTGCTCTGTTGCCCAGGCTGGAGTGCAATGGCATGATCTCGGCTCACTGCAATCTCTGCCTCCCGAGTTCAAGTGATTCTCATGCCTCAGCCTCCCCAGTAGCTGGGGTAACAGGCGTGTATTTTTAGTTGGAGGGGGAAGTTCTGCCATGTTGGCCAGGTTGGTCTCGAACTCCTGGCCTCAAGTGATCCACCCACCTTGGCCTCCCAAAGTTCTGGGATTACAGGTGTGAGCCACTGGAGGGAGAATTGCTTGAACCTGGGAGGTGGAGGTTGCAGTGAGCCAAGATCATGCCGCTGTACTCCAGCCTGGGCAACAGAACGAGACTCTGTCACCCCCCGCCCCCTGGAAAAAATGCGTTTTTTGACTTAATGATATTTTCAATTGTGATGGGTTAATTGAGATATCACCCCACTGTAAGTTTATGGGGACCTGTATTGGTGTCATTCCAGGTTACTGGAAAATTATTTCTGTAACCTGTATGTGTACACTGGTTAGCAATGTAGTTTTTACTGAGTCACAGTCAGAAAAGTTAGAGAAATATTTATAGAGCATATATGATGTCAAGTAAAAAATGTCTGAAATCCATGAAGACTGCCTGTCTTCCATGTACAACTTACTTCTTCAGATTTGTTATTTCCATTGGATAAGCTTCAGGTTTCTTTTATATGTTGATGTTCTCCAGGGCTATTTTCTAGCTTGGCTCTCTTTTCTCATTCAGCTTCTATGGTTCTTTATCTTTTGTTGGGTCATACACCCCTCGGAAAATTGATAAAATTTATGGACCCTTTGTCAAAAATTGCTTGTATGTACCTTACACAAACTTGTGCTTACAATTTTAGGAGTTTCACAGGACATCTGCCTGCAAGCTCATTCGTAGATTCTAGATCAGAGCCCCACTTCTCTATGTGCTACCTGAATAATTGCACTTACATTTATAGTTTGAAATACATTGATTTTCCAATCTATTTCTTCAGTATGATTCTCTGTCCTGAGCACTAGACCCTGATATTCATTTACTTCCTCTCCTTGCATATGTGAATATTCTGTTGTACTACTCCACTTATGAAACTGTGTAGTTCCTGGAATACATTTTTCTGTTGTTAAATCCTTGACTCCTTGGTTATGAGGCTCTGCCACTTCCTTGTTCTTTAAGACATTCTCCCTCCTTAGCTTCTGTAATTCTACTCTCATCTATTTTTCTCTTATTTCTGTGACTACTCTTCTCTTCCTTTTTCCTAGATTCTTTTTTCACCACCTGTCATCTAAATGTCTGTTCTGACCATAACCCTCTGAAATATTTTACTCTACATTTTTGGGCTTTTTCAAACCCCTGGCTTTAGTTACTTCCCAAATCTTTGTATTTAGCTAAGGTTCACCTTTTTTATCTCCAGTGTCTACTGGACATTTCCACTTAGATCAATGGTTCCTAAATATTTTGGGGGATTACATACTCCCCTAATAATCTGATTAAGGTATATCTTTCTCCCCAGAAAAGTACATCGCATACTAAATTTTGCATACTGTTCTAGGTTGTTCCTGGACCTCTTTCAGCCCCTCCATGGATTCCCTGTGGTATTCTAATTAAGCAGATATTAAGATGTTCCTGAGCTGCCTTTAATTCAGTTTGTCCAGAATCGACACTATCATCATTGCCTCTAACCCATTTTATTCTTATTCCTCTCCCTAATGCTTCTAAATATAATTATTTGCCTCTTAATTATTTACTAACAAATTCATTCTGCAAATATGTGAATGCTTACTTCGTATCTGGCACCTGACCTGAATATGCAGTGATGCACAAAATAGACATGGTTATTTAGTTCTCTCAAAGCTTACTCTATAGCATAGTCATTAAAAGTGTGAACTTTGGAGCCAGAGTGTCTGGGTTCAAGTTTTGACTCCTTACTGCTTTGTGACCTTGAACAAATTACTTAACCTCTCTGTTTAATCTTTAACTTAACCTTTTAGTTTCATCATCAGCCTGCTTCACTGGTTATTAGGATTAAATGAGTTAATATATGGCAAATGCTGTGTATATGTTAGCTGTTATTCATGGAGGAGACATTGAATAATCATAAGTAAATATACATTTTGGTAAGTACTATGAGGGAATAGAACAGGGTACTTTGAGAGAGAATTTAAATTAGGGAGTAGGGATAGCATTGCTAAGGAAGTGATATTTAGACAAACTGGTAGGATGTATAGGTGTTACCCAGGTGAAGGTTTGTGGGGACTGGAAGCAAAGCGTTTCAGGCAAATAGAAAAAGCAGTGTAAGAGCCCTTCTCTGAGAAAATGTTTGGAGCATTTGAGAAATAGAAGGTCATTGTGCCTGGAGTATGATGTGTTATGGGGAGAATGATGTGAACGCGGAGATCTGTAGGCCATACTAAGGATGTTAGATTTATTCTAAATGAAATGGGAAGCTAATGGAAGGTTAAAAATGGCAGAAATGGCATGAACTGATTTATGTTTAGAAAGGGTCCCTTGATACTGTGTGGAGAATGGATTACAGGAGAGAGCCAGAATGAGTGCCTGGAGAGAGAGAAAAAAGAAAAGTCTGTTGCAGTAGTCTGAGTAAGAGCTGCTGGTGGTTTGGACTAGGGTGATGCATGAAGGTGGAATGAAGTGTGTGGGTGCAAAATGTTTTAAATTGAGTGCTTCTATGTGCAAGGTACTGTTGATAGAATCTTAGGGTACAATGTAGAGGTTAAAAAGGACATACAGGCTGGGCATAGTGGCTCACACCTGTAATCCTAGCACTTTGGGAGGCTGAGGCGGGTGGATCATGAGGTCAGGAGTTCAAGACCAGCCTGGCCAAGATGGTGAAACTTCGTCTCTACTGAAAATACAAAAATTAGCTGGTCATGGTGGCAGGAACCTGTAATCCCAGCTATTCGGGAGGCTGAGGCAGAGAATCGCTTGAACCTGGGTGGCAGAGGTTGCAAGTGAGCTGAGATCATGCCACTGCACTCCAGCCTGGACAACAGAGTGAGACTGTCTCAAAAAAAAAAAAAAAGGACATATAGTCTATAATTTGTAGGGATGGGATGAACAGGAGAGAGAAGACAATTATACAAATAAATATAAAAAATAGACCTGTGTAAGTTCTAGGAAGAACAGATACATGGTGTTTTTGACAGCGTATCATGGTCAGGAAGGTCAGTGATGTAGAATCAACAGGAAGATTTGATGATTGACTTGATGTAGAAGGAAGGGAGAGGAGGATATGTAGTTGGATATGGAGAAAAGTCTTACTGGGTTCTAGTCTTATTGTCATCTTCCACACCATCTTGTTTGTTTGTTTGTTTGTTTGTTTATTGAGCTGGAGTCTCTCTCTGTCACCCAGGCTGGAGCTCAGTGGTGCAATTTCAGCTCACTGCAACCTCCGCCTCCCAGGTTCAAGTGATTCTCCTGCCTCAGCCTCCTGAGTAGCTGGAATTACAAGCACCCGCCACCACACCTGGCTAATTTTTTTTATTTTTAGTAGAGACGGGGTTTCGCCATGTTGGCCAGGCTGGTGTCGAACTCCTGACCTCAGGTGATCTGCCTGTCTTGGTCTCCCAAAGTGCTGGGATTACAGGCGTGAGCCACCGCGCCCAGCCTTCCACACCACTTTGGTTAACCAGTAACCAAAGTAATTCTTTACTTCCTATGAGAATTATTCTATGATCCCTCAGTATAATTTAGTTGCTTTTTGTTTATACTTCCATTACACCCCAGGCAGAGAGCCAGTAGCTTTCTTTATTCTTTGTTGTCATCATTGAGTATTGGTTATCTGATAATAGTTGTCTGATAATTGATGGTAAGCTTTTGAGGGTAGGAATCATGTCTTTGCGTTCCAGGATATGTACATGGTAAGTGCTCAATAAATGTTTGACTTGAGGAATTAATGAATACTCTGTTCTTTTTTGTCATGTGCCTTTGCATAAGCTGTTCCTTCTCCTTAGAATGCCCTTCCTTCCCTTGTGTGCTTTGTCAACTTCTAGACATTCTTTAACACTAAGCCTTACTTGATACCTCAGTGTCAGTTCCTCCTACCACTATGCTTCTATAGTTTTTCTTAATTTTAATTTTTTTTTGAGACAGTCTCATTCCATCACCCAGGCTGGAGTGCAGTGGTGTGATCTTGGCTCACTGTAACCTCCACCTCCCTGGTTCAAGCAATTCATCTGTCTCAGCCTCCCGAGTAAATGGAATTACAGGCGTGCACCACCATGCCTGGCCAACTTTTGTATTTTTAGTAGAGATAGGGTTTCACCATGTTGGCCAGGCTGGTCTCAAACTCCTGACCTCAAGTGATCTGCTTCTCTTAGCCTCCAAAAGTGCTGAGATTACAGGCGTGAGACACTGTACCTGGCCCTATAGTTTTTCTTTTGTATACCTCTTATAAATATTTGATAGTGCAGAGTAGGGATCTAAATGTTCAAAAGAGTGAATATGTATCATGAACATCATGGACTTGTAGATTGGATAAATATTTTCCAAATATAGAAGCCCATTTCCAAGTAACCTAGGTTATTTTCATCTGGTCTTAGTCCATTTTGTTCTGCTATAACAGGATACCACAGAGTGGGTAGTTTATAAACAATAGAGGTTTATTTGGCTCACAGTTCTGGAGGCTGGGAAGTCCAAGAGTATGGCACTGGGATCTGATGAGGGTCATCATATGGTGGAAGGCAGAAGGGAGCATGTGAGATAGAGGGGGACACCGGGGCAGGACTGACTTTATAACAACCCACTCTTGAGATAACTAACCCACTCCTGTGATAGCAACATTAATCCATTCATGAGGGCCCTGACCTCATGACCCAGTCACTCCTTACTAAGGCCCCACCTCCCAACTGTTGTGTTAGAAATTAAGTTTCCAATGCAGGAACTTTCTGGGGACAGATTCAGACCATAGTACTTATGAGATAAGTTTACTGATCTTACTTCGTTTTAATTTTGTCTCTTGTTTTGATCTTCAGTGTTTTACTCTTATAAAGGCAGCCCTATCTCCAAATTCTGGATAATTTATTGTAGTTCATTGACTACATAGCCACTGATTGCAATGTCTTCCTCCACTTTCTAATTTTATTTCTCCTTCAAGAGTCAGCTGAAAAGTCTCCTCTTCTTCGTAAAGAAAAGTCCCCTTTCTTTTTTTTCTTCCCTTTCCCCTTCCTTCCCTGTACATCTTCCCCTTCCTTCCCCTTCCCTCTCCTTCTCTTCTCCTTTCCTCCTTCCTTTCCCTTTTCCCCTCTCCTCTCTCCTCTTCTCTCCTCTCCCCTCTCCTCTCCCTTCCCCCTTCTCCTCCCCATTCCCCCTTTCCCCTCTCTTACCCCTTCCCCTCTCTTACCCCTTCCCCTTCTCTTCTCCCCTTCCCCTCTTCCTTCCCCTCCTCCTCTCCCCTCCCCCTCTCCTTTCCCCTCTTCTCTCCTCTCCCCCCCCTCTTCCTTTCCCTTCTCCTCTCCCCTCCCCCTCTCCTCTCCCCTCTTTTCCCCTCTTCTCTCCCCTCTTCTCTCCGCTCCTGTCTCCCTCTCCCCTCCCTTTCCCTTCTCCACTCCTTCCTCTCCCTCCCCCCGTCTCTCCTCTTCCCCCCACCTTTTTTTTTTTTTTTTTTTTTTTGAGACGGAGTCTCTTGCTCTGTCACCCAGACTGGAGTGCAGTGTGCGATGTTGGCTCACTGCAAGCTCCTCCTCTTGGGTTCACGCCATTCTCCTGCCTCAGCCTCCTGAGTAGCTGGGACTACAGGCGCCTGCCACCTCGCCCGGCTAATTTTTTTTTTTTATTGTATTTTTAGTAGAGATGGGGTTTCATGTGTTAGCCAGGATGGTCTCAATCTCCTGAGCTCGTGATCCACCCGCCTCAGCCTCCGAAAGTGCTGGGATTACAGGCGTGAGCCACCGTGCCTGGCCTCCTCTTTCCCCTCTTATTTCCTCCCCTCCCCTCTGCCCTCCCCTCCCCTCTCTTCTTTCACCTCTCCCTTCTCTCCTCTTCCCTCTCCCTTCTCCCCTCTCCCCTCTCCTTTCCCCGCCTTTCACTCTGATGCCTAGGCTAGAGTGTAGTGGTGCAGTCATAGTTCACTGAAGCGTCAAACTTCTGGGCTCAAATGATCCTCCCACCTCAGCCTCTGAGTAGCTAGGACTATAGGCATGCACCACCACACTCAGCTAATTAAATTTTTTTTTTTTTTTTTTGAGAGACGGGGTCTCACTGTGTTGCCAGGCTGGTCTCTAGCTTCTGGCCTCAAGTGATCCTCCTGTCTTGGCCTACCAAAGTGCTGGGACTTATACCCTTTGTAGGTTTTGTATGTTTCTATAGTGTTCCAGAGGTTTTTCTACACTACCAACTACAGTTTTTCAATATGATTATTCTGTCTTTTCAATCAGAGCTTGAGCTTTTTGAGGGGATTTGTTTTTATTTATTCATTTTCCCCAGGGGACTTGTTTTTATTTATTCATTTTCCCCAGTTTTAGGGCTTAGCACATAGTTGATGCTTAATAAATATTCGTTTAACTCATTGTAGCCTTATTTACTTATGCTAATAAGGATAGAGAACCTCAAGAATGTAGAGTGGAACTAGTCATGAGATGAAAAATACTGCCTCTGTATAATCGCTACAATTTATAATCTATATACATATAATTTGCACCGCATTCAAGTTGCTTTGAATAATCTTTATGTTCTCTATTTCCATACAGCTTTTACCTCTTTTTAAAACAGGTGTAGCTGGGCGTGGTAGCTCACGCCTGTAATCCCAGCACTTTGGGAGGCCGAGGCAGGTGGATCACCTGAGGTCAGGAGTTCGAGACCAGCCTGGCCAAGATGGCTAAACCCCATCTCTACTAAATATACAAAAAAATTAGCAGGGTGTGGTGGTGGGCGCCTGTAATCTCAGCTACTGGAGAGGCTGAGGCAGGAGAATTGCTTGAACCCGGGAGGCCAAGGTTGCAGTGAGCCAAGATCATGCCATTGCACTCCAGCCTGGGTGACAGACCGAGACTCCATCTCAGAAAAAAAAACAACAAAAAACAACAAACAAACAAACAAAAAAACCCACACAAAAAATAGGTGTTCCCTGCCTTCCAGTGGTTAGATCACAGCTAACAATTTTAGTAAAGGTCAAGATTATAAAATATTTTGAAGTAATATTTAAAATCCAACCTAGCAAGACCCCATCTCTACGTTAAAAAATATATATATTAGCCAGTTGTGGTGGCGTGGCCTATAATCCCAGCTACTCAGGAGGCTGAGGAAGGAGCATCACTTGAGCCCAGGAGGTTGAAGCTGCAGTGAGCCGTGATCATACCAC
Source organism: Homo sapiens (assembly GCF_000001405.40). Lineage (NCBI taxonomy): Eukaryota > Metazoa > Chordata > Mammalia > Primates > Hominidae > Homo > Homo sapiens. The sequence goes on from NC_000015.10 coordinate 41,653,670, forward strand.
TGCACTCCATCCAGCCTGGGAGACAGAGTGAGACCCCATCTCTTAAAAAAAAAAAAAAAGAAAAAAAAAACCCTTTTGGTTTACTTTTCAAATAAAACAAGTTTCCCCCACCTTTTTTCCTCATATATGTGATATGCCTGGAGCTTAGTTTAAACTAAGTGTAACTTAACCTGCCTCTTCCTTTGCCACCATGTGTTCCACAGTTTTTCCTAGTTATGTGGTGATTGGGTGGGTCTGTCTGACCTTGGTTTCACTACACTGTTCTGTACCGTTACCAAAGTTCCAGGATCTTGCCCCACCGTAAAGGATTTCCTGTTTTCAGTGTCTCCCCCACCCTGATTCCCAAAGTAGCTTCTTAATCTTGTGGCTGTCCTTCGGTCTCAACTGAGATGTCTCTTGGCTAATATCCTCTTCTGTATTGTTACTGATGAGGAGAAGCTGACTCTTGACTTCTTGGCAAAGTGACTTATACTCCATCACAGTCCTGTTGTGTGTATTTTTTTCTGTGAACATCAAATCTTAGCTATCTAGGGAGGCTGCTGTACGGCTGATCAGTTATTTCTAAATACCTGTCTGCAAAGTTGTTTTCAGTGGTATATCACAGAATAAGGACAATGTAGTGAATTTTTCATCTATCTAAGTGTATTAAAAAGACTATTATAATGAGATGTTCTTTCTAGTGGTTTTTAATCTGAAAATGATCTTTTTTTAAAAAAAATCATAGTAATAATAGATGATGGATGTTTTGTAAGGTAAATTTTGTTCACCTTATGATGGTCCTCTAAATACTTTTTTGGGATATCTTGCTGGTCTGTGATGTCCAATAGTTGGGGAATTCCTGCGTTGATCACCATAGCTCTTTTCCCTGAGGCAGTATTGCCCTTCATGTAAAGGAAGGATGGCTTCTTTCATATGCATTTGTAAACAATTTTCCAGTATATTTTTCTCTCATAGGCTTCTTCTTGATTTTTGCCTAATTCCAAAGTGCTGAGATTACAGGCATGAGCCACTGTGCCATCTTTTAAATAAAGATGGAGTCTCACTATGTTATCCAGGCTGGTCTCAAACTCTTGGGCTCAAGCATTCCTTCCACCTCCTCCTCCCAAAGTACTGGGATTACAGGCCCGAGCCACTGTGCCTGACTGACATTTTCCCTTTAGAATTTAGTAAAACAAATTCACTGTTACTAAAGTGTCCTTTCTTTAATATATTTGCTATTTTTTCTTGTAGATGAATATATAACAGATGGTAGTCTCCATTACAGCTTGTTGCTTCTATTGCCAGATGGTGTCATAACATTTTTTCCAATTTATTCTAAGGATCTGTTTGTTTTTGTTGATTTTCTAGGTAATACATTTGTCCCTCAGTATCTGTGGGGGATTGGTTCCAAGATACTGTCCCCTGCAGGATACCCAAATCCTCAGATGCTCAAGTCTCTTCTATAAAATGGCATGGTATTTGCATGTAACCCATGTACATCCTCCCATATACTTTATTTTTTTAATTTACTTTTTTTTTTTTTTTTTTGAGACAGAGTCTTGCTCTTTCACCCAGGCTGGAGTGCAGTGGCAGGATGTCAGCTAACTGCAACCTCCGCCTCCTGAGTTCAAGCAATTCTTGTGCCTCAGCCTCCCAAGTAGCTGGGATTACAGGCATGTGCCACCATGCCTGGCTAATTTTTGTATTTTTAGTGGAGCCTTGCTGTGTTGGCAAGGCTGATCTCGAACTCCTGACCTCAAGTGATCCGTCCACCTTGGCCTCCCAAAGTGTTGAGATTACAGGCGTGAGCCACCGTGTCTGGCTTTTCCCGTATACTTTAAATCATCTTTACTTATAATACCTAGTATAATTTAAATGCTTTGTAAATAGTTATACTTTTTTTTATTTTGTTGTATTGTCATTTATTTGTTTTATTTTTTCCACATATTTTTGATCCATGATTGGTTTAATCTGTGGATGTGGAACCCACAGATACAGAGGGCAGACTGTATCCAGTCAATGGGCAGTCAATAAGACTTTCCTAGAAAAATATTTGTATCTCCTCAAGTGTCTGCCCTGTCAACATTTATCTATTCCCCTAAAGATAAATAATTTGGGATAAGAGTCACTGGGTGCTAGTTTTTTAAAATCACAACTCTACCCCTTTGGGAAATGTTTGCCAAAGCCAGGGATATAACTACGTAATATAACTTCAGTATGTATTACGACCCTGTTTTCCAAACCTCACATTGTTGGACACTGAATCAGTATTTGATATTGAGACTTGCCTAAAAAATGAGGATCTGTGGTCTTCTATTTATTTATTCAACAAATATGTGTCCACCCTATCCCAGGCATTGTGATCAGCACTGGAATAGAGTGGAGCTAATGGTCTAATGCGGAAGACATATTAATACGTGGTTTTAAAAATAATTAACACAGTTGTGGTAAATGCCATAAAGAAATACAGGGTACTATGAGAGCATATAACTGGAAGACCTTACCTGATCATGAGGGTTAGGGCAAGCGTCTTAAAGAAAATACATTTAAACTTAAGTATGAAGGGTGAATAGAGTTAGGCTGGAGGCATCTGGGGCAATCTTCTTAGGCAAGGGTGAGGAACGTGGTTATGTGGGCTTGAGATGTGGGGCAGCAAGGAGGAATGGTGTTTCTTTCTCTCTCTCCCTCTCCTCTCTTCTCTCTCTCTCTCTCTCTCTCTCTCTCTCTCTCACACCCAGGCTGGAGTGCAGTGGCATGATCTTGACTCACTGCAACCTCTGCCCCCTGGGCTTAAACAGTCCTCCCACCTCACCCTCCTGAGTGGCTGGGACCGCAGATGCACACCACCAGGCCCAGCTATTTATTTTTATTTTTATTTTTATTTTATTTTTGGTAGAGACAGGGTCTTGCCATGTTGCCCAGGCTGCTCTCAAACTCCTGAGCTCAAACAGTCCGTCCCACCTCAGCCTCCCAAAGTTCTGGGATTACAGGCATGAGCCAGTGGGTGTTTCTTAATGAATGTTGATTATATTCCGTAACATTTCTGTCCTTCTTTTCATCCTCCCTTCTCTTAACATTTTCTAAAACATGCTTTTAATATTACTATGCTGATTAAGAAACTCTTTTCTTTCTTTAAGAGACAGGGTTGGGGGGTAGGTCTCACTGTTGCCCAGACTGGAGTGCAGTGGCACAATCACAGCTCACTGTAGCCTCGACCTCCTGTGGTCAAGCATTTCTCTCACTTCAGCCTCCTGAGTAGCTGGGACTGCAGGCACCACCACACTTGGCTAATTTTTTAATATTTTGCAGAGATGGGTTCTCACTATGTTGTCCAGGCTGGTTTTGAACTCCTGGGTTCATGCGATCCACCTGCCTTCTGCCTCTGCCTCCCAAAGTGCTGGGATTACAGGCGTGAACCACTGCGCCCAGCCCAGAAAGTCTTAAAAGTTCCTCTTTGGGTACATTATTAGCTCCTTGAAGGCAGATATCTTGCCATTTTTAATTCCTTAAATCGTTAATTTTTAATTCCTTAATTCCTTCATTACAGATATTGGTGGCAATCATACTTTGCCCCCCAGCATGACTTGATTTCAGTTGTAGTACTAAATGGTGGGCAAGGATGGAGTTGTCTATGATTCTCTTTTTACCCTCTGCCTAGGACCTGAATTTTCAGGTTGGCTAGTGAAGGCCCTTTTTTTTTTTTTTTTTTTTTTTTTTTTTTTTGAGATGGAGTCTTGCTCTGTCGTTCAGGCTGGAGTGCGGTGGCGCGATCTCGGCTCACTGCAACCTCCACCTCCCTTGTTCAAGCAATTCCCTTGCCTTAGCCTCCCGTGTGGCTGGGATTATGGGCGCACGCCACCATGCCCGGCTAATTTTTTTATATTTTTAGTAGAGACGGGGTTTCACCATGTTGGCCAGACTGGTCTTGAACCCCTGACCTTAGGCAATCTGCCTGCCTCGGACTCCCAAAGTGCTAGGATTACAGGACTGAGCCACCGCACCTGGCCGAAGGACTTTTTGTAAAAACAAAACAAAACAAAAAAAAAAACAAGCATCTTTTGCAACTCAGTCTGTATGTAGCCCTTATTTTATGAATGTTCTTTATTATATTGATATTTTAAACAAGGCCATAGTCCAGGAGTTTGTTCATGGTAGTGGTTTCATCTGAAGAGTGAGGTCTTTTTGTCAGTTGACAGAGGATGTTTTAGAAATCAGAACCGAAAGGATTGGATCTGAATAGATTGGATGAGGAAGTTTGTCTTGGTGGATTCTGTTACTTAAGTTGTGCCAATCTTTGGGGTTCTGCTGTAGACATCTGAAAAGTGCATGGGGTGCCAGCCTTTCCCCTATCCTCAGCATATAGTAGGCACTCAGATATTTGCTGAATAGGAAAAGTGTGCATGTAAATGAGATAGTGCCTATGTGTTTATAGAACAATCTAGGATCAAAACTGTGTACATTCTAGGCCAGACTGTTTAATTGCATGCATTCTCTCTAGTTTTTTGTTTGTTTCCCCTTAATATTCAGAAAAATCTACTTGAACGTGCAGTCTAGGAAAATCAAGGCAAAGACTTTTGTGTTAGGCTGGACCAATAAGTTGAGCTATGATAACTGAAAAAGGTGGAACTTAGGAGCATCACTTTAGCAGTTAGCTTGGCATTCTTAAACCTTCGGTTATATATGGATGCCTTTTAAAGGAGGAAATTTCTTACATTATCCAAAGTATACAACCAAGAACTTTAGTATGAGAATGCTGCATTAAAAGTTGAATGTAACCATTTAAGTGGTTACTCAAAGCAAACAAAAAATAAAAAAGAAAAACAAGCGGTTACTTGGTACCTGCATGATGGTAAATCCAAACTGGATCCCTGAAATGTGTGTGGTGGTATGATTATTTTTAGAATATCATCTAAAAACACTTAAAAGTTCTCATAGGACCCTCAGATTCTTGACATCTCCCGACCTCTCTAGGTTAGGCGGACTCCACTTTGAAAAACTATGGATAGTTTTCCTCTCCCACCGAGATCTGTAGTACTGAATCTTCAAAGTTCAGCGTTTTTTTTTTGTTTTGTTTTTTTAAAGTATCTAGTATTTAGTTATATGTTTGCCTGGTGTAGGGAAGGAGTACCAAAAGAGAATCTCCATTCCCCTTCTTCCCAAGTTGTCCTCACAGATCCCCCAGTTAGAGAGATCATTTGGGTTAACTTGTCTCTTTGGGGATGCATGGTTGTTAACCAGTCATTCACACCTTATGATCATATATTTTAATGCTAAATCAACATAAATTTACTTCTTCCCCAGAAAATGGAAAATTTTTATGAGGAAACCTCAGATCCTTGAGAGGAAGGCATTCTTGGTAAGGTGGGAGATTCTGACAGGGCAGCTTGTAGGAAAGAAGTTCTTGGGTTCAGGGAAGAGGAGGAAGGTGTTAAACTGTTACTTTTCAATTTTGCCTAGGATCTTGAATGCTCTTGCTGACCGTGCCTGACTTGGGGTTTCAGAATGCCTTCAGAAGTCTCTAAAGTAGCCTACACGTTTTCTAGTTCAGACTATTCCAGCAGTTTCTGTCAATGTTGTTGTATATCTCCTCAGGAAGAGCAAAGTGTAGAGAAATATGACCTTCCTAAGTAAAAAGTAGGTCAGATCAGTAGTGTTGGATAAGCCTCCTTCTGTTGACTCCTTCCTTAGTCTTCTCATTCTCCTTCATAGTGTTTTGTATTGTCACATAGCATGTCACGTAGTAGGTTCTCAGTGCTTGCTAATTCTTATCAAAGAAGGCAGTTTTGGATCATTGACCACAAAATCTGCTCTCCTACTCCCTACTTCTTTTTTGCCTTTTAAGAAACTACGCTTCCTTTTTACTGGTGTCAGGAGCACAGAAGAAAGAACAGCTGGTAAGGAGTAGAGAAGGAGAAAGAAAACTACTTTTTGAAGGTTAGGAGAAATACTGTCCATTGATTTACTTCAGCAACTGCCTGACACATAATAGATATTCACTAATACTTTCTTTGCACCTCATAGCTTAAATGTCTTGAAGAAACAAAAATTGAATGCACAGGATCAAGGCACTAAAGCTTAGATAACACACTCCTGCATCGTTTCCCTGTTTTATCAAGATATCTTTCATCTTTATATCCGGCAATTTAGTGGCAACTCTTCGCTTTCCAACTGCGCACTGAGTCTTTCGGTCTCCTCCCCATTTTCCTAGTCGTCTTCGGTTGTGGATGTTGTAAACTCGACCATCCGTCTCTCAAGGTCTTTGGCTTCAAGGTTTCCCAATGCTCTGGAGCTGTCCAAGCCCCGGTACTCCGGGGTGGAAGACCTCAGATTCATTTGACGGGCTTGTGGAGGTTGGGGGTCTGCGGAGCCCCGTGTGGGTGGGGCTGGGCGCGGCCGGGGCGGAGCCGGCGAGGAGCCCTAGGGAAAGGGTGAAAGGCACAGTTGAGAAAGGCCCGCCGGGCATTGGTTTCACAGTTTCCACGAAGGCTTCGTGTGCAAGCCTGAGGAGTTTAGGTGCCTCCCTCCTGCCTCGCCTTTCTTGGTTCTAGAACCTTCAGTAGGCTTTTCTGGGTTGCAGGGACCCGGAAAAGCAGCGGCTTCCACTCGGGGGGCGGGTCCCAAGGGTCTTGCTGCTGCTCTGGGGCCGTTTGGACTCCTGGTGTTGGGGGAGGGGTCAGGGAGGTGCTGCTCGCGTCTCCTTTTGCGCCTGCGCGGCGGGCTCCGAGCGGGTAGGAGCGCGTGCGCGGTGACGTGGACGTCCGGTGCGCGCGCGCAGGCTCTTCAGCTGGAGCGGACACACGGTGTGCGAACCGAACAGAATAACCCGCCCCCAGCGGGATGTGAAGGACTCCGGGTGAGGCCGGCCACGCCCCGCACGGTAACTCTCGGGCCTGGGTGGAGGGCATCGCTTAGTACTGGCCCGATTGGAGTTTTTCGAGAGTTTGAAGCTCTTGTGTATTTGAACGGCGTGAGAAACGTTCCGCTGAGAGAGCTTCGCACGCCCTCGCCAGGCCGGGCCTTGCGCAGGGCCGCCTTTGGCGCGCCCCTGTGGTCCCTGAGCGAGGCTGCGCATGTCACCTCGCGCGCGTCCCCGGCCTCACTTCCGCGTCGCTCAGCTACCTAACTGGGAACATCGACGCCAGAGAGAGCGGCCACGAGGCGGGAGGGGTGAGAAGCGCCCATGGCTCGGCCCTGCCCTCGCGTGTGTGGGGTGCCGCTCCGCGTGGTACGGTCCGCGTGACGACTTCTCGCCCGGCGCCGGGCTCTAGGTCGAGAGCCACGCTTACGCGCTTTTCAGTTTAGAGCCTAGGTCTCGTGGTTCTAGAACTCCAAGGGAAACGGTGTCGGCGTCGCTTTTCTGAGAACTTGGCGCAGCGTTTTGACACCTGTGCAAACGTCTTTTCTAACAAGTAATTTCCGGCCAAATTGTTTGAGGCAGGACGTCAAGTTTAATAAAGGAGGGCGAGGAAGTGAGCTGTAGGAGTGGGGACTTGGTAAACAAAGGACCGGTGGTGTGTAAGTGCAGAAATGAGGGAGGGGAAAACAGGTGGGAAGAGCAGGTGTTATTTTCTTTATTCCTCTGTGGGGCAGCCTTTTACCTAGTTCTGTTTATGGGGTTTCCCGTTTCTGTTAAATGGTCAAGTAGGTCTCTGCCCTCAGTGCAAGGTATCTGGGACATTAACATCACCCCCCCACCGCCCCCCCAAAGCTCCAGTAGCCAAAGTTGAGGGATCTATGTGTCAGAAGAATATGGGGAAACTAGGGATCGTTTCAGACTGGGTCGGGAGTGCAAAAGTGGTAGTGTCTTGCTGTACAGATTTTTGCCTTGCCTTTCGAACCCTGGGAATGCCTTCTTTCTCTGGCCGGGGTGGAAGCAGGAACGGGTAAATGAGGTCTGAAAGGAGGGGTTACTGATGGCAGACCAACACGAGAAACCAAAGTGCACTCTTTTATTGGGAAGATAACTTTCCCAAGGTTCGCCTCGCCGGAGCAAACACGTGGATCATGAGAAGTCTCGAGCCCACCCGCGCGTGTTGTTGTAGAGCTTGCCAGGCTTATGCGGCTGAGTCCCTGGTTAACAACTGCTTGCTCTGTTCGTTCTTTTTGGGCACGATGCCGCGGCTAGGCTGCAGGGAAAGTGCCTGGGGGCGGCGTGACGGCTGCTGGGAAGGGGGTTGGCAGGGGAGGGTCTGGTGGCTGGTTCTGTAGTCTCCAAGGTAACAGAACGCGGCTGGGTCCCGCAGAGCGATCATCGGGTTCCGGCCGGCGGCACGTGATCTGTCGGGACTCTTCCCCGGAAGAGCTTTCCTTGCGGCATTTTTTCACGTGGTTCTTGGCCAGCTGTCCTTTGCAGTTGAAAAGCGGCGGTTTGTGGGTCATTAATAGTCGACGGCGTCTGCTCCTCTCGGGGAAGGCAGTGAGACCGAGCCTTTTACTTTCCTGCGTATCGGAACAGCGCTAGTGTTTCTTGCCGCCAACGGTTGTTTCTAGCGTTTGTGTGGGTTAAGTGGGTTGGGTCCACTTTACAGAAAACACAGGCTAAAGACTTGAGGAAATTCAGTGCCCTGGGTACCTTGGCATACTTACTTCAAGTTTGACTACTGCCAGTTTCTGCCTTAAAAGTTCTTCAAATTCTGCTTACCCAACTGCTAGAGACCTGTCAGCTTTCTGGCCCTGAGTTGTAGTTAGGGTCCATTCTTAGGAATAAAAAATACTCCTGCGGCTAGCAGTAACAAATGATATCTGGGAAGAGAAGGAGGCAGTACTCTCTTACGCAGGTGCAATTCTGTGCCTTAAAACCTAAAAGTGTTTCAGATAATATTTTGACATTTGCCCTATAAGGTTGTGACGATAAAATGCCCAGGATATTGTCTGTTCCGAAGTGAGTAGTTCTTAATAAATGGCAAGTACCATTTATTAAATTAGTAAAAATAAGCAAATGATGGTTAAGAGCGATTAAGAAAGTATTAATAGTTGGCTATTTTACTGTCTTTGCCACCATTTGCTTTCATTTTATTATATTTATATCCACATTCTGTTTTTAAGAAACTTAAAATTTCTTGACCCAGTGTTTATTGGCTAAATACTGAAATCTGAGTGAACCTGTTCTCTTGAAATTTGAGTTTCACAAATGTAATTTAACCATATTCTTATAGTGAAGGATCATATTAAGGAATATACTAACATCTTGGTGCCTGCCATACTACTGTATTTATTGTATGAAAGGTTGTAGAAGTTTGTAGCAATTTGGAAAACGTTCAGAATGTGTTGCTTAGCATTTGAATATTTGTGTTTTTAAATAATGGTATTGACTTGGAATTTTGATTTTGTGTAACTAATTTTTGGGGTTGAGCACAGTACATTAATCATTGAATTAGGAAACTATCTAGTAAAACTAGTGTATTTTGTGAGTTGTATGAGGATCATTGCTTTAGTAGATAAACATTTCCCAAAGAGGTCACTGGTGAAAAGACATTAAAATAGGGAGTCTGAAATTGTAACAATTTATGGAACTTGTTAGATTACTTACCTAAAAAATGTTTTCTATGATAGCTTTTGTGTGTGTATATGTCTTCTGGTGTGACATTTCAGAGTGTTACTGAATTTTCCCCTCCACAACTTATTTTGTTGGCTTTTTATTGTAGCTATTTTATCTAGATAAAAAAAAAATTTGATGTTGAAAAGCCGAATTGAAAGTTTTTGAATGTTAAGGTATATATATACCAAAATTGTGGTTTTCATTAAAGCTTTTAGTTTCCCAGAGTATTTTTAGGATGTTGCTAGAAGATTTATTTCTTCATGAGTAGCCTACCCTTTTCTTTTCTTTATTATTATTATTGTTGTTGTTGTTGTTGTTATTATTTTGAGACCGAGTCTCACACTATCTCCAAGGCTAGAATGCAGTGGTGCTATCTCGGCTCATTGCAACCTCCTGCCTCATCCTCCCGAGTAGCTGGGACTACAGGTGCGCAACACGACGCCCGGCTAATTTTTTGTATTTTTTGTAGAGAGAGGGTTTTGTCATGTTGGCCAGGCTGATCTTGAACTCCTGACATCAGGTGATTCGCCCGCCTCAGCCCCTCAAAGTGCTGGGATTACAAGCGCGAGCCACCGCTCCCGGCCTAGCCTACCCCTTTCTAAAGTACATTTGAGTTTTGCGGTTGGCTTAAGTAGACTTTAGAGTGGTCTTGGTGTGTCTGAAACAGCTGAATATCCTTAATTGACTGCCCTTTGATTAGAAAATTCAAATGTTTTACAATATTTATCTTAGAAAAAAAAGAAAATTCATATGGTAGCTCCAAACCTAGGCATATGCTTATAGCGAAGTGGAATCTGTGCCTAGATTGATGTAGAATAAGAATTTCATTCCATGTTCTTAAACCAGTAGCTGTTATGGCTCAAGATAGAGATGGTTTTAGTCATAAATTAAGTCTTTAATTCAATGCATTTTCATCAACTAATGGATTAATTTGATTAGTGGAGTTAAAAAACCGGCCTTATACAAATCATAAGTCAGAAGTTTATTTTCCTGTCTTCAGGCACATTTTTACATTTTTTTATTATATGCCTGTGCACAAAGTTGAAATAGGTTGATATGACTTCTCTGCACTAATATTTTGCTTCGGCAGAAAGAAAAACTCAGTGTGTGTATATAAAGTTAGTGTAAAATTTACTTCAAGTGCAGTCTGATTTTCACCAAACTGGGTTTTTGTCAACTGCATCTTTGACATTTCATAGATTAATCTTTAAAAGACAGTAATTTTTAAAGAATTGGTTAAAACTTCTCTGTCTTGGTTTTACTGGTAATGATCTGAAAACCAAAATTTTAGTTTATAGAAAGATGTTTAATAAATTCGGCACCTTTTCATGTAATTTATAGGTTTGGGATAACTAGATTTTTTTTCATATACTTCTTTGCTGCCTTAGTCATATGAAATGCACCTAAGGATGTTGTGCTCACGTGGAACACATACACACAAAGGATGTTTTGCATACTTATTCACAAAAATAGTTGGTGATTTGTAATAAAACCTTGAAGTTTATGAATTAATAAGTACAAGCTAGGAGTTTGCATTGTTTGAATTATACATCATTGTAGAGGTATTTTTTTTTTGCCAGTTCTTTAAGCTTTAATATTTTACCTTATTTGTGACTTCCGTTTAGTTTTGTTTTGTCAGTCTCTGATAGGTATCGCCTAAGTGTGTTAGTTTTAGAAAACCAATCAACTTCATAGGTAAAAGCTTGAGGCAGCTTTTGAAAAGAATCACTGTACATTTTATCTCTTTTAAAAATAAACTTCACATCAGAGGAGAGATTTTTTGTTGTTGTTGTTCCTGACCTTTCCTGATATTAGTGCTTTAGTGTTGGGAAGTGAATTTCTATTTTTATCTCTAGTCATAATAGGAAACAATAGTAAACCTTTTGAAGTCGTGATTTTAAAAATATCTATTATCTGTAGACTAACAGATATTTTAAGCTTTGGAGCTGTATGACCAATCTTGTAAGAAGAGGTAAAATTCAGATTAGGTGCTTTTGCTGCTCATCATTAGCTCTGATGAAAGGTAAAATACTTTTTAATTATAATGAAGAAGACTAATAAGTGGCTGAATTTGATTAAGATTACTGACCCACTTACACAGGAGTGGTGGTGATGTAGCATCTTCCTTTTTGTATAAAAACTGGAAGCTGTAGCTTTAATTTGGCATATGAGTTCGGTTGATTTTAGCAATCAGATTTCGTTTTGGTTTTTTTTTTTTGAGACAGGGTCTCACTCTGTCATCTAGACTGGAGTGCAGTGGCACCATCACAGCTCACTGCAGCCTTGGCCTCCCCACCCCCAGGCTCGAGGGATCCTCTCACCTCAGCCACTCAAGTAGCTGGGACTACAGCTACACACCATTGTAGAGATGGAGTCTCACTGTGTTTTCCAGGTTGGTCTCAAACTCCTGGGCTTAAGCGATCCTCCTGCCTCAGCCTCCCAACGTGCTGGCATTATAGGCATGAGCCACCATGGCCGGCCTCATTTCTTTATTATAACTTTTTATTGAGATATAATTCACATAACATATAATTCATCATTTTAAAGTATACACCAAAAAGAAATCCCACACCCATTAGCAGTTAGTCCCAGTTACCCCTTCCCCTGAAACCACTAATCTACTTTGTTTCTCTAGATTTGCCTGTGTTGGACATCTCATATAAATGGAATCATACAATATATGTGACCTTTTTCTTTATAACCTTTAATAATTAACTAATTTTAACTTTATTTTTTATTTTTTTAAAGAGACGGGGTCTCACTCTGTCTCCTAGGCTGGAGTGCAGTGATATGGTTATGGCTCACTGCAACCTGAACTTCCAGGGCTGCTGAAGGTGTCCTCCTGCCTCAGCCTCCTGGCCACCATACCTGCTATTTTTTTTTTTTTTTTGGTAGAGACTGACTGGCTATTTTGACCAGGCTGGTCTTGAACTCTTGACCTCAAACGTTACTCCCACATGGGCCTCCTAAAGTGATGGAATTACCGGTGTGAGCCACTGCACCTGCCCACCTGGCCTGTGTTTTAGTTTTTAAAGGTTGTGTGTTCACAAGACACAAAATTTACAAAGTGTAAAAGGGTATCTTTTCCAAGTCATCAAGTTTTCCTTGGATATGACCAATACTACTGTTTTCTTTTCTGTCTTTCCAGAGATAGTCTGTGTAAAGCAAATATGTACATGTTCTTTTTCATTCTTTGGCTTTTTATTTATTTTAAAGACCGAAATACTGTCTATTTCTTTGATTTTAAAAAGGAAAAATCTTTTACAAGGGTTGAAAAACTACCTATCAGGTACTATGTTCACTGCTTGGATGATGGGATCATTAGAAGCCCAAACCTTATATTATGCAGTAGACTCATGTAAACAAACCTGCACGTGTTCTCCCTGTCTGAAGTTTAAGAGGTACAATAAAAAACTTTTAAAAGATGTGTGGCATAATTTACAACTCTTCTGAACATTTTACGCTTAATATATCTTGTAGATACTTTTTGCATGCATTCATTAAGCTTATACATTCTCTTTTGTGACTGTTAACATTCCACTCTATGGATGTGTCATCATTTGTTTTACCATTTTAAGGACTTCTCTCTTCCTGTCTAGTCTTTTGCTGTTATAAGTGGGAATGCAGGGGATAATCTTGTATAGATATCATTTATCACAGGTGTGTGTATTTAAAATAAAGTCCTATAGTGGGTTTTAACAGTGAATTAAGAAAACTTAAAGTCCTGGGAACAATTCTTTGTCATAGGATGATATATGGATTTGTACTTTTGATATTTTCAAGTTGCCCTCTCTTAGAGATTCTATTATTTTATACTCCCAGTAACTGCTTAGGGGAGAATGCTGGTTGACCTAACCCTTTCCAGCACTACCAGGCTTTGATTTTTGCCAGTCTGATAAGTAAAAAAACAGTATCTCAAGATGACTTTAATTTGCTTTCCTCTTAACTATGTACATATTCATAGCCATTTGCGTTTATTATCCTTTACTCATTTTTCTGTTAGGTATTTGGTCTTGTTGATTTGTAGGAAGCCTTTAAAAATTATTATTACTGTTAATGTATTTTTATTTTTTTTTTTGAGTCAGAGTCTCGCTCTGTCACCCAGGCTGAAGTGCAGTGGTGCCATCTTGGCTCGCTGCAACTCCACCTCCTGGGTTCAAGCAATTCTCTTGTCTTAGCCTCCCGAGTACCTGGGATTATGGGCGCACACCACCATGCCTAGCTAATTTTTTTATTTTTAGTAGAGACAGGGTTTCACCATGTTGGCCAGGCTGGTCTTGAGCTCCTGACCTCAAGTGATCTGACCTCCTTGGCCTCCCAGAGTGCTTGGATTACAGGCGTGAGCCACTGCTCCCCCGCCGCTATTATTTTTTAATAGAGACGGACTTTCACTACGTTGGACAGGCTGGTCTGGGACTCCTGACTTCAAGCAATCCTCCTGCCTTGGCCTCCCAAAGTGCTGGGATTATAGGTGTGAGTCACCATGTCCAGCCCCCTTTTTATATTAGGGAAAGGAGTTCTTTATAAGTTGCAAATACCTTTTCCTGGTTAGTTTGCTTTTTGATTTTGCTTAAATGATTTTGCCAGATTAAAAAATTTACAGAATATTAAATTTTATTTTATTTTTATTTCTTTGAGACGGAGTCTTTCCCTGTCACCCAGGCTGGAGTGCAGTGGCGTGATCTTGGCTCAGTGCACCTTCTGCCTCCTAGGATCAAGTGATTCTCATGCCTCAGCCTCCTGAGTAGCTGGGACTACAGGCGTGCACCACCACACCAGGCTAATTTTTTAATTTTTAATAGAGATGGGGTTTCGCCATGTTGGCCAGGCTAGTCTCGAATTCCTGGCTTTAAATGATCCACTGGCCTCAGCCTCTCAAAGTGCTGGGATTGCAGGTGTGAGCCACCACACCTGGCATCATATAGTATTAAATTTATCACTTTTTTTTTTTTTGGCCTTACTGGTTTTAGATTTTGTGTCTTATCAAAAAACTTTTCTCAGGATTTAGGAATAAAAAAATTAAATATTAGAGTCATCTGGAATTTATTTCAGTGTAAGGTCCATTGAGTTCCAGTGATTTGTCATGGCTTCTTTAAACGTGTGTACTAAGAAGTTAGATAGCTTTTTACTTATTTATGGAACCATGTCTTCTGAACCATATGAAGAACTAATTCTGTACAATTAGCTCTTTGGGATGAAAATGGAACTTTACTTATTTAATTTACTCATCACTGGGGAACTTGCTATATAAAGGAATCTTCTGGTAAATTCATAAAGTGTTAGGATGCTTTAAAAATGCATAACCTTCAAATTTAACTTTTTAATTTTGTATACTTTTTTAATAATGAATATACTCTTTTGTTTCTTTGTGTGAGATTATAGTATTTATAGTGAATTGTTAGAGGATTAGGATATAAGCACCTTAACTAATTAGATTAAAATGAACTTTAAAAAATGATTAGATATTCCAGAGTAAATATTCTTACTGTGATTGAAAGAAAAGCTTAGAAGCAAAGTCTTAGAAGAATTTAGGAATATTTTGGGGATAACATAATCGTTCTTGTATTTTTGTTCAAGAAATAAATACTCACTTGATTAAAGGGTGTTTTTTGTTTTTGGTTTTTTTTTGCTTGTTTCTTAGGATGGGAAGGCCATTGTGACTATGTGGTGATTACAGTTGTCTTACTACTGAGTTTCCTACTGAAATCATGGAGGAGAAACAGCAGATTATATTGGCTAATCAAGATGGTGGAACAGTGGCAGGAGCAGCACCTACCTTCTTTGTCATCTTAAAGCAGCCAGGAAATGGCAAAACTGATCAAGGAATTTTGGTTACTAATCAGGATGCCTGTGCTTTGGCTAGTAGTGTGTCATCACCAGTAAAATCTAAAGGGAAGATTTGCCTTCCAGCTGATTGTACTGTGGGTGGAATCACTGTTACCCTCGATAACAATAGTATGTGGAATGAGTTCTATCATCGAAGCACAGAGATGATTCTGACCAAGCAAGGAAGACGCATGTTTCCTTACTGTCGTTATTGGATAACAGGTTTAGATTCAAATTTGAAGTATATTCTTGTCATGGATATATCTCCTGTGGATAACCATCGTTATAAGTGGAATGGTCGTTGGTGGGAACCTAGTGGGAAGGCTGAACCTCATGTTTTGGGGAGGGTTTTCATTCATCCAGAATCTCCTTCCACAGGTCATTATTGGATGCATCAACCAGTATCTTTCTATAAACTCAAACTTACCAACAATACACTGGACCAAGAAGGGCATATCATCTTGCACTCTATGCATCGTTACCTGCCGAGGCTTCATTTGGTGCCTGCAGAAAAGGCTGTGGAGGTGATACAATTAAATGGCCCTGGTGTCCACACTTTTACCTTCCCACAGACTGAATTCTTTGCAGTAACAGCTTATCAGAACATTCAGATTACTCAGCTGAAAATAGATTACAATCCATTTGCCAAAGGCTTTCGGGATGATGGGCTGAATAATAAGCCCCAGAGAGATGGAAAACAAAAGAACAGCTCTGACCAAGAAGGGAATAATATTTCCAGTTCTTCTGGTCATCGGGTCCGTCTTACAGAAGGTCAGGGGTCAGAGATACAACCAGGTGATTTGGATCCTTTGTCAAGGGGTCATGAAACATCAGGCAAGGGTTTGGAGAAGACTTCCCTTAATATAAAACGAGACTTTCTTGGTTTCATGGATACTGATTCAGCACTTAGTGAAGTTCCTCAATTGAAGCAAGAGATTTCTGAATGGTAAGTAGTAGTTTTTCTGTTCTTAGAAATAAAAGGAAGATTGAGATGGGCCAGGTGTTGGATTTAACATCTTGGTTCTGTGGAATGCTACAGATGTTGATAAATGTAAGCCACTATAAAATATACTACAACTGCTTTTACATTCTGTGAAGTGACATCATTTTTCTGTAATGAGAATCAGTTGGGTTCAGGATCTAGAATTGTAGGCAAATTGGATAACTTATCAGAATTATTCATATGTATTTAGAATGTTCCTTGATATCCTTGGGGGATTGGTTCCAGGACCACCCAAGAATACCAACACCTGACTACATTTGAGACTCCATCTCAATAAAAAAAAGAAAATCATACCAATTATGACAACATAGATGAGCCTAGAGAATACTATGCTAAGTGAAATAGGCAAAACAAAAAAAGACAAATACTGCAAAATATTCATAAAAGTAGAAAGTAGAATGGTGGATGCCAGGGGGTAGAGAGAGACTGAAAGATGTTGGTCAAAGGGTACAAAGCTTCAGTTATGCCAGGTAAATTTTAAAGAAAGAGTAAGCATACTATTTTTTTTGAGATGGAGTCTCGCTCTGTCGCCCAGGCTGGAGTGCAGTGGCATGATCTCCGCTCACTGCAAGCTCCGCCTCCTGGGTTCACGCCATTCTCCTGCCTCAGCCTCCCAAGTAGCTGGGACTACAGGCGCCCGTCACCACGCCCGGCTAATTTTTCTATATTTTTGGTAGAGACAGGGTTTCACTGTGTTAGCCAGGATGGTCTCGATCTCCTGACCTCATGATCTGCCCGCCTCGGCCTCCCAAGGTGCTGGGATTACAGGCGTGAGCCACCGTGCCCGGCCGTAAGCAATACTGTTTTAACAAGTAATAATTTTAAGCTTCTTCTTTGGTTGGGCAATTTATGGATTAGGATATCCCTCAGGCAGTAAATTCACAAATATTAGATACAAATAACGACTCTGAATCCATTTTGTGCCTTATATAGATAAGTTTTGTTTCCATTATGATTTGGCGTTATTTTTCTTCCCTTCTTCAATTATAGTAGGCCCACCACATCTACTGGTTCTGCATCCACAGTTATAGCTGGCCAACTAAGGGACTTGAGTATCCTCAGATTTTGGTATCTGGGGAGGGTCCTGGCACCAGTCCTCCTCAGATACAGAAAGTTGCCTGTAATCATGAGTTGTCTATACAATCAGTATTCCGTGGAGGCTGCAGCTGTGTATTCAACTAACCACAAATCCAAAATATTTGGGATGAGATGGGGGGGAGGATTTCACAAAGTTCCAAAAAGCAAAACTTGAATTTGACTATTGTGAATGATGCTGTTTTTTCTTTTTGTTTGAACTTGCCTTATTTTTGTTTGTTTATTTTTTTTGAGACGAAGTCTCACCCTGTCGCCCGGGCTGGAGTGCAGTGGTGTCATCTCGGCTCACTGCAACCTCTGGCTCCCAGGTTCAAGCGATTCTCCTGCCTCAGCCTCCCAAGTAGCTGGGATTGCAGGTGTGTGCCACCATGCCCGGCTAAATTTTTTATATATTTTTTAGTAGAGATGGGGTTTCACCATGTTGGCCAGGCTGGTCTCAAACTCCTGACCTCAGGTGATCCACCCGCCTCCGCCTCCCAAAGTGTTGGAATTACAGATGTGAGCCACCGCGCCCGGCCTGAACTTGCCTTATTTTGAGTTTTAAACCCAAGTTCAGCAAAAGTAAAGAAATCCCTGCACACAAATTTCCTTTACTTTCCTTTTCTTGCTAAAATTGTAGGCCACTAACAGCTACTATTTTTTGAATTTGGAATCTCCGTGCTCATGAGTTCCCCTTGTCTTGTCTATGAGCTGGTTATTGCTTTGCTTTTTCTAAGGATTGTTGCAGCAGGAGGAAGTGCTGCTCAAGCAATGCATAGTTTTTTTGTCAAAGGGGAAAGGTTCTTTCAGGTTATACTTTTTGCTGTGGTATTGTTTGTAATTGCAGCTGGTGGATGCCATCTTTAAACTTGATTCTTCAGCCACAGCTTAATCATCTTGATTATCTAACATAATTAAAATAAGATTTAAACAGTTGACCACAAATTATATTTTTACCCTTGTTATCCAGAAACAGTTTATTGTACCGTTGGATGATGCAGAATTTATTGAAATTCCTTTGGAGGATAGGGCCTGAAGGAGTTTGTTAGGTGAAAGGGTCAGACGTATGTTTGTTTGTTTTTCGAGATAGTGTATGGCTCTGTCACTTAGAATGGGTGCAGTAGTGCATTCACGGCTCACTGCAGCCCTGACTTCCTGGACTTGGGTGATTCTCCTACCTCAGCCTCCTGAATAGCTGGGACTACAGGCATGCACCACCATCCCTGGCTAATTTTTTGTATTTTTAGTAGAGAAGAGGTTTTGCCATGTTGCCCAGGCTGGTCTCAAACTCATGAGCTGAAGCGATCTGTCAGCCTTGGCCTTTCACAGTTCTGGGATTACAGGCATGAGCTGCCACACCCAGCCAGGCTTATTTTTTTGTTATAGAAAGCAGCTGTTGGGATTACATATGGTTAAGCCTTTGATTTTAATGGATCAAGAGAGTGGTTCAGATTTATTAACGTATAGTATCTCTGTCACTAAAGGGAGAAAAGCAACTTGAATCATGCTCCAAGAAATAGCATTATCTTTGTGTGTGAAAATGGTATTTAGCTATATGTAAACTTTTTTTCTAAATGCTTGATACGGGAGCAGAAATTATTTTTAGGCAGGAGTTGGACAAATCTGGCCTATAGCCTATTTTAGTATGTATACAAGAATATGTGACAGAGACCATAGATGCTTGTAAAGCGTAAAATATTTACTATCTGTTCCTTTACAGGAAAAATTTGCCAACCTCTGATTTAAGGGTTTAAAAAATTATATACACATGCGTGTGCACACACACACACACACACACACACTATTTTCCCATTTTCTATTCAGTTACTGATATATGATTGCTCTGTCATTCTTTGTTTTAGCTAATGTTATTGGTAAACACACTGATCTTTATTCAGGCTTTATTTGCTACATTTGCGGTTGCTTGACCATTTTTCTCCTACTTTAAACTCTTATTTTTGCTTCCTTGGCTTTTACCATACCATTCACGTGGTTCTCCTAACTCTTGATTTTTTCCCTTCTTTCAGTTATTCTTACTGACTCCTTATATTATAATATATTCAGATATTTATTACATGAAGGTTATTTCCTAGTATTATGCTCTCGTAGTCCTTAGTTTTTCTTTCTTTCTTTTTTTTTCTTTTTTGAGACAGAGTCTTGCCCTGTTGCCCAGGCTGAAGTGCAGTGGTGTGATCTTGGCTTGCTGCAACCTCTGCCTCCTGGGTTCAAGCGATTCTTGTGCCTCAGCCTCTGGATTAGCTGGAATTACAGGTGCATGCCACCATGCCTGGCTAATTTTTGTATTTTTAGTAGAGATGGCGTTTCACCATGTTGGCCAGGCTGGTCTTGAACTCCTGGCCTCAAGTGATCCTCCTGCCTCAGCTTCCCAAAGTGGTAGGATTACAGGCGTGAGCTACCATGCCCAGCTGTTGTAGTCTTTTTCTTTCTTTCTTTTTTTTTTTTTTTTTTTGAGATGGAGTTTTGCTCTTGTTTTCCAGGCTGGAGTGCAGTGGTACGATCTCGGTTCAATGCAACCTCTGCTTCCTGGGTTCAAGTGATTCTCCTGCCTCAGCCTCTGGAGTAGCTGGGATTACAGGCATGTGCCACCATGCCTGGCTAAGTTTTGTATTTTTAGTAGAGACGGGGTTTCACCATGTTGGTCAGACTGGTCTCGAACTCATGACCTCAGGTGATCCACCTGCCTCAACCTCCCAAAGTGCTGGAATTACAGGCGTGAGCTACCCCATCCCTGGCCATCTTGTAGTCTTATCTATGACTTTGACCTCTTCTCCCATCTAATACTGATTATTGTTATGTTTTGAGACGGAGTCTTGCTCTGTCACCCAGGCTGAAGCGCAGTGGCGCGATCTCGACTCACGGAAACCTCCGCCTCTTGGGTTCAAGCAATTCTCCTGCCTCAGCCTCCCGAGTAGCTGGGATTACAGGCACATGCTACCACACCCGGCTAATTTTTGTAGTTTTAGTAGAGGTGGGCTTTTGCCATGTTGGCCAGGCTGGTTTTGAACTCTTGACCTCAGGTGACCCACCTACCTCAGCTTCCCAAGTGCTGGATTACAGGGGTGAGCCACTACATCTGACCAATTATTATTTTTTATTTTTATTTTTAGACAGAGTCTGGCTCTATTGCCTCAGCTGGAATATAGTGGCGCGATCTTGGCTCACTGCACTTCTGCCTCCCAGGTTCAAGCAATTTTCCTGCCTCAGCCTCTGGGGTAGCTGGGATTACAGGTGCCTACCACCATGCCCGACTAATTTTTTTGTATTTTCAGTAGAGGTGGGGTTTCAGCATGTTGGCCAGGCTGGTCTTGAACTCCTGACCTCAAGTGGCCTGCTCACCTCAGCCTCCCAAAGTGTTAGGATTATAGGCATGAGCCACTATGCCCAGCTTAATAGTGATTATTCTTATTTTTATTTTTATTTTTTTTTTTAGACAGAGTCTTGCTGTGTCACCCAGGCTGAAACGTAGTGGCGTGATCTGGGCTCACTGCAACCTCCGCCTCCTGGGTTCAAGTGATTCTCCTGCCTCAGCCTCCTGAGTAGTTGGGACTATAGACGCATGCCACCACAGCCAACTATTTTTTGTATTTTTAGTAGAGACGGGGTTTCACCATGTTGGTCAGGATGGTCTCGATCTCTTGACCTCTTGATCCGCCCGCCTTGGCCTCCCAAAGTGTTGGGATTACAGGCGTGAGCCACGGCGCCCGGCCAATAGTGAATATTTTTAAAGCCACTGATGTTTCTAGCTTATTTGTCTCTCTTCTTAGTTCCAGACCTCTAGATCAAAATGTTCATTATTATAGAGAATTCCAGCTGAATTTTTCTTTTTACTTTAAATCCTCCCCTTTTTTTTGCATTAGCTATGATAGTCATTCAAATCGGAAACCTCTGCATTGTTTTTGCCTCCTTACATAAATCTGTTAAGTTATTCTCCTATTGATGTATATTTGGATTGTTTCTAGTTTTTGACTGTTATGAATAAAACTAGTACGAACTTTCTTACACGTGTCTTTGGTGGACATACGCACTAGTTTCTTTTTGTTACATGTCTAGGAGGAGAATTGCTGGGTCATACAGTAGGCATACTTTTAGTAGACACTGCCAGAATTTTCCAAAAGGATCATACCAGCTTATACTTCCACCAAAAATGTATGATGAGACTTCCTGTTACTTCTACATCTTTGTTAGCACATGTGGTATTGTCTTTTTTGTTTTTAGCTATTCTGGTTTCACTATCTTTAGAGGCTATTGCTGCTTTTTTTTTTCCCCTTTCTTTTTTTTTGAGTCAGGATCTTGCTGTTTGTTTCCCAGGCTGGAGTGCAGTGGCAGGTTCATGGCTTGATGTAGCCTTGACCTCTTGGGCTTTACTGATCCTGCTGTCTCAGCCTCCCTAGTAGCTGGGACTACAGGCATGCACCACCACGCCCAGTTAATTTTTAAAAAAGATTTATGTAGAAATGGGATCTTGCTATGTTGGCCAGGCTCGTCTCAAACTCCTGGCTACAAGGATCCTCCTACCTCAGCCTCTGAAATTGTTGGGATTACGGGAGTGAGCCACTGTGCCCGGCTCTTTAGAGGCTTCTAATTCCATTAATGGATGACTGCTTATTTCCTGTAAGTAGAAATTCATCTTTGCCATCCCCTTTTGTATGTTTACCTATTTCTTCTTTTTAAAAAAATTATAGCTGTAGAGGGCAAAATCAATTCATACCCTCTTTTACGTGACCTTCAAACATTTGGGAAAAAATTATACTCCTTTATGATTTCTGTTATCTTTTATTCAGTCATTCACTAAGTGTAACAGAATACCTTTTAGTTTCAGGTACTTTTCTAAGTACCAAATAAAACAAATTCCTGCATTATGGATCTTAGGTTTTACATAATTCCAACCTAAGCACAGATCATTCAGCTTTTCCATGTGTGACATAGTTTTCAGATGTTTTTCTGTTTGGTTAGTTGATTGCACACTACCATGGGTGCACCTGGAGTTTCTGGCACATATATTTTTCTCACAAGAAAGCTCATCAGAATGCAAGTGAGTGAGAATGACATTATTATAGAGAGAGTCACTCTGGTTTGATTTTTTTTTTTTTGAGACGAAGTCTCGCACTGTTGTGCCAGCTGGAGTCCAGTGGTGCAATCTTGGCTCACTGCAACCTCCATGTCCTGGGTTCAAGTGATTCTCCTGCCTCAGCCTCCCGAGTAGCTGGGATTTCAGGCACCCGCCACCAAACCTGGCTAATTTTATGTAGAGATTTCACTACGTTGGCCAGGCCGGTCTCATGATCTGCCCGCCTTGGCCTCCCCAAGTGCCGGGATTACAGGCGTGAGCCACCGTGCCTG
The DNA here is from genome assembly GCF_000001405.40 of Homo sapiens. Taxonomy (NCBI): domain Eukaryota; kingdom Metazoa; phylum Chordata; class Mammalia; order Primates; family Hominidae; genus Homo; species Homo sapiens. The sequence goes on from NC_000015.10 coordinate 41,676,451, forward strand.
GCCTGGTTTGATATATTTAAAACAAGAATTAATTCACAAATGTCAATATTAGACAAATATGAACAGTTTTACAAAAATACTGTTCCCACAATCTAGAATCCTGGTTTTTTTTCTCAACATTGTACATTCTATGGCAGGCATTTTTAAGGGGTGTATTAGTATCTATAAGATGTATTTAATCAGTTCTGTGTTGATGGACCTTGAAATTGTTTTAGTTTTTTTAGCCACTACAAATAATGCTTCAGTAAAATTTCTTACACACATTTTTTATATACTTTTGCAAATACAGTGATTAATTCTTAGGAATGGAATTGCCTAGATCAAGATTTTAAATTTTAATTAATTGCTAAATTATATTCTAAAAGGTTATAACCATTTATATCCCTACCCATAGTACATGAGCCTGCTGATTTTTGTATCATCTTTATTGTCCAAAATACCATCCCCACTGCATAACATCTACCTGGTTTCCCAGCTGCTTTCCCCCCCAAAATCCCATGCTCTATTTGGTAGACAGAAGGATCTTTGAAAAATATGACTTACGGGGATTATGTTCCCTCTTAAAATTCTTCAGTGGCTTTCCATTGCACTTAAAGGCCACTTGCCTGATCTCTTTGGCCTTATCTCATTTATCTGTTGGTGGACACTTGGATAGCTTCTACCTTTTTTCTATTGTGAATAATGGAGTTACGAATTCTTTTTTTTTGGAGATTGAGTCTCGCTCTGTCGCCCCCAGGCAGGATTGCAGAGGTGTGATCTTGGCTCACAGCAACCTCTGCCTCCTGTGTCCAAGCGATCCTCCCACCCTAGCCTCCAGAGTAGCTGCGATTACAGGCACGTGCCACCGCACCCAGCTAATTTTTGTATTTTTATTAGAGGTGGGGTTTCGCCATGTTGGCCAGGCTGGTTTCGAACTCCTGACCTCAGGTGATCCAGCCACCTCAGCCTCTCAAGTGCTGGATTACAGGAGTGAGCCACTGCACCTGGCCAATGAATTCTTTCGGGTATATACCTAGAAGTAGAATTGCTGGATCATATGGTAATTCTATTTTTAATTTTTTGAGGAACCGCAATACTGTTTTCCAAAGTGACTGAACCACTCTATATTCCCATCAACAGTGCACAAGTGTTCTAATTTCTGCTTATCCTGGCCAGCACTTAACTGTTTTTAATAATAGCCATCTTAATGGGTATGAAGGGATAGCTCGTTGTTTTTAATTTGCATTTCCCTAATGATTAACATGTTATGATAGGCATTTTTTCACATTTATTTACCATTTGTATAAGGAGAAATGTTTATTCAAGTGCTTTGCCCATTTAAAAATTGAGTCGTTATTTTGTTATTGAGATGCAGGAGTTCTTTATATATTTTGGATATTAATCCATTAGATAAATGATTTGCAAATCTTTTCTCTCATTCTGTGGGTTGTCTTTTCATTCTTATATAGTGTGTTTTGATGCACAAGTTTTTAATTTTAATGAAGTACAATTTTCCTATTCTTTATTCTCTTACCTGTGCTTTTGATGTTATGCTTAAGAAACCATTGCCAAATCTAACATTAGAAAGAGTTTCCCTTATGTTTCTTACTAAGAGTTTTATAGTTTTACCTCTTAAGTTTAGGTCTGCAATCAATTTTGAATTTTTTTTTTTTTTTTTTGAGACAGAGTCTTGCTCTGTCACCCAGGCTGGAGTGCAGTGGTGTGATCTCGACTCACTGCAACCTGTGCCTCCCAGGTTCAAGCGATTCTCCTGCCTCAGCCTCCTGAGTAGCTGGGATTACAGGCGCTGGCCACCATGCCCAGCTAATTTTTGTATTTTTAGTAGAGATGAGGTTTGGCTGTGTTGGCTAGGCTGGTGTCGAACTCCTGACCTCAAGTGATCTGCCCGCCTCAGCCTCCCAAAGTGTTGGGATTACAGGCATGAGCCACCACGCCGGAGTGTTTTTATTAGTGGTGTAAGGTAAGGCTTCAGCTTCATTCTTTTGCATGTGTGTATCCAGTTTCCCGTCACCATTCATTGAAAAGACTGTCCTGGCCGGGTGCTGTGGCTCATGCCTGTAATCCCAGCACTTTGGGAGGCTGAGGCGGGCGGATCACGAGGTCAGAAGTTGGGGACCAGTGTGGCCAACATAGTGAAACCCTGTCTCTACTAAAAATACAAAAAAAATTATCCGGGCATGGTGGCGCACACCTGTAGTCCCAGCTACTCAGGAGGCTGAGGCAGGAGAATCGCTTGAACCCGGGAGGCGGAGGTTGCAGTGAGCTGAGATTGCACCACTGTCCTCCAGCCTGGGCAGCAGAGCAAGACTCCATCTCAAAAAAAAAAAAAACCACAAAATGAAAAGACTGTCCTTTTCCCATTGAATGGTCTTTGCACCTGTTGAAAATCAATTGCCCACATATGTGCAGATTGATTTCTCAGCTCTCTGTATTCTGTTCGCCTATATGTTTATGTTTATCTTTATGCCAGTGTCACATTATTTTGATTACTAGACATTTTCAAATTGGGCAGTGTGAGACCACCAACTTTGTTCTTATTTTTCAAAATTGTTTTTGCTATTTAAAGCCCCTTGAGATTCCATTTTCTTTTCTTTTTCTTTTTTGAGACTGAGTCTTGCTCTGTTTCCCAGGCTGGAATGCAGTGGTGTGATCTCGGCTCGCTGCAACCTCCGCCTCCTGTGTTTAAGCAATTCTCCTGTGTCAGCCTCCTGAGTAGCTGGGACTACAGGTGCGCACCACTGTGCCCGGCTAATTTTTTGTATTTTTAGTGGAGATGGGGTTTCACCATATTGGCCAGGCTGGTCTTAAACCCCTGACCTTGTGATCCGCCCGCCTTGGCCTCCCAAAGTGCTGGGATTACAGGGATTATAGGCATGAGCCACCGCGCTGGGCCGAGGTTTCATTTTCTACTTCTGAAAAATCCCGTTGGGATTTTGATAAGGATTTTGTTGAATTCGTTCAACACTTTGGGTTGTCTTCCTATTCATGAACATGGGATATCTTTCCATTTTAATTTTTTTCAATAATGCTTTTATGGTTTTCAATGTAAAAGTGTTTTGCTTTCTTAGTTAAATCTATTCCTAAGTATTTTATTCTTTTTGATGCTATTATATATTGAGTGATTTCCTTTTCTTTTTATATTGCCCATTGCTGTTTTGTATTGCATATTGTTCATTGTGTAGAAATACAATTGATTTTTGTGTGTTGAGTTTGTATCCTTCAACTTTGCTGAATTGTTTATTAAGTGAGTGGCTTGTGTGTGTGTGTTGTGTTGTGGGGGGGACTGAGTGCGTTTTTTTTGTGTGTATATGTGGGTTTTTGAAAGTTTCTCTATATAAGATTGCACCATCTATTAAAAGAGATATCTTTACAAACTCCTTGACAATTTGAATATGTTTTTTTTTCTTTTTCTTGTCTAATTGCTCTAAATAGGACTTTCAGTAGTAGGTGGCAAATAGTGGCAAAAGTGGGAGCATTATGGTTGTAGTTTGTCTTTTTCTAGTGATTAGCAAAGTTGAACACCTTTTTGTATTATTTATTGACCGTTGGGGTTACTCAGATGATTGTGTACGTGTGTGTATATTCTTGGACACTGTTTTCTTCCCTTGATCAGTTTGTCTACACGTAAGGCCCAAATCACATTGTTTTAATTGGTATAGCTTTATGATGGTAACTGCCTGACCATGGTCCTACTGTATTCCACCTCTGTGGTAAGGCGTTTTTCTAACTAGTCATTGTTGGTTCTTTACTTTGATGCATTTCTTACTCTGTCTCTTGAGTATATTGCTCAGGTTGTTGCAGCATTCTTTCTTCTAGTTTTGCCCTTGTCAGAATTATAATTTTTAAAAGGAAATTCAATAATGTTACTAATCTACTTAACTTTTCAGAGGTACACAGTTGCCTTACAATTTAAAAAATTAAGTAAAAATAGTACTATTCTGTTTTAACCCCCCCTGATGCATTGAATAAGAACCCATAGTTGGTCTCCATAGGTTGAAATGCATGGTCCCCAACAAGACTGCACCTAGTTGAGACATTAACCACAACTGGAGATCCTAGGCCACCTGTACTTTTCACCAGTTGGCTACAAATCCTGAGATTCTCACAATCTCTCTCAGGTTCACTAATTCACTAGACTCATAGAACTCAGGAAAACACTGTATTTAGAATTAGAATTTTGCTGTAAAGAATACAAGTTAGGACCAGCCTAATGAGACGTAAAGAACAAGGTCTGGGAGGGTCTCACATGCAGAGCTTCCATGCCCTCTCCCCATGGAAACATATAGGGTACATCACCCTTCTGGGACATCAGTGTGTTCACCAGCCAGGAAGCTTTATTAAGCTTTGGTATTCAAAATTTTGGGGGTTCATTACATAGGGGTAATTGACAAAATCTGTGATTGAACTTAATCTTCAGTTCTTTTCCCCACCCTAGAGGTTGAGCTGGCTCAGAGTCCCAGTTCTTTAATCACAGTGTTGTTGTTTTTGGAGACCAGTGCCATCCTGGATCTATTTAGGGGGTCTACTACAGGTCATGTCATTAGCTTAAACTCAGGTGTGAGCCAGTGGGTTCATGAATGACAGTCCCTTCTGTCACTCTGGAAATACCAAAGATTTTAGAAGCTTTGTACCAGGAACCCTGGACAAAGACCAGACAAGCTCATTATACAGCAAATACATAATACATAATGTAAAAAGATTAAATAAAACCACTTATGATGAAAAATAGTAGTGACTTGGCTTTACCATTTTTCACCCCCTAGTTTTCTTTATAGAGGAAATTAGTTTTTCCATTTTAGCTATTTCTTGTGGTATTTGCCTCTGTCTAGGTCATATGCATAATGCCAAATAATTATCAATTTTACATGTAATCCATTTAAAATTATTTTCTAGTACAATATATGGGCCGTTTAGTTGTTACTGTTTTTAAATCCTTGTAGTATACTCTGTTTTTTTTTTTTTTTAATTCTGTTAGTGTCATTATCATAATTTTTGGTCAACTAATTTTTCTTTCTTTTTGAGACGGAGTCTCACTTGGTTGCCCAGGCTGGAGTGTAGTGGGTGATCACAGTTCACTGCAGCCTCAACCTTCCAGGCTCAAGTGATCCTCCCACCTCAGCCTCCCGAGTAGCTGAGACTATAAGTGTGTGCCTCCTCGCTTGGTTAATTTTTTTATTTTTGTAGAGATAGGATTTCACCATGTTTCCCAGGCTGGTCTTGAACTCCTGTGCTGAAGTGATCTTCCTGCCTTGGCCTCCCAAAGTGCTGGGATTACAGGTGTGAGGCACCATGCTTGGCCAAATAATCCATTTTTTTATGTTATGAGATAAATATTCTATACTGCTGAGCCAAATGTCATGCTATGAGTTAATTTTCTTTTATAACTTTGTTTTGTAGTAGTTAATTATTGCTTTTTTAAAAAATATATTTGTAGTTTATATGTACTGGTGCTTATTCTACCCACATTTGTTTTTTTGTTTTTCCGAGATGGAGTTTTGCTCTTATTGCCCAGGCTGGAGTGCAATGGTGCGATCTCGGCTTACTGCAACCGCTGCCTCCCAGGTTCAAGCGATTCTCTTGCCTCAGCCTCCGGAGTAGCTGGGATTACAGGCATGTGCCACCATGCCCGGCTAATTTTGTATTTTTAGTAGAGATGAGGTTTCTCCATGTTGGTTAGGCTGGTCTCGAACTCCTGACCTCAGGTGATCTGCCTGCCTCAGCCACCCAAAGTGTTGGGATTATAGGTGTGAGCCACTGCACCCCCCTTCTACCTACATTATTTAATAAAATCTTTTGGTTCATTCATACACATACACACACACGTACATATATGTGCATACACATATTCATCTATTGAAAGTAAATTTTTGTGTGTACCTCCTCTGCATACTTCTTCGGGAGCTCTTTATTCTCCTTTGCCAATCTGATCTGGTTGTACTCTAGGCCCCTACCAAGCTGCCATCTTGGGATTTTCCTTTGCTATCATCCTGCTAACTTTACATTTGCTATTTTCATATAGGTTCTTTTTATTTATTTATTTATTTTTTTGAGATGGAATCTCGCTCTGTCACCCAGGCTGGAGTGCAGTGGTGTGATCTTGGCTCACTGCAACCTCTGCCACCTGGGTTCAAGGGATTCTCCTGCCTCAGCCTCCCAAGTAGCTGGGACTACAGGCTCATGCTTCCACGCCCGGCTAATTTTTGTGGTTTTGGTAGAGATGGGGTTTCACCATTTTGGCCAGGCTGGTCTTGAGCTCCTGACCTCAAGTGATCCTCCTGCCTCAGCCTCCCAAAGTGCTGGGATTACAAGTGTGAGCCACTGCACCCGGCCTCATGTACGTTCTTTTGTGTCCTGTATCTTAAGCTGTCTTTACTGGTTTGTGTTGTTTTTGTTGTTTTGTGAAGTTCATTTTTCAGTAGTTTCTTTAGAAAGTATCTGTAGAACATAGAATTTTAAGATGTTTAAGTAAAATTACTTACGATGAAAAGAGTTCCCAGCCTCATCTCTCTTCACCCCTCAATTTCTTCTTACGTGTTGGGAATTGGCTTTATTCTGCTTCTCAAACTTTATAAAATTGTTTCTGTAACGAGTTCTTTGAAAATGTGTTGTTGCCTCCCGGTTTCCTGTTGAGAAGTTTGATGGCATGTTTTGCTCTGGTGATTTGAATGTAACCTTGCCCCCTTCTGCTTTCAGAACCTTTTATTGATCCCTCATATTATGAAATTTCAGTTATAAACCTTGGTGTGGTGGTTCTCATCTTTGTACTGTGCTTTATTTTTTTAAATTGAGACAGGGTTTTGCTTTGTTACCCAGGCTGGAGTGCTGGGACACAATCCATGGCTCACTGCAAGCTTGGTCTCTTGGTCTCCTCAAGTGATCCTCTCACCTCAGCCTCCTGAGTAGTTGGGACTGACTACAGGTGTGCACCACCACACCTGGCTAATTTTTTATTTTTATTTTTTGTAGATACAAGGTCTCACTGTGTTTCCCAGGTTGGTCCCTGCCTCCTGGGCTCAAGTAGTCCTCGTGCCTCAGCCTGCCAAGAGCTCTTTTATTTTCTTCTGTACTCTACATTTCTCTTTTCCAGTGGATTTCTTAGTTCTTTGTTCTATTAATGAATCCCCAATTTTTTTTTTTTTTTTTTTGGAGATAGGGTCTCACTTTGTCACCCAGGCTGGAGTGCAGTGGCGCGATCTTGGCTCACTGCAGCCTTGACCTCCTGGGGTCAAGTGATCATCCCACATCAGCCCCATAGGTAGGTAGTTGGGACTACAGGCATGAACACTTGGCTAATTATTTTTTGTAATTTTTGTAGAGATGGGGTTTCGCCATGTTGCCCAGGCTGGTCTTGAACTCCTGAGCTCAAGCAATCTGCCCGTCTTGACCTCACAAACTGCTGGGATTACAGGCGTGACCCACCGTGCATGGCCTAAGCACCAGTTTTGTTTTTTTTCCCTTTCCTTTTTTTAAAAAAAATTATTTTTATTTTATTTTAAGTTCCTGGATACATGTGCAGGATGTGCAGGTTAGTTACATACGGCATGCTAAGCACCAGTTTTACGGAAGGCGTTATAATATGGGTTCTTCCTGTGTGCACCCTTATTGCCTATATGTATGTTTATTATAGCATCTGTTAAATTGCATCATATTGTCTACTTGTCTGTCTCCTGCACTGGCCTGTAAATTCCTTGAATGTAGAGACAGTGCTTTATTTACTTTGTTAATCTCTGTGCCTAACAAAATGTCTGGCATTACTGGGCACTCAGCAAATGTTAAGTGAATGAGTTTTATCATGAGTATTTAAAACTTTCTTAATGTGTCTTAGAGTGGCTGGTGTTCGTCACACATTAATATGTAGTGTTATTTGTTGCATTGATTACATAATGCCAACAAAAAAAATCCTTTTAATTAACTGTTGTTTGTAATTCATTGATTTTGCCTAGGTATTCTTTTGCCTAATTTATTTGGATAGAAGAGACTTCTCAGAAGAATGAAACTTAACTGTTTGTGAAATTTTTTCCCCAAGGCAAGATTTCATTCATCATGTATAAAGTTTTTGTTGGAAAATAGAAGAAATCCTTTCTGAGAGTGTTTATAACTTACCAAGTTCAATTTCTCAGGAAGATGTGAAAGCAGTTATTGCAGTAGCAGCCCAGATCTAGCCTCAGAGGTTTCCCAGCTACTGCGAACAAATGCATGTTGTGTGCTAAATGAAAAGAAGATAAAAAATTTTTTTCTACATTATGAGAGTTATGTCTTGAAATGTGAAGATATCGAGAGAAAAATAGCAAGTTATTTAAGCATTAATCTTAAATTACTTGATATAGAATGTCATTTATATGTGATATACATAAGAACTGAGATAACTGGGAAAGGGAAAAGAGTGGGCTTGATTATGGAAATTGATTGGCTTGTGGCTTTTCTGTAGTTTTTGCTTGCTTAATCTTTAAAAACAGATAAAGGGAAACTGGATTTTGGTAATGGCTAATAACTATACATTTATTAAAAATTATTGAGTTAACACTTAAAATGTGGGTGGCTTTTATATTATGTAACTTATACAGTAAAGTTTTAAAAAAATTGATAAAGAGAGAGCTGTTTTCACCAGTTAAGTGAAATGTTTGAAAGGGGGAAGTTGTTTTGGTTTTCACATTTAATTCTGTGATCTGTCTTGAATTATTAATAATTTTTGTACATGCTGTGAAGGGTCAGGGTTCGTATTTTTCCATGCAGATGGCTAGGTGCTCTAGCATCACTTATTGAAAATAATTTTCTCCATTAAGTTGCATTGTTGCTTAGGAAAATCAGCTGACTATATGCGCACAGGTAGGTTTATTTTATACTAAATTCTGTTTCATTGATTTATTTGTCTATGTTTTCTATTATTTTGGGCAATACCGTGCTGTCTTAATGGTAGTAGATTTATAATAAGTCTTAGAATCTGGTAAGGTAAGCCTTTGAACCCCCCATTATTTTGGTTGTCCTGGGTTCTTTGTATTTCCACATAAATTTTGAGTCAGCTTTTCAGTTTCTGTGAAAAAACCCGCTGGAATTGCCTTGAATAATAGATCCAGTTGAAAAGACTTGATATCTTGACATCATTGAATATTCTGTTAAACAAGGTATATATCTCTGTTTATTTAGATCTTGTTTAGTTTATCTCAACCATAATTCATTCTTTTCAGTCTTTAATTAAACTTATTCCTAGGTGCTTTAAAAAATGATCCTTGTAATTGGCATTTAAAATAATTTTCCAGTTTTGGCTGGACGTGGTGGCTCATGCTTGTAATTCCAGCACTTTGGGAGGCCGAGGCGGGAGGATCAGGAGGATCATGAGGTCAGGAGATGGAGACCATCCTGGCTAACACGGTGAAACCCCGTCTCTACTAAAAATACAAAAAGAAATTAGCTGGGTGTGGTTGCGGGCACCTGTAGTCCCAGCTACTCAGGAGGCTGAGGCAGGAGAATGGCGTGTACCCGGGAGGCGGAGCTTGCAGGGAGCCGAGATCGTGCCACTGCACTCCAGCCTGGGTGACAGAGTGAGACTCTGTCTCAAAAAAAAAAAAAAATAATAATAATAATTTCCCAATTTTTTGATAGTATATAGAAATCCAGCTGAGTTTTACTAATTTATAGAGTCCTTTAGAAATTTTCTACATGTACAGTGTTACCTGTGAACAAATTTAGTTTTACATCTTCTTTCCAATCTTTATGCCTGTTCTCTCTCTTGCTTTATTGCATTGCTTGGACTCCCAGTACTGTGTTGAAAATAAATTTTGAGGCAGGGTGTGGTGGCTCACGCCTTTAATTCCAGCACTTTGGGAGGCCGAGGTAGGAGGATCACTTGAGCCCAGGAGCTTGAAAGCAGCCCTGGAAACATAGTGACACCCACCCAGCTCACCCCCATCTCTATAAAAACTTAAAAAAATAATTAGCTGGGCATGGTGGCACACACCTGTAGGCCCAGCTACTTGAGAGGCTGAGGTGGGAGGATTGCTTGAGTTGAGCCTGGGAGGTTGAGGTTGCAGTGAGCCATGGTTGTACCACTGCATGGGCAACAGAGTGAGATGCTGTCTTAAAAAAAAAATTTTTTTTTTGAGTGGTCATTCATGTCTCCTGATCTTAGAGAAACTCATTCTGTATTTTTTATAGCATGTTGGGTGTAGTTTTTGTGTAGTGCTCTTTATCATGTTGAAATACTTTCCTACTGTTACCCATTTTCCTGAATATTGTTAAGAATGAGTGTTGAATTTCATCAAATGATTTTTCTAAATCCATTGAAATACCATATGTTTTTTCTCCTTTATTTTGTTAATATGGTGAATTAACATTGATTTAGAGGGGAGGGGTGATCTTACATTCTTGGGCTAAACATTACCTGGCCATGATGATATCATCCTTTTTAATATTACTGGTTTCAATTTGCTAATATTTTATTGAGGATTTTTGCACCAAATTCATGTGGGATATTTGTTTATAGTTTTATTTCTGATGTGTTAGCAGTAGGGTTATGGTTACCTCATAAAACACGTTGCAAAGTGTTCTGTTTTCTGTATGTGCTGAGTTTGTGCAAGATTGCTGTTTTTTTTTTCATTATGTATTTGATAGAATTTATCAGTGAAGCCACAGAGTTTTCTTGTTGGCAGAATTCAAATCATGACTTCAAGTTCTTTGTTTTTTTCTATTTCATTGATTTTTCTCTCATCATTAACTCCTTTGTTCTACTTGTTTTTGGTTTAATTTGCCTTAGATTAGGGTTTGGTGGACTAAGACCCATGGATCATATGTGCCTACCGTTGGTTTTTACTTGGCTTGTAAGCTAAGAATGATTTTTAACAGTTTTCAGTGATTGGGGAAAAAAAATAGTTATTTGTGATGTGAAAATTAAAGTTCAAATTTCAGTGTCCTGTTTTTTGGAAGACAGTCATGCTTGTCTTTTGTATTTGTATTTTGTATTTGTATTTATTTTATTTTGTTTATGTATTGTCTGTAGCTTGAGTAGTTGCAGTAGAGACTGTATGGAATGCAAAGCCTAAAATTTTTACTGTTTAGCCCTTTACAGAAAAAAATGATCAACTCCTGTCTTAGATAATTGATTTTAGACTTTTTCATTTGTATGTATTTTAAACTATTCGTTTGACTCTTGAGCACTACTTTAGGTACATTCTACACATTTGGTATGTTGATAAGTTTGTTACTGATTTGTAGTTTGATTCCGTTGTTGTCAAAGAACATATGGCTTAAAACCTTTGGAAATTATCAAGGGTTTGCTTTATTGTCTAGGGTGTCATCTGTTTCTGATTGATACTTCATGTATACTTGAAAAGGATGTGTGTATTGTACAGTTGTTGGATATAATATTCTATAAAGGCTTATCAAGTAAGTTTGATTGATAGTGTTATTCAGTTCTTCTGTCCTGATTTTTTTAATGTCAGTTACTGAGAAAGATGGGTTAAAATCTCCCACCGTATTTGTGGATTTGTCTGTTTCTCTTTTTGGTACTATAGATTTTTGCTTCAAATACTTTGAAGCTAATATATGATTAGGTACATATACTTCTAGGGTTGTTTATGTTTTCTTGGTTAATTGAACTCAAAATTTTAATTATGTGCCTCTTTATCTCTGATAAAACTATTTTATTTTGAGATGGAACCTCGCTCTGTCACTGAGGCTGGAGTGCAGTGGTGCGATGTTGGCTCACTGCAACATCTGCCTCCCGGGTTCAAGCGATTCTCCTGCCTCAGCTTCCCAAGTAGCTGTGATTACTGGCACACACTGCCATGCCAACCTAATTTTTTGTATTTTAGTAGAGATGGGGTTTCACTGTGTTGCCCAGGCTGGTCTTGAACTCCTGAGCTCAGGTGATCCACCTGCCTACCAGAGTGCTGAGATTATAGACATGAGCCACCGTGCCCAGCCTAAAACTCCTTATTTTAAAGTCTACTTTGTTTGATGTTATTGAGCCATATTGGTTTCCTTCTAATAAGTTTTTGCATGGTTTATCTTTTTCCCTCCTTGTACTTTAATTCTTCTTCCTTGAATTTACATTGCGACTCTTTTAAATAGCTGATAGTTGGACTTGTTTCTTTATCCACTGTTTTAACCTTTGGCTTTTAATTGGACTGTTTTGTTCATTTACATTTAATGCCATTACTTATGTAGCTGAGTTTTAACCATGTCATCTTGCTATTTCCTGCTTCTCTTATCTGTTTATCTTTCCCTGTTTTTGTGTGGATTGAGCTTTTCAAATTCCATTTATATAAAAATTACCTCTTTGTAATTTTTTTAGTGGTTGCATTTGTCTACTCAGGCTGCCATAACAAAATATCGTAGATTGGCTGGCTTAAGCAACAGAAGTTTTATTTTTTTCACAGTTCTGGAGGCTAGAAAGTCCAAGATCAAAGTTCTGGCAGGGTTTGGTTTCTCATGTCTCATCTTGGCTTGTATACATATATAGCTGCTTTCTTATTATGTCCACACATGGGGGGAGCGGGGGATGTCTCTCTTCCTCTTCTTATAAGCCCACCATCCTGTTGGATTAGAGTCCTACCCTTAAAACCTCTTTTAACCCTAATTTTCTCCTAAAGCCCTGTTTGGGCTTCCACATACAAATTTGGTGGGGGACACAATTCAGTATATAGCAGTGTTATATGGATTACAATGTGCATCCTTAATTTATTGAATATAATTTGAATAATGAACTGCTAATGCACTTATATTTGATGTCCTTCTATGTGATATAAGCCTCTAAACCTTGTTACTTTATTTGCTTTAAACAGTCAGTAGTTGGTGTGTACCCTCTCCCTCTCTCTGTGGCTCGCTCTCATCCTCTCTTGCCTTCCCTTACCCTCTCTCCCTCTTCCTTTCTCTCCCTACCTCTCTCCCTCTCTTCTCCCTCCTCCTTCCTCCCTTCCTTTCTCCCTTTCTCCTTCTCTCCTTTTCTTTCTCTCTCCCTCTCTTTCTCCTCTTTCCCTCTCTCCTTCTCTCCTTAAAAATAAAAAAAGTCAGTAGTCATTTAAATAATATAAGAAAAGTCTTTTATATTTACGTATTTATTTATTTGTTTTCATCTGTTTCTGGATCTGTGTTTATTTTGGTTCATTTTCTTTTTCTTTTTTTTTTTTCTTTTTTTTGAGATAGAGTCTCACTCTGTCACCCAGGCTGGAGTGCAGTGATGTGATCTCAGCTCACTGCAACCTCTGCCTACCAGGTTCAGGTGATTTTCCTGCTTTAGCCTCCTGAGTAGCTGGGACTACAGGTATGCACCACCACACCCGACTAATTTTTGTATTTTTAGTAGAGACAGGGTTTTGCCATGTAGGCCAGGCTGGTCTTGAACTCCTGGCCTCAAGTGATCTGTCCACCTCAGCCTCAGCCACCACACCTGGCCCATATTGTTTCATTTTCTAACAGTCTGAAGAACTTCCTTTAATAGTTATTTTTTAAAAACTTTAAAAATTGAGATATAATTCACATACAATAAAATCTACATAAAATTCACCTACCAACTGAAAGTGTAGAGTTCAATGGTTTTTAATATATTCACAGGATTGCACAACCGTTACTTCAGTGCTGCAGTCAGTTTTAGGACATTACCAGCACCCCAGAAAGAAAACCCATTAAAAGTAACTTCCCATTTTCCCTCAACCACTCCCCAGCTCCACCCAATCCAACACAACCACCTGTCTCTGTCTCTGTAGATTTGCCTATTTTGGATATTTTATATAAATGGAATCATTTAATATGTGGTCTTTTGTGCCTGGCTTGTTTTACTTAGCTTGATGTTTTTAAGGTTCATCCATGTGTAGCATGTATCTGTACTTCGTTTCTTTTTATTGTCAAATAATATTGTGTGGACATTACCACATTTTTTTTATTCATCAGTTGGACAGTAAGGTTTTTAGTTTTTGGCTGTTACGAATAATGTTGCTGTGAACATTTGTATACAAGTCTTTGCGTGAACACAGTTTTTTGGTGTTGAAAAGACCATTCTTTCCTCTCTTGAATTGTCTTGGCACCTTGGCAATTGAATCAGTTGACATAAATGTGGGCATTTATTTCTGGACTCTCAATTCTGTTAGTTGATCTGTATATCTAGTCTTAATGTCAATATCACACTGTTGACTGGGCACGGTGGATCATGCTTAAAATCTCAGCACTTTGGGAGGCCAAGGCAGTAGGATAGCTTGAGCCCAGGAGTTTGAGACCAGCCTGGTCAACATGGTGAAACCCTGTCTCTACTAAAGAGAACCTGTCTCTACAAAAAAATAAAAATAATAGCTGAGTGGTGTGGTGGTATGTGTCTGTAGTCCCAGCTACTCGAGAGGCTAAAGTGGGAGGATCACTTGTTTCCAGGAATTTGAGGTTGCAGTGAGGTATGATTGCACCATTGCACTCTAGCCTAGGTGACACAGTGGGACCTTGTCTCAAAACCAAACCAAACTAATAGACACACTGTCTTAATTACTGTAGCTTTGTACTAAGCTGAAACCTGGAAGTGTGAGTCCTCTGAGAACTTTGTTTCTAATTTTCAAGATTGCTTTGTTTTTTTTTTTTTTTTTTGGTGGCTCCCTTGCATTTTCTTGTGAATTTTAGGGTCAGTTTGTCCCTTTCTGAAAAAAAAAATCACAGATGGAGTTTTGGTAGATACTGCATTGAATTTGTAGATCACTTTAGGGATTATTGCTGTTTTACCAATATGAAATATTTTTTGTCCATAAACGTGGGATATTTTTCTATTTATTTTGGTCTTTAATTTGTTTCAACAGTGTTTTATAGTTTTCCATGTATAAGTCTTAAACTTCTTTTGTTAAATTTATTCCTAAATATTTTATTCTTGTTGATGCTATTGTAAAATGGAATTACTTCCTCATTTCACTTTTGACATTCATTGCTAGTTTGTAGAAAAACAATTTGTGTGTGTGTGTGTCTTGGATCCTGGAATCTTGCTAAACTGATTTATTAGTTCTAATAGTTTTTTAGTGGATTCTTTAGTATTTTCCATATACAAGATCATTTACCTGTGAATAGAGATAGTTTTGCTTTTTCCTCTACAATCTGGATGCCTTTTATTTCTTTTTCTTGCCTAATCATCCTGATAGAATCTCTAGTACAAGTAAGTAGACGTGGCAAGAACTGATATATTTGTCTTATTTGAGAGCTGAGGAGTATTTTTATGCAATCTGAATGATCTCAGCTGTCTGAAAATGTCTTCAATTTTAAAGGCTTCTTTTGGTAGGTATAGAACATTAGTTTTTCTTTCAACACTTCATGATTGGCGGTAAAGTATATTGTCTTCTGACTTACATAGTTTCCATTGAGTCACTAGTCAGTCTGTTGTTCTCTTTGTTGTTCCTCCAGTGTAATGTCTGTTTTTCCCTCTGCTGCTTTCAGTATTTTTCTCTTCATCTTTCATTTTCAGCAGCCTGACCTTGATGTGCCTAGATATGACTTTTTTTTTTTCCTTCTATTCGTCCCCATTGTTGCTTACTGAGCTTCTTGGATCTGTGGGTTAAAATCTTTTGCTTTTGGAAGATTTTTGTTCATTTTCTCTTCAAGTATTTCTTCACTTTGTTTCTCTTGTCTTTTTGGCAGGGCAGTTACTAGTATGTTAGATCATTTTATGTTGTCCCAGAGATCTCTGACACTTTTTTGTTTTGTTTTGTTTTGTTTGTTTCTCTGTCCTTCAGTCTAGGTGATTTCAAGTGGCTTCCTATTTTAGTAAATTTCAGCTCACCTCTCGTTTCAGCTGTGTCAAGGGAGGAGTGGTTGGTCTCCTATCCCTGGCAGGACCTTAGGACCTAAGCATTGGTAGACTACATGTTCTCTTATTTCCAGGCCAGCCTTTCTGCGGCACTGCTGTTTGTTCTGCAGAAGTCCTCTGGAGGGGGTGGTAATTGGACAGCAGTGAGGACTAGTTTCCTATTTGGGGTCCTCGAGATTCTGCCCATGCTCGGGCATTAAAAGTTGGTTTCTCTGTGTTTTTGCAAAGATCCTTTGCCTATAGTTGCTTTTTTCTCTCCTTACTGTATCTTCACACAGTGCAAATGCTGCTTAGGGTTGAAAGCAGTAGCTATCTCCGGTCACCTAGAGAAGGCTGATCTTCTTCTGTAATTCACTTCATTTAGGCTTATTTATGTCTAGAGGTCTTCAGTATCTTGTAAGAAAAATAATTTAGTGTTTTCTCATGGTTATGGCAAAAGTGATGATATTTTGTGATCTTCCACATTCTAACTGGAGGTGGAAATCTTCCATTGGAGGATTTCCTTTTTCTTTTTTTGAGACGGAGTCTCACTCTGTCACCCAGGCTGGAGTGCAGTGGTGCGATCTTGGCTCACTGCAACCTCTGCCTCCTGGTTTCAAGCGATTTTCCAGCCTCAGCCTCCCGAGTAGCTGGGATTACAGGTGTGTGCCACTGCATCCAGCTAATGTTTTGTATTTTTAGTAGAGACGGGGTTTTACCATGTTGAACTCCTGACCTCAGGTAGTCCACCTGCATCAGCCTCCCAAAGTGCTAGGATTATAGGCGTGAGCCACTGCGCCCAGCCAATTTTTTAAAAAATATTTTAGTACAGATGAGGTTTCACCATGTTGCCCCCAGAGTGGTCTCAAACTCCTGAGCTCAGGCAGTCTGCCTGCCTCGGCCTCCCAAAGTGTTAGGATTACAGGCACGAGCCACCACACCCGGCTTCTATTGGAGGATTTTCTTTTTTTTATTATTATTATACTTGAAGTTTTAGGGTACATGTGCACAATGTGCAGGTTAGTTACATATGTATACATGTGCCATGCTGGTGCACTGCACCCACTAACTCGTCATCTAGCATTAGGTATATCTCCCAATGCTATCCCTCCCCCCTCCCCCCACCCCACAACAGTCCCCAAAGTGTGATGTTCCCCTTTCTGTGTCCATGCGTTCTCATTGTTCAATTCCCACCTATGAGTGAGAATATGCGGTGTTTGGTTTTTCGTTCTTGTGATAGTTTACTGAGAATGATGATGGAGGATTTTCAAGTAAGGTTAAAATCTTAAGTAGAAATTGTGCAAGGAACAAGTAACTACACATTCATGTAATGGTTGCTTGTGCCTATTTTAAGTTTTATAAAGTTTTATGAAGACACTGGGTTAGCAAGTAGTGAAAAAAATAGTACTTCATTAATGATGGCTTGGTGTTGAAAATGTATTTTATTGGACTGAGACACTAATGTAATATTTTCTGTGTGATTGGATCCTATGGAGTATACTGCAGGTTATTGTTTAAGATGAGGCTGAAATGGCTGAGGATAAATTATATTGGGCTTAGAAAAGCATCCCAGATATTTATACTTTTTTCTTTAGTTTCAGAAGCCTTTGAAATGCTTTTGGACAGGCAAGTAACGTCAATATAGTTCAATATTTTAGGAAGATAAATTCAGTAATAAAAGTAATGGATGTGAAAGTGTCTCGATTATTGGGGATATTTAATTTTATTGCCTTTTCTTGTGATTTTGCCCCTCAAATCACTGCCTTGCAGTGATTTCTGCAAGAAATCTAAGAAAATATTTCTTAGATTTTAAGAAATATTCTGGGGGGAAAAAACTGTTTAGTGTAACTTTTCTAGTTCTAAGTGGAGGAGGGTCAGTCTGCTCTGAGCTATTTCACACTATTAATGGAAACCTACCTACCTAACTTTTTAAAAAGTGACTGGGCCGGGCGTGGTGGCTCACACCTGTAATCCCAACACTTTGGGAGGCTGAGGTGGGCGGATCACGAGGTTAGGAGTTCGAGACCAGCCTGGCCAACATGGTAAAACCCTATCTCTACTAAAAATACAAAAATTAGCCGGGCGTGTTGGTGCATGCCTATAATCACAGCTGTTCGGGAGGCCAAGGCAGGAGAATTGTTTGAACCTTGGAGGTGGAGGTTGCCACTGTACTCCAGCCTGGGTGACAGAGCAAGACCCCATCTCAGGGAAAAAAAAAGTGACTGATCAGAAGAAAATATTTTAGTTGTGTAAATGCTGTTTTCTTATTTTTGAAATTTTAAATTTTTTGTTTATTTATTTTAGAGGAGGCATCCTGCTCTGTTGCCCAGGCTTTTTTTCTTTTTTTTTTTTGAGACGGAGTCTTGCTCAGTTGCCCAGGCTGGAGTGCAGTGGCACGATCTCGGCTCACTGCAAGCTCCGCCTCCCAGGTTCACACCATTCTCCTGCCTCAGCCTCCCGAGTAGCTGGGACTACAGGCGCCCGCCACCACGCCCAGCTGATTTTTTGTATTTTTAGCACCGTGTTAGCCAGGATGGTCTTGATCTCCTGACCTCGTGATCCACCTGCCTCGGCCTCCCAAAGCACTGGGATTACAGGCGTGAGCCACTGCGCCCGGCTCCAGGGTTTAATTCAGTGGTGCAATTGTAGCTCACTGCAGCCTCGAACTCCTGGGCACAAGCAGTCCTGGCACCTCAGTCTTCTGAATAGCTGGTACTACAGGCGTGTGCCACCATGCCTGGCTATAAATGCTGTTTTCAGTCATAGGCTTTGAACTATTTAAAAAAAAATGCCCACAATCCTTTGTTACATGTTATTTGTTAGTGAATATATATAGTGGTGTGTATAGTTTTTCTCAAAGCAGTTTTCATCCTGCTTTCCTGTGCTGCTAACGTGTTGACTTGTATGGATATTTTGAGGTGGGGGGAAATGAGAGGTGCAGTTTTAGAATTTCTGAGTCTGAGAATTTTAATTCGTCATTACTTTATGTGGAATCTTTTTTTTTTTTTTCTTTTTTGACACAGGGTCTTGCTCTGTCGCCAGGCTGGAGGCAGTGGCACAATCTCGGCTCTCTGCAACCTCCGCCTCCCGGGTTCAAGCGATTATTCTGCCTCAGCCTCTTGAGTAGCTGGGACTACTGGCATGTGCTACCACGCTGAGCTAATTTTTGTATTTTTAGTAGAGATGGGGTTTCACCATGTTGGCCAGAATGGTCTCAATCTCTTGACCTTGTGATCCGCCTGCCTCAGCCTCCCAAAGTAGTGGGATTACAGGCGTGAGCCATCGCTCCTGCCCAATTTTTTATTTCTACCATATTCTCAAGATACATTGGTACAGTTCTTAGGCTTTCAATGGATGATTGGGAGGAGGGGGAAACTAGATGTTTATGTTGTTTTTGGATGAATTATACACAATATATCTGGGTCATACGTATTTGCCTTTAACTCCCTATCTTTTATTTTGGAAGAATTAGTGGTGAATTCTTTATATTGAAAGTGAGTTTTTCAATTTTAAAGTTGGAAAATCATCTGGCAACATCATGACTATACTAAAAACCAATGAATTGTATACTCTAAAATTGCTGCAATATTATGTTTTATGTTATGTGAATTTAATCTCAAAACATACAGGAAAATATCAGCTGGCAGTTTAATGGCCCTTTCCGGTTTGTGTTGCAATTCTTAGTTGTGATGGATGTGTGTTCGCTTTACAGGGTTGTTAATCACCGTGTGGATTTTTAGAGTTTTTGAGTGTTTTTGAGGAATGGCTCAGGAAATCTGATGTGTTACTTGGATTCCTAACATCTTTTTTTTTTTTTCTCTTCAAGTCTTGTTAATGGATCATTTTGTACTTTTAAAATCCCTTTCTCCTCTCTCTCTCCAGTCTTATTGCCAGCAGTTTTGAAGATGACTCCCGTGTAGCCTCACCGTTA
This sequence comes from Homo sapiens, assembly GCF_000001405.40. Classification (NCBI taxonomy): domain Eukaryota; kingdom Metazoa; phylum Chordata; class Mammalia; order Primates; family Hominidae; genus Homo; species Homo sapiens. Next base: position 41,696,124 of record NC_000015.10, read on the forward strand.
GACCAGAACGGAAGCTTCAATGTTGTTATTAAAGAGGAACCTCTAGATGATTATGACTACGAACTTGGTGAGTGCCCAGAAGGGGTCACTGTGAAACAGGAAGAGACAGATGAAGAGACGGATGTATACTCAAACAGTGATGATGATCCTATACTAGAGAAACAGCTAAAGAGGCACAATAAAGTTGACAACCCAGAAGCTGACCATCTATCTTCTAAATGGCTTCCAAGCAGCCCATCAGGTGTTGCTAAAGCTAAAATGTTCAAATTAGACACTGGAAAGATGCCAGTAGTCTATCTGGAGCCCTGTGCTGTCACCAGAAGCACAGTTAAGATTTCTGAACTCCCCGATAACATGCTTTCCACATCTCGAAAGGATAAATCTTCTATGTTGGCAGAATTGGAATATTTGCCTACATACATTGAAAATTCCAATGAGACTGCCTTCTGCTTAGGCAAGGAATCAGAAAATGGTCTTAGAAAACATTCACCAGATCTCAGAGTGGTACAAAAATATCCCTTACTGAAAGAGCCTCAGTGGAAATATCCTGATATATCTGACAGCATTAGCACAGAAAGAATACTCGACGATTCAAAGGATTCAGTTGGAGACTCACTTTCAGGAAAAGAGGACTTGGGCAGAAAGAGAACAACTATGCTTAAGATTGCAACAGCCGCAAAGGTAGTGAATGCTAATCAGAATGCCTCTCCAAATGTCCCTGGAAAAAGAGGAAGGCCACGAAAATTGAAACTCTGTAAGGCAGGACGACCACCTAAGAACACAGGAAAGTCTTTAATTTCTACAAAGAATACACCTGTAAGCCCTGGGAGTACCTTTCCAGATGTGAAGCCTGATCTGGAAGATGTGGATGGTGTTCTCTTTGTTTCCTTTGAATCAAAGGTAAGATTGTAATTTTCAGGATTCTTTAAGGCTAATTAGTCATACTTGAATTGTATACTGGCTTGTAAGTAACTCGATTTACAATCTAGTTTTGTGATATCTATTTGTGAGGGTGTATGGGGGGTGGAGTTGGGAGGGAAGTGTCTCCAAAATGTTTGGTTTAGTTAATAGGAATAACTTAAGATACTTCATTTGAATAGACTTAAAAAAGTATGTCTTGCTTAGATTTCAGTTTACGATTTTTGCATAGCTGTGTTTAAAAAAAGTCTTCGGGTCTTACTGGAATTTTCATCATTATGGATTTTGGAAAGGACTAAAAATACATGAAATATTTACTAACTCTTTGGTGACGCTCCATTTCTTTTACCTCCTGGTTTTCTTTTATTTTTCTTTTCTTTTTTTTTTTTTTTTGAGACAGAGTCTTGCTCTGTTGCCCAGGCTGGAGTTCAGTGGCACGATCTCAGCTCACTGCAATCTCCGTCTCCCGAGTTCAAGCCATTCTCGTGCCCCAGCCTCACGAGTAGCTGGGATTACAGGCGTGTGCCACCACACCCAGCTAATTTTTGTAATTTTGGTAGAGACGGGGTTTTGCAATGTTGGCCAGCTAATTTCTAACTTCTGGCCTCCAGCAGTCTGCCTGCTTCAGCCTCCCAAAGTGCTGGGATTACATGCATGAGCCACCGCTCCTGGCCCTGGTTTTCAGTAGTAGTAGTAGAGTACCATTGGAGAACCAAATATTAACAGTCATCTTAACTCTCCTGTCTTACACATTGAAGTCTCTGTTTATTCCACTCTGACTCTTCAACCAGATTATTTTTCTTGGAAATTTTTATAGAAGCCCAGTCTTTTTTTATTTATTTTTTGAGATGGAGTCTCGGTCTGTGGCTCATGCTGGAGTGCAGTAGCGCAATCTTGGCTCACTGCAAACTCCGCCTCCTGTGTTCTTGCCATTCCCCTGCCTCAGACTCCCGAGTAGCTGGGACTACAGGTGCTCGCCACCATGCCCGGCTAATTTTTTTTGTATTTTTAGTAGAGACGGGGTTTCACCATATTAGCCAGGATGGTCTCGATCTCCTGGCCTCGTGATCCTCCTGCCTCAGCCTCCCAAAGTGCTGGAATTACAAGCGTGAGCCACTGCCCCTGGCCTCTTTTTTTTTTTTTTTTTGAGACGGAATCTTGCTCTGTCACCAGCTGGAGTGCAGTGGCACAATCTTGGCTCACTGCAACCTCTGTTTCCCGGGTTCAAGCAGTTCCCCTGCCTCAGCCTCCCGAGTAGCTGGGACTACAGGTGTGCATCACCATGCCCAGCTATTTTTTTTATTTTAGTAGAGACAGGGTTTCACCATGTGGCCAGGATGGTCTCAATCTCCTGACCTTGTGATCCACCTGCCTCGGCCTCCCAAAGTGCTGGGATTATAGGCGTGAGCCACTGTGCCAGGCTGTCTTTCTTAATTGACTACACAGATGTTGGATATTTAATCCCTTCTACCTGTTCTTTTCCTCCCTTCTTGTTAGCTGAGTAAGCTATCTGAATATAGGCTCTGAGAAGTGAACATGCAAATTGGCGTATACTTTGAGGTCAGTTAGCTCAGTATGACATCGTATTCACATTTTTTTACTTCCCCCTTTTCCCCTTCTGATTATTAAAGTAATATTAATGTAGAACACTTAGAAAATATCAAAAAGTATGAAAAAATTGCTCCTGTTCTGCCAATGTTAGCGTAACTGTAGGCATGGAGATATTTTCCTTCTGGTCTTTAAGTTTTTTTTAATCCTGTTTTACATTTAAGTTTTCAGAAGCAATATGAACTACTATTTTTTTTTTTTTTTGATGTATAGGAAGCTCTAGACATTCATGCAGTTGATGGGACAACAGAAGAATCTTCTAGTCTCCAGGCATCAACCACAAATGACTCAGGTATTATAAAATAGTATAAAAAGAGTTGTATTTGTGGTTTGGGCTCCAGCAATGAAACATGCAACATTCATTTGTCTGTAGTGTACAGTAGCTTATTTTATTACTATTTATTTTGGGTGTAGGTTACAGAGCAAGAATTTCCCAGTTGGAAAAGGAATTGATAGAAGATTTGAAGACTTTGCGGCACAAGCAGGTGATACATCCTGGTCTTCAAGAAGGTAATAGACTAGCGACTTCTTTTTTTTTGTTTTCTTTTTTTCTTTCTTCCCTACTGTTTCTCCTCTTTTTCCTCTCTCTTTCTCATCTCTTTTTTTCTGTTTTTTCCTCTTTCTTTCTAGCCTTGATTTCATTTCTTTCAGCACGTCTTTCAGTTTGCATATTTTTCTCTTCTCTGTCTCCATAATTCTTCCCTTTAGTTTAAAAACCATGTCTAATATCTTATGTAAGAAAAAAATGTATCATGGTAAAGCAAGTGATATTTTCTTTGTTCATTCTTATAACCTGGTATTCTCCCCTTCCCGTTTCTCATCTTAATTTGGTTGCTTTTGTTTATGTGTGTGTGTGTGTGTTTGTTTGAGACGGAGTTTCGCTCTGTCGCCCAGGCGGCTGGAGTGCAGTGGTGCAATCTCTGCTCACTGCAAGCTCCGCCTCCTGGGTTCATGCCATTCTCCTGCCTCAGCCTCCCAAGTAGCTGGGACCACAGGCGCCTGCCACCGCGCCTGGCTAATTTTTTTGTATTTTTAGTAGAGACGGTTTCACCGTGTTAGCCAGGATGGTCTTGATCTCCTGACCTTGTGATCCGCCCGCCTCGGCCTCCCAATTATGTGTTTGTTTTTATAATTTTGGAGGAAGGGTCTTCCTTGTCCTTTAGTAGTATATTTAGGTGTGTAAACAGTAGAATACTTTTCTGTCTCATGTTTTGGCTGCAAACATCTATTTTATATATTTGATGTACCACTGGGAAGTTAATTTAAAATTTTCATTATCTTTTTTTTTTAAAATTTTACTTTGAGTTCTGGGATACGTGTACAGAATGTGCAGGTTACATAGTTATACATGTGCTATGGTGGTTTCCTGTACCTATCAACCTGTCATCGAGGTTTTTTTTTTTTTTTTTTTTTTTGATGCGCAGTCTCGCTCTCGCCCAGGCTGGAGTGCAGTGGCACGATCTCAGCTCACTGCAAGCTCTGCCTCCTGGGTTCACACCACTCTCCTGCCTCAGCCTCCCAAGTAGCTGGGACTACAGGCGCCTGCTACCATGCCCGGCTAATTTTTTTTGTATTTTTAGTAGAGACGGGGTTTCACTGTGTTAACCAGGATGGTCTCGATCTCCTGACCTCATGATCTGCCCGCCTCGGCCTCCCAAAGTGCTGAGATTACAGGCGTGAGCCACCGCGCCCGGCCCTGTCATCTAGGTTTTAAGCCCTGCATGCATTAGGTGTTTGTCCTAATGCTCTCCCTCCCCACCAACAGGCTCTGGTGTGTGATGTTCCCCTCCTTGCATCCATGTGTTCTCATTGTTCATCTCCCACTTACGAGTGAAAACATGCAGTGTTTGGTTTTCTGTTCCTATGTTAGTTTGCTTAGAATAATGGCTTCCAGCTTCATCCATGTCCCTGCAAAGGGCATGAACTCATTCTTTTTTATGGCTGCAGTTTTCATTTTTATCTTTATTTTATTGTAATGCATTATCTTGACCTTGATTATGTTGCTTAATCTTTAAAAAAACATATCTACTATGGTTATTAACATCATGATCACTACCAATTTTCCTGTTTTGGGGTGTAATGAAAAATTTTAGGCTGTGCCCCAATTTTTAGTTTCTTACGACTATCTTTGATTTTAGATAGGCATCTTGGAGTAGTTTTTTGAATTTTTGACTCATTAATTTTCAGAAGGGTGTCTAGACTATTTACACTATAAGTAGTTCATTTACCTGAGAGTCTAAACATTATAAGTTATCAAACAAAAGATTTATATGCTGGTCATTCCGTTTCTAAATCAAATGGTAATACTTGAAGAATTTTTGCTTTAATGGAAGGCAGCTTGTGTGACAGTGCGATCTTAAAAGTGTGCAGATCCCAGTCTCAGTCAATCAATGTGGGCTGATTGCTGTGGATTGTAATAGACAGTCACATCATAGCAATCTTGCAGATAACGTTTGCTGCTGTTTATTGTCAGCTTTAGCTTCTGCTATTTTATTTAAATAATATTATCTTATTTCTCCCTATCTTTTTTTCTCCCCTTTTCCTTTCTTCATTTCTCCCTATCTTTAACTTAACCTGTCTTCTCCCTTTTCCACTTCCATTTTTTTTGTTATTTTCTTGATAATGTAGAAATATTATGACATTTATATTGTGTTCTTTTAACTTAATCTCCCACATTTTAAAAATCTTAGTTCTAGAGTTAAATATATTCAGTGCTTGCAGCTGGTCCTTTTGCTCTGGTTTATTTGCCTAGTATTTGCTGGTTGGCTAAGCTTTGACTGTTTTTCTTTCTTTTATAGACATCTTAGTCAAATTTGTAATCGTTTCCTTAATGGAATGGGGTGTTCAAAGGCCAGTGTTTATGGAAACTGACTAGGTAACATATATAGTGAAATTAGCCTGAATTTGGGGGGTAGAGTTGGACTCTGGTCGGGTAGAGTACAGGCACTTCTTCTAAAGGGACAGCTGCATCAGTGGATTGTTGTCATATGGAAAAATGGGCCCAAAATTCTCAGGTCTGCTCATAGTTCAGTAGAAGCTGGAGTGGCTATGTGATGTCTCTGAAGTGGTGGCAGCTAATAGTTTTTTGGGCACCTAACTCAAAGCTTTAAAAACACAGCCAAACAAAAGGTGTCTGAGCTATTACTTTTCACCTTCTTTATAGATTCTACATTTGGTGCAAGTTTGTATTTAATCCTAAGGTTTTTAAAATTTATTCAACTACATGCTGACACAGTTTTGTTTTTTTGAAAAACAATTAAATCTGTAATCTGTCTGGTACTTACTTTTCAATGTGTGAAGTGGAGTCCTGTTTTGGGTTTTTTTTCCTCTATTTTATTTTAGCATATTTTTCTCCCCAACCTTGGCTTCCTTTAAAAAGCCATACTTGGGCCAGGCTCGGTGGCTCAAGTCTGTAATCCCAGCACTTTGAGAGGCCAAGGCGGGTGGATCACTTGAGGTTGGGAGTTCGAGACTAGCCTGGCCAACGTGGCGAAACTCCGTCTCTACTAAAAATACAAAAAATTAGCCAGGTGTGGTGGTGAGCACCTGCAATCCCAGCTACTTGGGAGGCTGAGGCAGGAGAATTGCTTGAAAACCCGGGAGGCGGAGCTTGCAGTGAGCCGAGATCGCGCCACCACACTCCAGCCTGGGCGACACAGTGAGACATTGTCTCAAAAAAAAAAAAAAAAGCTGGACTTAAACAGTTTCTGAAGAGTAAGTTAATTTGGCTAAATATTTGTATTAACTGGGTGATGCCAATCCCAGGGCTCTGAAGAGAATGAAAGTATTCCAGGTTCATCTCTAAAATTTGATTCTTGAAATAATTTGTTGAATTTCAACTTAATGTCATATTTCCTTGTCCTGCTATTAACTATAATTTCATTAATTAGAAAATAGCAGTTAAACTTCTTCTGAGCTGAAAACCCTTGAAAAACTAGAAAAGCTTTTTGAATTTGCTTTAAAATTGGGAAAGCAGTGTTGATTAAGCCTGGGAAAATGTTATATTGTTGTTGGTAGTTTTACTTAAAAATAAAATAAGATTCTTAATTTTTCTTTCCGTGGTACTATATTTTTGTTTGCTATATTTACTGTATCTACATTGGTCTGCTTTTTAAGTCTGTTAGCTTATCTGAAATTATCGTCTGTCTTTGCATTTTAAAAGTGTGTTTAAAGCATTTCTCCTTCATTGCTACCAAGTCAATTATTGTCAGTTTTTTATTAAAGCTTTATGTTTTGGAAGAGTTTTAGATTTATAGAAAAATTAAGAACACAGTGCAGAGAATACCTATTTTTTTTCCCCCCATTCCTAATTCTCTCAGTATCCAGAATTTCTCCTATTAATATCTAACATAAGATTGGTACATTTGTTACAGTTAGTGAACCAGTACTGATATATTACTATTTAAAGTTCATACTTTATTCAGATTTCCTTAGTTTTTACCCAATGTCCTTTTTTTTGCATCTAGGATCCCATTCAGGATACCACAAGACTTTTAGTAGTGATGTCTCCTTAGGATCTTCCTGGTTGTGACAGTTTCTCAGATTTTGTGTTTAATGACCTTGACAGTTTTGAAGAGTCAGGTATTTTTATAGATGTCCCTCAGTTGAGACTTATCATCTCATCATATCAAGAGTACATACATTAACATGATTTATCACTATTGATGTTGACCTTGATCACCTGGCTAAGATATTGTCAGTTTATTCATTGTGAAGTTACCCCCCCCCCCACTCCCCACCCTCCCTTTCTCTCCATATTGTACTCTTTGGAAGGAAGTCATTATGCTTAGCTCACACTTAATGTGCAAGAAGTTATATTGTACCTCCTTGAGTGTAGCCTATCTATATAAGTTATTTGTAGTTATTTTGCACCAGAGATTTATCTATTCTTCTTTTTAAAAAATTCACTTAGATGAAACTCCATCTCTACTAAAAATACAAAATTTACTGGGTGTGGTGGTGCGTGCCTGTAATCCCAGTTACTCTGGAGGCTGAGGCAGGAGAATTGCTTGAAACTGGGAGATGGAGGTTGCAGTGAGTGGAGATCCTGCCACTGCACTCCAGCCTGGGCAACAGAGCGAGACTGTCTCAAAAAATAAAAATAAAAAATTCACTTATCAGTGTGGACTCTTGTCAGTTTTAATGTTTTGTTTTGGTTTTTGGTTGTTGTTTTTGAGACAGGGTCTCGCTTTGTCACCCAGCCTAGGCTATAGTGCAGTGATGTGAACATGGCTCACTGCAGTCTCGACCTCCTGAGCCCCAGTGATCACATGTCAGCCCCCCAAGTAGCTGGGACTACAAGCACATGCCACCACACCTGGCTAATTTTTTTTGGTATTTTTTTGTAGAGATGGGGTTTTGCCATGTTGCCCAGCCTGGTCTCGAACTCTTCAGCTCAAGAGGTCTGCCCGCCTTGGCCTCCTGAAGTGGTGGGATTATAGGCATGAGCCATTATGTCTGGCCGGTTTTAATGTTAATTTCCTTTATGAGTAATGACAATATTTCAAGAACTGTCTTCCTCTTCCTTTTTTAGTAATTTAATAAAAATGCTTTATTTTTCCTTAAAATATTTTTTTTTAGAGATGGGGTCTCCCAGTTTTGCCTAGGCTTGTCTCAAACTCCTGGCTTCAGCCCATCCTCCCAAGTAGCTGGAATTACAAGTGTGAGCCATGGTGCCCTGCAGTAAAAAAAAAAAAATTCTGAATGTTACATTAAATTAGTGATTAGCGGCCAGGCGCGGTGGCTCACGCCTGTAATCCCAGCACTTTGGGAGGCCAAGGCGGGTGGATCACAAGGTCAGGAGATCGAGACCATCCTGGTAACACGGTGAAACCCTGTCTCTACTAAAAATACAAAAAATTAGCCAAGAGTGGTGGTGGGCACCTGTAGTCCCAGCTGCTGGGGAGGCTGAAGCAGGAGAATGGCTTGAACCTGGGAGGCGGAGCTTGCAGTGAGTGGAGATCGTGCCACTGCACTCCAGCCTGGGTGACAGAGCAAGACTCCGTCTCAAAAACAAAACAAAACAAAAAAAATTGGTGATTAGCTGGAGTTTTCCTTATAATATGTGCTTTTCTATTCTGTGTTTACTACTTATATAGGTGTTTATAGAACTATAAACATCTTGAGTGTACTTTTGTATTTCAGTGGTTTTAGCTAGCAGTTGGCATTTTTGGCTATATCTTATTGTAGGTGAATCTGTCTTTGCTTGAATCTAAAGGTTATCTCTTTTCAGCTTTATCTTTATGAGTCTTTTTTTGTAATGACATTATAACACATTTTTAAGAAGTAGCTTCTAATATGGTGAAATGAAGCAAAACGATTTAGAAATATAGTTTAAACTGACATGTAGACAAGATTTTAGGTTCTAAGTAGGCTCTGGTTGAATAAAAATATAAAAAGATAATAGGTTTTTCACAATATGCTTTCTATGAATTATTCAGCCAAATTATTTTCTGCAAGCTAAAGTTTTTATGCCCATTTCATATGAAATCAGCTGAGTCTAGGTCTCAGTTGTCTGTTACTTGGGGAAGGATTTTCTTGCATGACCTCAGGTGATCTGCCCACCTCAACCTCCCAAAGTGCTGGGATTACAGCTGTGAGCCACCATGTCCGGCCTCAGATTTCTTTTTGTTTACCTCTCGTAGGGACTTATTTACCCTATGCTACCTACTGAAAGTCAGTTGGGAAAACATAACACTAAAGCTTCTTGAGGTCTTTTTTTTTTTCAAGACAGGATTTTGCTTTTTTGCCTAGGCTGGATGGAATGCAGTGGCACGATCATGGCTTGCAGTACCCTCAACCTCCTGGGCTCAAGCAGTCCTCCCACCTCAGTCTTCTGAGTAGCTGGGATCACAGGCACGTGCCATTACACCCAGCTAATTTTTAAATTTTTTGTAGAAATGGGGTCTTAACCTGTTGCCCAGACTCATCTTGAACTTTCGGGCTCAACCAGTCCTTCCTCTTTGGCCTCCCAAAGTGCAGGGATTACAGGTGTGAGCTGAAATGCCAGGCCTGCAAAATGTCTTTTATCTCTCTGAGATCACCTGCTTTACAGAGAAAGTGCAGTAGATTCTCAAAGCATACAACTGAATGTGGTGGATTGGTGTTCATTTTACTGTTGAGAAAACTAAAGAGAAGTTTAGCCCAAGTCATACAATTAAAAAGTAGTAAAGGCAAGATTAGAAATCATTGTTTTGACTCATTATCCTATATTTCCCGTAGTTGATTGGGAACATGAGGAAAGGCTGTTTTATTTGATTGATGTTTTAATCATACTGTGTGATTAAATACAATAAATATGTAATACAGGCCAGGTGCGGTGGCTCAGGCCTGTAATCCCAGCACTTTGGGAGGCCGAGGCGGGCGGATTACGAGGTCAGGATTTCGAGAGCAGCCTGACCAATATGGTGAAACCCCGTCTCTACTAAAAATACAAAAATTAGCCGGGCCTGGTGGCACACGCCTGTAATCCCAGCTACTTGGGAGGCTGAGGCAGGAGAATCGTTTGAACCAGGAAGGCGGAGGTTGCAGTGAGCCGAGATTACACCATTGCACTCTAGTCTGGGCAACAGAGTGAGACTCCATCTCAAAAAAAAAAAAAAAATGAATAAATAAATATGTAATACAATAAAGATATGTTAAAGAACTGGAATTGCAAACTAAAACAAAATAGCTGTCTTTTTTTTTTTTTTTAAGAGATGTGGTCTTCCCACCTCAGCTTTCCAAGTAGTTGGGCCTACAGGTGCACGCCACAGTGCCTGGCTTGCCATCTTTTGTTCAGATAGATTTTATGTATAGGATACATGGGGTTCATAACCTACCTAATGTCTTTACCTGTTAGAGAACCAGCACTACGTGAGCTTTTTACTGGAAACTTACGCCTGTGACTTTTAATGGCTTTACTATGATACTTAACACTTAGCTTTTTTTTTTTCCCTTTTTTTTTTTTTGAGATAGAGTCTTACTCTGTCTCCCAGGCTGGAGCGCAGTGGCATCATCTCGGCTCCTTGCAATCTCTGTCTCCCAGGTTCAAGTGATTCTCCTGCCTCAGCCTCCTGAGTAGCTACAGGCACATGCCACCACACCTGGCTAATTTTGTACTTGTAGTAGAGATGAGGTTTCACCATGTTGGCCAGGCTGGTCTCGAACTCCTGACCTCAAGTGATCTGTCTGCCTTGGCCTCTCAAAGTGCTGGGATTGCAAGTGTGAGCCACCAGCTCCGGCCAATAATTAACGCTTCACTTTGAACTTCTTTTGGCTTCAGTTTTATTAAAATTTAAGTTAAATACCTTCCCAAAATATTGCCTCTTAACCTATAAATAAGGAAGTCATAATATTTTTAGGCTTGATTAACCATAAATGTCATTAATAAGGACTAGAGAACCAGTAGCCATAATCAGGCCAGCAGCTTAGTCTATGGTGAGTTTGTAATAGAGGCCTTAGACAGTCTCTGGACCACAAAGAGTTAAAGCACAAGAGATCTGAATTTTGCTCTTTTTTAATTAGTTACCTTGCTTAATAAATTATCACAAACTTAGCAACTTAAAACGATATATTTACTGTATCACAGTTTCTATGTGTCAGCAGTCTGGGCATAGCTTAGTTGGGTCCTCTGCTTAGGGTCTCACAAGGCTACAGTCAAAATATTGGCCAGGCCTGGTTTCTCAGAGACTTGGTTGGAGAGGGATCTGCTTCCAGTTTCCCTCAGCTCATTGGCAAAATTTATTTCATTGCAGCTCCAGCAAGATGGATAACTTGTGTTATCACATGCACATTATCATGCACGTCCCATCTCCCTTACCACATTTTATTGATAAGAAACAAATTACAGGCCCTGCCTACCATAGTCGGGGTGAGGGGAGTTATACAAATGTGTAATACCAGATGTCATGGATCATGGGGCCACCTTAAATTGAATCTGCTACAGTTTGTTTTTTTCATTGTTTTTGCTCTTCACTATCTCCTTTCTCTCTCGACCTTACCCCCCCGCCATCTCCCAGGCACAAGTTAAAAACAAAGAAGGGAGATAATATGATTTCTGATTAATCTATGGAAATATGATTTCCTTTTTTCTTTTAGTGGGCTTAAAATTGAATTCAGTGGATCCAACAATGAGCATTGATCTTAAATACTTGGGAGTACAGTTACCTTTGGCTCCAGCTACTAGCTTTCCTTTTTGGAACCTTACAGGAACCAACCCTGCCTCTCCTGGTGAGTATGTAACATTTGTAAAGTCAAACACTATTTTTCTTGAAGTTTACGTTATTTGTAACGTAAGTAAAAAGCTACCTTTATTGGTGACATTTAACATTAGTCTAAGATAGATCTTTTGTCTGTTGTTATAGTTTTGATAAGTGATTTATACACTTACCAAATTAAAGTTTTATTAATTAACTAGGTCCATAATATTGGCCTGCTAGAATTTTGGTCATCTGTTTGACTTTTTCTTTTATAGATGCGGGATTTCCCTTTGTTTCTAGGACAGGGAAAACCAATGATTTCACTAAGATCAAGGGATGGAGGGGAAAATTTCATAGTGCTTCTGCATCTAGGAATGAAGGTAATTAGTTTTTTAAAATTTTTTAAATGTTCTGAAACATGTAGCCAGAAACCTTTTGTTAAAAGTAAGTCTTGGTTGTTTTTCTTCATTCCTTCTCGCCATGGGTTTTTTGTTGTTGTTGTTGTTGAGACTGAGTTTTGCTCTTGTTGCCCAGGCTGGAGTGCGATGGTGTGATCTTGACTCACTGCAACCTCCACCTCCCAGGTTCAAGAGATTCTTCTGCCTCAGCCTCCCAAACAGCTGGGACTATAGGCATGTGCCACCACGGCTGGCTAATTTTTTGTATTTTTAGTAGATACAGGGCTTCACCATGTTGGCCAGGCTGGTCTGGAACTCCTGACCTCAGGTGATCCGTCCGCCTCGGCCTCCCAAAGTGCTGGGATTACAGGCGTGAGCTGCCGCGCCCAAGCCTTCCATGGTTTAAAATGAACTGAAAATACTTGTCTTGCTGTTTTCTGTCTGCTACCCATTTTCCTGTAGTCACAACCCTGAGGTTCAGTCAGGCTTAAATAATTGCTGCAGCCTTTTTAACAGCATTTCTGTTATTTCTGTTTCTGCAGTTACAAAAAACATTCTCAAGCATTAGTTTAGAACTGTATACTTCAGAGTTTTATAGTGATTTCCTATAGTCTTATACTTCAAACTAAACTAATCCAAGCATTTTGACTGTATCCCTCTTGGTCTCCGTTCTTAGTGCTTTTCCTTGTTCACTGCATTCGTTTGCAATTTAACCAGATAAATATGCCAGTTTTCCAAAATACTTTTCTCACCTTTTGATCTTTTCACAGTATTTATAACAATGTAATTCATGTCTCTGTACTTAATTTTTTTGTTTCTTAAAAACTAAATTTTGTGGTTGGGCATGGTGGCTCATGCCTGTAATCTACCAGCACTTTGGGAGGCCGAAGCAAGCGGATTGCCTGAGCTCAGGAATTCGAGACCAGCCTGGGCAACATGGTGAAAACCCCTCTCTACAAAAAAATGCAAAAACAGCCAGATGTGGTGGCGCATTCCTGTAGTCCGAGCTACTTGCGGGGCTGAGGTGGGAGGATCACTTGAGCCCAGGGAGGTTGAGGCTGCAGTGAGCCAAGATCACACCACTGCACTCCAGCCGGAGTGACAGAGCGAGACCCTGTCTCAAACAAACAAACAAAAACCCAAGTAAATTTTACACGCCTCTTCTTGTGGTCTTCCTTTTTCTCTAATGTTTTGTATCACACTCCAGGCATTCCAGTCTTTCTCCCTCGCTTTTTAAAGACGGGGTCTTGCTCCATTGCCCAGGTTGGAGTGCAGTGGTCCAATCTCAGCTCACTGCAGCCTTGACCTCCTGGGCTCAAGTGATTCTCCCTGCTCAGCCTCCAGAATAGCTGTGACCACAGGTGTGCGCCACCATGCCTGGCTAAGTTTTTGTAGAGCTGGGGTTTGTGATGTTGCCCAGCCTGGTCTTGAACTCCTGAGCTCAAGAAATCCACCTGCCTTGGCCTCACTAAGTGCCGGGATTACAGGCATGAACCCCCGTGCTCAGTCTCACTCTCATAAATAATCTTTTGGCATTCTGTTGAGGCCTGCTTTAATTTCTTTTTTTTTTTTTTTCCCCTGTTATGTGTTTTTCTTTTCTTTTCTTTTTTTTTGAGATGGAGTTTTGGTCTTGTTGCCCAGCTGGAGTGCAGTGGCGTGATCTCGGCTCACCGCAACCTCCCCGTCTCGGGTTCAAGCAATTCTCCTGCTTCAGCCTCCTGAGTATCTGGGGATTGCATTGCAGGCATGTGCCACCATGCTCAGCTAATTTTGTATTTTTAGTAGAGACGGGTTTTCTCCATGTTGGTCAGGCTGGTCTCGAACTCCCGACCTCAGGTGATCTGCCTGCCTCAGCCTCCCAAAGCGCTGGGATTGCAGGAGTGAGCCACTGTGCACAGGCTCCCTGTTACGTTTTTACTTATCTTTGGTCTCTTTAATCAGGTCAAAGATTGTCAAAGATTGAAGATTCTTAGGTTAAATACATTGTTAGCACTTTGTAAGAATTAGTGCCTCAATAAATAATATAATGTGATAGTTTTAGAGTAAGACATAATTTTAGAGAATGGATTTTAATGTTTTTAGTGCCCAAGACTAGAGAATGGATTTTAATGTCATTAATATCTGAGACTCATTCTCTTCACTTGGTTTTATTTATTTTTTCTTTCTGAGGAGGGATAGTTTGTTTATTAAGTATTTATTTTAAAAAATTTATTTATGTTTTTAGGGACAGGGTCCTTGTTACGTTACTTAGGCTGGTCTTGAACTCCTAGCCTGTAGCGATCGTTTTGCTTCTTCCTGTCAAAGTACTGGGATTACAGGTGGGAGTCACTGTGCCCAGCTAAGGGATAGTTTAGAAGATTCACTATCTTGTAGCTCAATATTCTTGGCCATTTTTAGTGTTTTTATGGAGATTCATAAATCTGTCCTAGATTTCTTTAAGCATTTTATGTTTTCTTATTTCTAGGTGGAAATTCAGAAAGTTCACTGAAAAATCGTTCTGCTTTCTGTAGTGATAAGCTAGATGAATACTTGGAAAATGAAGGCAAGCTGATGGAAACAAGCATGGGTTTTTCTTCTAATGCTCCCACATCTCCTGTGGTGTACCAGCTTCCCACTAAGAGTACCAGTTATGTACGAACACTTGATAGTGTACTAAAGAAGCAATCTACTATTTCCCCTTCTACCTCTTATTCTTTGAAACCTCATTCTGTACCCCCTGTCTCTCGAAAGGCAAAGTCTCAAAACAGACAGGCAACTTTCAGTGGCCGAACTAAATCATCTTATAAATCCATTTTACCATACCCTGTTTCACCAAAGCAGAAATACTCTCATGTGATTCTAGGAGATAAGGTTACCAAGAATTCTTCAGGCATCATCTCAGAAAATCAGGCGAATAACTTTGTTGTGCCAACTTTGGATGAAAATATATTTCCAAAGCAGATTAGTTTGCGGCAGGCACAGCAGCAGCAGCAACAGCAACAGGGAAGTCGCCCTCCAGGCTTGTCTAAATCTCAGGTGAAGCTAATGGACCTGGAAGACTGTGCACTTTGGGAAGGAAAACCAAGGACATACATCACAGAAGAGCGAGCAGATGTATCCTTAACAACTCTACTTACAGCTCAAGTAAGTAGCTGCTGTTTTCTGGAGGTATATTAGTGCTTGGCTAGAAAGAGCGAGGTTAGTGAGGGGAAATGGGAATGGTACTTTTTGGCAGGGTGATCAGCTAGTTTTTAGCATTTAGAACCTTCATGGGAACTAAGGCTATGTCTTCCCCATTTGTTCTTTACCAACTAGATACTCAGGTGTAGATTTCTCCTGCCATCAGAGAGAGAGAGTACAATTGCACTTTTGAATAACCTCTCTCTCCTGTATAAAGGCAACTGACCATTCTGAAAATCTCTGATTTCATTTTCCAACATATGGGCAAGTACATTGGCTGATCTTGTTAAAACAACTTTGAAAATTGTGCTTTTATTTTTTATTTTTTGAGATGGAGTCTCGCTCTGTTGCCCAGGCTGGAGTGCAGTGGCAGGATCTCAGCTCACTGCAACCTCCGCCTCCTGGGTTCAAGCTATTCTCCTGCCTCAGCCTTTCGAGTAGCTGGGACTATAGGCACATACCACTGCACCTGGCTAATTTTTGTATTTTTAGTAGAGACACGTTTTCGCCATGTTAGTTAGACTGGTCTCGAGCTCCTGACCTTAGGTGATCCACCTGTCTCACCTCACAAAATGCTGGGATTACAGGCATGAGTCACCACGCCCGGCCTGAAAATTATGCTTTTAAAAGATACTAAATCCCAGGAAATTGAAAATTAAAAACCTCTGGAGAGAAACCTTTATCTTTTGTGAAATTTTGTATTAATAATTTTTCACTTATTTATTTTTATTTTTATATTTTAGAAGTTTTATGGCAAGGGTTGCAGGAAGGAATTTTTGATCTATTGATGATGTACCTATCTTAGCAGCCTCTGGTGCATGTGAAATGATGCCACAGCACATTTATTTATTTATTTATTTGTTTTTGAGACAATGTCTCACTCTTGTTGCCCAGGCTGGAGTTTAGTGGCGTGATCACAGCTCACTGTGGTCCTCCCACCTTAGCCTCCTGAGTAGCTGGGGCCTGTAGGTGTGCACTACCACGCCTGGCTAATTTTTTGTATTATATTAAAAATACAAATGGGGTTTTGCCATGTTATCCAGGCTGGTCTCAAACTCCTGGGCTCAAGCTATCTGCCTGCCTCGGCCTCCCAAAGTGCTAGGATTACAAGCATGAGCCACTGCGCCTGGCCTTCATCATTACTTTTTTTACTTTCCATTTTGTAATTCTATGACTGAATTCTGGAACTGAAGATCATCAGATGTTGGAACTAAATGCAGATTATTTTATTCGTTATTAATCCTTCATAAAGACTTTTATTTATGTATTGTCCTATTCTTTTTTTATTAATTACCCTACAATAGGGACCAGCAAACTTTTTCTGTAAAGGGCCAAATAGTAAATATTTAAGGCTTTGCAGACCATACACTCTCTATAGGAGTTACTGAACTCTGCTGTTGTAGTTCTTCAGACGGTATGTGTATGAATTAGCCTGGTTGCGTTCCAGTGAAACTTTATGACACAGGCTGGATTTGGCCCATGGGTCTCAACCTTTGTTAATCTTTGCGTTAGAACATTATGTATAATTTATATTGAAAATAAATCCATCCTTGATAGTTTTGCCCATAATTGTCTGTACTAAGCATTAGAATGGCAGATTGTTTAGAGCCCTGGTTAGATTCATGTTCTGTCCTTTGAATCTGCATTAGTCCTGTGCTGTTAGTACTTAAAATCAGAGAGTAATGCAGTCCAGTATATGACCATAAGTTGGTGGTGGTGTAGGGGGATGGTTTAGTGGAATTACAATTTTCTCCTTTGACTTTAGGCATCCCTCAAAACTAAACCTATCCACACAATCATAAGGAAACGAGCCCCTCCCTGCAACAATGACTTCTGTCGACTGGGTTGTGTATGTTCCAGTCTAGCTTTGGAGAAGCGCCAACCTGCTCACTGCCGCCGACCAGACTGCATGTTTGGTTGTACTTGTTTGAAAAGAAAAGTTGTACTTGTTAAAGGAGGATCCAAAACTAAGCATTTTCAGAGGAAGGCTGCTCATCGAGATCCAGTATTTTATGATACTCTGGGAGAGGAGGCAAGGGAGGAGGAAGAAGGAATCAGGGAGGAGGAGGAACAATTGAAAGAGAAAAAGAAGAGAAAGAAGCTAGAATACAGTGAGTATTAATTGAGAGTTAAAACTGTGCCATATCAGTTTTTGGAAAAGTATGGTTATTTTAGAATAATACAACCTACCTTAATCCCGATCAATTATCCAATAAGAGCTTTGAGACTTCTTATTATCCTTACATGCTCTTTCTGACTGGCTATCTGAGATGCACACAAACACACACCTTTTTTAAGTTGAATTGTTCTCTGAGAATTGCTTTTTTGTGCTAAATTTAAATCATACTGTTACTTGGTTTTCTAGAATGCCCTTGATCTTTGAGTTTCTTCCATTTTCTGGATTGTGCGCATGTGCACACACACACAGGTAGACACACGTACGTTCCTTGGAAAGACTATAGATGATCCATATAATGCATCATGTTTTCTAAAAGGAGAAGTTTGCAAAAAGACCCTCTGCTCATGGTTGGAGATTTGGGGACAAAGTAGGATTGTGGTAAAGCTGAACATCATGTACTGTGTTGAAAATTGGGTTTTTTTTTGGTGGGAGAGGATAAAATATGATGTAGATGTAGACCCAAGTTACATATTATTTCATTATTGATTTTTTCGTTTCTGTTATATCTTTGTATTTTGTTCAAATGTATTGAAATGATTTTACCGTATAATTGAAACAGGTTTCTTAGTTTATCAGGGGATTAATACTCCTTTTCTTGGCAATTTATGTTTACACTTCCTGTTGCTCTGTGTTCATTTCAATCAGAGATGATGATTAATATTTCAGTGTATGTTCCATCATAACGTCATGTTCTGCTTTCCACATCAACAATTGTAGATCTAATTTTATAATGTTAGTTTTAATGGCTTCATGTTGTTATAATCCCTTTGGTTGGATAGTTAGCCTTTTTGGGTTTTCTTTATTATAAGCTGTACGGTGATGAACATCCATGTTCAAGACAGGCTATTAAAAGTGGAATTGCTGTGACAGTGTGTACATGTTAAACATTTGTAGATGTCACTAGACTTGTGCCAACTTCAGACGTATGCCAGTAGTCAGATACTGGATGGTGCCAGTTTTCTGTTCTCTTGCTCTGTTGCCCAGGCTGGAGTGCAGTGGCATGGTCTCAGCTCACTGCAACCTCCACCTCCTGGGTTCAAATGATTTTCCTGCCCCAGCCTCCTGAGTAGCTGGGATTATAGGTGTCCAGCTAATTTTTTTATATTTTAGTAGAGACGGGGTTTCACCATGTTGCGTAGGCTGGTCTTGAACTCCTGAGCTCAGGCAATCTTCCTGCCTTAGCCTCCCAAAGTGCTAGGATTATAATAGGCATGAGCCACTGTACCCAATTAGTTTTCTGTTCTAACACTGAATATTTTACAACTTTTAAAACTGTCATATGGATAGGCAGAAATTGATATTTTGTTTTAGATTTGTATTTCTTCTATGATAGATTTATTGACCATTTATCATAAACTTTTTTTCTGTAAATTGCCTTTTTGAATTCTTTGCTAACTTTTATTGGAGTGTGTTTTTTTCCTTTAGTTTGCAGAAGCTTTATATTTTCTAGGTTATAATTTTGTAATTTACATTTTCGTTTTGTTCAAGGTTCCCTCCCCCACTGCCCACCCGCCCCCAGTGAAAAAGCAGTGATAGTTAAACTTGGCAGTCTTTTCTTTTTATGGTTTCTGTCTTTTTTTTTTTTTTTCTTTTTTCTTTTTTTGAGACAGAGTCTCACTCTGTTGCCCAGGCTGGAGTGCAGTGGCACGATCTCGGCTCACTGCAACCTCCACCTCTTGGGTTCAAGCAATTCTTCTGCCTCAGCCTCCCAAGTAGCTGGGACTACAGGCATGCACCACCACACCTGGCTAATTTTTCTATTTTTAGTAGAGACGGGGTTTCACCATATTGGCCAGGCTGGTCTCGAACACCTGACTTTATGATCGGCCCACCTCGGCCTCCCAAAGGGCTTGGTTTCTGTCTTTAAAGTCTTGTTTAGAAAGTCTTTCTCTACCTTGAGATTATAAAAATATTTAATTATATTTCTTCTAGTACTTTTTTGGACTTAAAAAAAATAAGTTGTTAATATAGCTGAATTTATTTGATGTGGGATTTGTAGTAGGGAATCATATTTCCCCCAAATGCCTAGCCGTTGTACTATCACTTATTGAGAAATATACTTTTCCTACTGAATTAAAATGTCACCTGTAATATAATAAATTAAAATATATTAATGACTGGATCTCTTTCTGGCCTCTCCTGTTTTGTGACCAGTGCCAGGGTATTCTTATTTCTATTTTAGCATTTAAGTGAGATATAGTGTATTTAAATACCTAAATGATCTTTGTGTAAATAAGATTTTAAAGGTTTAAAATGAAGCATAGTGTAGATTTATTAGTTTAGTTCTACCCATATCTCCTTACTGAGTTTACTCCCTTCTTATGCTTAAGACAAGCATTTCCATTTCAAAGCAACAAAAATAAAATACGGAAGCCCACATAAGCAGGAATAGTGCTTACCTCTTAGGCTTTACTGCTTTTTGATTATTGTCTTCATCCTGTGCCCTATCCTTGACTATAATTAAACTCCGATAGCCAATTATTAAAGTATTTTTTTGTTTTCTTACTGGTACAGTTCATTATAAAAAGCAAAGCTTGCTATTCCCTATCTAGGAGCCATCAGTTTTCTTGTGCTGTTAGGGAAGGATGAAAAAGGAGGGATGGCTGGGCACGGTGGCGCAGGCCTGTAATCCCAGCACTTTGGACGGCTGAGGCGGGCAGATCACGAGGTCAGGAGATCGAGACTGTCCTGGCTAACACGGTGAAACCCCGTCTCTACTAAAAATACAAAAAAAAAAAAATTAGCCAGGCGTGGTGGCGGGCACCTGTAGTCCCAGCTACTCCGGAGGCTGAGGCAGGAGAATGGTGTGAACCCGGGAGGCAGAGCTTGCAGTGAGCCGAGATTGTGCCACTGCACTCCAGCCTGGGCGACAAAGCGAGACTCCGTATCAAAAAAAAGAAAAAGAAAAAGGAGGGGTGATATTTTTGTTAACAACTGATATGTAAAAGGAGTAGAAACAGGAAAGAGTTCTTAGAGGTAAACATGTTGCCGATACCAAAAATGGACAAAGAAAAAATATAAAAACTGGAAAAGTTGAAATCCTTTAGTATGTTTTGCAAAAAGATAGGTGGAAACTGAGGGTAAAAAAAAGTAAGTTATGAAATTGAGGTATAAGCATTTTATTTAGAATGATTGAGTGTAACCACTAAAAATAAACATAAATGTTTAAAAGTAGTCACTTGTCACTGCAACACTGGGTATGATGGAAGACTTGTTTCTTTTTATATTCTTTAGCACAGTTTTTTGTGTGTTTTTATTATATAGTTAATATATAAAAAATTAGTCTTCTCAATGCATAAAATCTCAGCATTTAATACTTTTTTTTTGTCATTGTAACAGACTTAAAAATTTTTTTGTAATGGTTCAATCCATTGCTGAAAAAAAGATGGGTAACATTATTGGACACTGTTATGCATAGCTCTCTATGAAGGTTCTATCATTTAAACCTTCAACCTTATATGATAAGGAGGCTTCATTCTCCATTTTAGAAATGAGCTAATTGAGTGCTTAGTGACTTGTTCTCCAAGGTCATAAAGATACTAAGTGAGTTGTAGGGGACTGCCAAGTCCTCATGCTTTTTCTGCCTTGTACAATTTCTGAAATTTTAATTCTGCCTCCTTGTTGTAGACCCCAGTGGCCTTTACTTTTATCACCTGCTTATCCTTTGGTTTGTCAAAAAATACTGCTGGCTGTGCAGAGGTACTGTGCCTAGCTGTTGTGGGTAGTACCAAGGGAAAGAATAAAACTTGTCATTTCTGTTTTCTTAGCCCACTTAATATACCTATAAATTAACAATATAAAGAAAAAAAATCAATAAAATTGATACTTGTAGCCAGACTGAGGAATAAAGAGAACATACTAATTACCATTATTAGGAATGAAAGGTGACTTCAGTACAGACATTGAAAGGATGATATGGCAATATTATGAACAACTTTATGTCAGTAAATGGAGAACTCAGATGAAATGGAAAAACTCTTTAAAAGACACAAGCTACAAAACTCACTCAAGAAGAAATAGGTGACTGCTTGCCTTATACTTATTAGAGAATTGAACTTGTAGTGGAAAACCCTGCAATAATAATTCTGGTCTGAGTTGCTTCACTGTTGAATTCTATAAAACATTAAAGACTAAATCCCATTTGATACAGTCTTCCATAAAATGGTGTCATCTTATGAAACCAGCATTACCCTGATATTCAATCCATAAGAAGACTTTACAAGAAAACTGTAGACTGATAACCCTTATGAACATAGATGTAAAATTTCTAAATAAAAGTTTAGCAACTCAAATCCAACAGTATATTTAAAGAATACTGCATCATGACTAAGTGGGGTGTATCCTAGAAGTGTGGGATTTGTTTAACATTTGAAAAATCAATCAGTATACTTTGCCATTACAGTGGACTTAAAAAAAGACCAGTCTGGGTGACAGAGTGAGACCCTGTCTCAAAAAAAAAAAAAAAATTAATGTTCTAAATTATGGTGACATCATATGTTGTAATTAGTAAATATGTCCATATGTATAAAATACATATTAAGGATAGAAATTTGATTTAGATATGAATATTTATGTAATTTGCCATATAACAGATTAAATGAGATCATTTATGATATTAGTGAATGTGGTTAAATTGATAAAAATTCAACATTTATCATCTCAAGATATATATCTATCTCACTATATATAGATAGATATCTTGATATATGTAGTGTATATGTAGTGTGTGTGTGTGTGTATATATATATATATATATACATATATATATACATGTATAGTATTATTTAGTTAGGTTCTTAAGAAGTTTAAAACACCAATTTGTGAGGATAAATTCCATTCGTCAGGGCAAACACAGATCGCAGGTAGCCCTGGAGCTGAGGAATAGCTTTGATTTTTCGTACAATTTGTGAGTCCACAGCTTTCTGATCAATCTTGCACTGCTCTGTAGTCTTGTAGTTCTCTTTTTCTGTGTCAGAGATCTCACCTTCCTGGTGTCTGGGCTTCTGCAACTGCTTCTCGAAGTGAGCATCAATAAGATGTTTTGGGATTTTTACATTGCTAATGCCAGTTTTGGTTGAGATGGCAATGACAAATTTCTGGTGTGTTCAAGCTCCACCTGATTAAGAGATATTTTTGAAAGATTGACAAAATTCATTTCTGGTAAAAATTCTCAGCACACTAGGAATAGCAAGGAATTTTCTCAACTGGATAAAATAATCTTTGAAAAATATTACAATTGACATATTAATGATAAAAGACTTATTGTTCTCTCCCAAAGACTGGGAATGAGGAAGAATGCCCATTTTTACCACTTCTGTTTAACGTTATGTACAGGAGGTCCTAGCCAGTGCAGTAAGGGCATGATAAAGAGAGAGGTATCCAGATTGGAAAGGAAGAAGTAAAAATTGGCTTTATTCATGGATAGGAAAATCCTAGGGAATCTACAAAATAAGCTACTAGAACTGTAAGTCAGTTTAATGAGGTTGCAGCATACATTATCAGTATGCAACATGTTTGTACATATAAGCAATGAACAATTGGAAATTGAGATAAGTTGAGATTAAAAAAATACCATTTAAAATAGCATCCAACGAGAAGAGACACTTAAGGATAACTTTGATAAAAGATGCCTAAAACCTATATACTAAAAACTATAAGATATTGCTGAGAGTGATTTTAAGAGGCCTAAATAAATGGAAAAATATATTGTTTTCATTTATCAGAAGACACTCTTGGTAAGATACTTTTCACAAATTGGCCTATAGATCTGCTGATGCTATTCCAATCAAAATCCTAACAGGCTTCTGGGGGATAGAAATTGGCAAGTTTCTAAAATTTTTATGAAAAACAGAGGACTTAGAATAGTCCAAACAACTTTGATAAAGAATGTACCTGGCCACACGTGGTGGCTCATGCCTGTAATCCCAGCACTTCAGGAGGCCGAGACTAGTGAATCATCTGAGCTCAGGAGTTCATGACCAGCCTGGGCAACATGGCGAAACCCTGTCTCTACCAAAAATACAAAAAATTAGCCTGGTGTGGTGGTATGCACCTGTAGTCCGAGCTACTTGGGGGGCTGAGGTGGGAGGATCACTTGAGCCTGGGAGGCAGAGGTTGCAGTGAACTGAAATTATGCCACTGCATCTCCAGTCTGGGTGACAGAGTGAGACCCTGTCTCAAAAAAAAAATTAATGTTCTATATTATGGTGACATCATATGTTGTAATTAGTAAATATGTCCATATGTATAAAATACATATTAGTGATTAGGGGTAGAAATTTGATTTAGATATGAATATTTATGTAATTTGCTGTATAACGGATTAAATGAGATTATGATATTAATGAATTAATGAATATGGTTAAATTGATAAAAATTCAACATTTTTTATTTAAAAAATAACTTAGCAAGTGAACCTCGGAAAAATGCTGCTTCTCACTTTCATCTGTAATCTTATTTCAGTCCTAATCAAAACTCTGATAGCTTTTTATGTGAAACATGAAAAGCAGAACTTATAATTTATATGGAAATGCGAAGAATCTAGAAATAACCAGGTCAATCTTGAAGAACAGTGGCAGAATGGAAGGATTTTATTGTATGTCAAGAGTTACAAAATTACCACGTGATATGGGTGATATTGGCTTGTCATAAAATGAATAGACAAGTAGAACAGAATAGAGAGGCTACAGGCTGGGTGCTGTGGCTCATGCCTTGTCATCCCAGCACTTTGTGGGGCCAAGGCAGGAGGATCGCTTGAGCCCAGGAGTTCGAGACCTGCCTGAGCAACATAGCAATACTTCCATCTCTACTAAAAATAAAAAAAATTTTGGCTGATGGCATGGTGGCTCAGGCCTGTTGTCCCAGCTGTGCAGTAGGCTGAGGCAAAAGTATGGCCAGGAGGTTGAGCCTGCAGTGAGCCGTGATAGTGCCACTGCACTCCAGCCTGGGTGACAGAGTGAGATGTTGTCTCAAAAATAAAAACTAAGGCCAGACGCGATGGCTTACACCTGTAATCCTAGCACTTTGAGAGGCCGAGGTGGGCAGATTGCCTGAGCTCAGGAGTTCGAAACCAGCCTGTGCAACATGGCGAAACCCCGTCTCTACTAAAAATACAAAAAATTAGCCGGGCATGGTGGTGTGCGCCTGTAATCCCAGCTACTCTGGAGGCTGAGCCACGAGAATCTCTTGAACCCGGGAAGCTGAGGTTGCAGTGAGCCGAGATTGCACTGTTGCACTGGACGACAAAGTGAGACTCTGTCTCAAAATAAAATAAAATAAAATAATACTGTAAACAGATTCAAACATAAATGGACTCTTGATTTGACAGAAGTGGCGAAGAAATAAAGAAAGAATGATCTTTTCACCAAATGGTGATAGGATTATTGTACATCCGTATGGGAAAAATAGAAACTTTATTCGTTTCTCACACCATATATGGAAATAATTTGTAGGTACGTTATACACCTAATTTTCAATGACTAAACAATACAGCATTTAGAAGATACAGGCAAATGTATACAGGATCTCATATTAGGAAAAAATTTCTTAAACATGACAGAAGAAAACCAATTCTTAGGGAAAAGATCAAGCCATTTGACAACTTTAAAATAAGAAATTCAGAGGCTGGGCACGGTGTCTCACGCCTGTGATTCCAGCACTTTGGGAGGCTGAGGTGGGTGGATTACTTGTGGTCAGGAATTCGAGACCAGCCTGGCCAACATGGTGAAACCCCATCTCTACCAAAAATACAAAAATTAGCCAGGTGTGATAGGGTGTGCCTCTAATCCCAGCTACTCAGGAGGCTGAGGCACAAAAATCGCTTGAACCTGGGAGATGGAGGTTGCAGTGAGCCGAGATTGTGCCACTGCACTCCAGCCTGGGAGATAGAACGAGACTCTGTCTCAAAAATAAATAAAAGCAGATATTTGTAATATCTAAGGACCTATATCCAAAATATATAAAGGTGTCTACAAATTAATAATAAACACTCCTGTAGAAAAAATGAGCAAGAGTTTTAGAAGCATTTCATAAAGTGGAATGTTGAATGGCTCATTTGTAGTTGGGGAAATCCAAATTAAATCCATGATGAGATTCTACTAGACACCTGCCAGAATGGTTATCATTACAAGCCTCTACTAATACCAACTATTGATAAAGACAATGAACAATGGGAAATCTCCTACACTGCTGATGGGGAAATAAATAGGTGTAACCGCTTTGGAAAATAGTTGGGCAGTATCTACTGAAGTTGAAGATTCATAGCCCTTGATCTAGCAGTTTGACTCCAGAGTAACAAGCAGAACTGTATTATATAAGAATATTTACATGATTCTCACAGTATTTAAAACCTGAAAACAACCCCAAATGTCTAATAACAATAGAAGAATAAACAGTAGTATGAATATTCAGTGAAATAACATACCACAGTGAAAATAAATGAATTACAACTGTGTGTTTCAGCATAGATGAATTTTACAAATATAATGTTGAAGGGGAAAAACGCCAGGTAAAAGAATGTATCTTTGATTCCATTAATATAAACTTTTAAAGTAGGCCAATTTTTTTTTTTTTTTTTTTTTTTTTGAGACGGAGTCTTGCTCTCTCGCCCAGGCTGGAGTGCAGTGGTGCGACCTCGGCTCACTGCAAACTCCGCCTCCCGGGTTCACACCATTCTCCTGCCTCAGCCTCCCGAGTAGCTGGGACTACAGGCGCCCGCCACCACACCCGGCTAATTTTTTGTATTTTTAGTAGAAACGGGGTTTCACCATGTTAGCCAAGATGGTCTCAATCTGCTGACCTCGTGATCCGCCTGCCTCGGCCTCCCAAAGTGCTGGGATTGCAGGTGTGAGCCAGTGTGCCCGGTCTAAAGTAGGCAAAATTAAGGTATGATATTTAGGTGTTATACTTTGACATTCAAAAAAGGAAAGCAAAGAGGTAGCTATCATTTAAGTGCCTTTTTTATAGGAAGGGGAGGGATTGTGATTGAGAAAGGGTTCTGGAATTGATAGCACTGTTCTATTTCTTGTATGGTGTTTACATGGATGTATAGTTCTTAATATGTATTGAGCTGTATACTGTTTATGTACATTTCTTTATAAATGCTATATTTCATTATAAAGAGATCCAAAATGCCTACAAAAATCAGAGGAAGAGGAGCATGGTGTGTTAGTGTGCTGTATTAGCATGGCAGTTCTTGTAGGTCTTCTAAGTGTAATGCTTTTCATTTATGGTGCAACTACTATGGACACTGCTAGGAGTGAGGAGGTAGAATATAGGCAATTAAAACAAGTC
This sequence comes from Homo sapiens, assembly GCF_000001405.40. Classification (NCBI taxonomy): domain Eukaryota; kingdom Metazoa; phylum Chordata; class Mammalia; order Primates; family Hominidae; genus Homo; species Homo sapiens. The sequence continues at coordinate 41,722,856 of NC_000015.10, forward strand.
CATCGCTCTAAGAGGTTACTGTCAATTTGATAAAACAGGTATGTGGTGAAAAGATACATATTTATTGTAATTTTAAGTCCCACGAGTAACTGAATTCCTGTAATGTTTTAAGTGTCATGAACAAAAGGCTTACTGAGAAGCCAGAAGACAGAGTGATAAAGCTAGGGGACTTGGGTAATATATATTAGGAGGCATTTCAGTAGAAATGAGGAGACCATTTCTTTGTTAAAACTGATTTCTATTCTTGGCTCCTGTCAATGAATATGTGCTACTCAGCTTCTCCCCTTAATTCCACCTTTTCCTGCTGAGTGTTGTTCTTTTTTTTTCCTGAGTTTCAGGGAAAGAGTAGGAGAATCTCTAGTGTCATTATAAGGGGAAATAAAGAGGTGCTGTATCTTGGATCCCAGGCTGTATAAAGGAATCAAGTGAACAGTGGGCCAGTGAGTGTGAGGGATCAGTATTTTGTTCTTGCCTTTGTAGGGAGCCTGTTTTCATGGCTTCAATTCTACTAGTCTCTGCCAATGATGGTCCTGGTTTTTAATTCCCATGCTATTTTATTTATTTACATATATTTTTGAGAGAGAGGGTCTTGCTCTGTCACCCAGGCTGGAGTGCTGTGTCTTGATCATAGCTAACTATATCCTTGATCTCCCTGGCTCAAGCGGTCCTTCCGTCTTAGCCTCTGGAGTAGCTAGGACTACAGGTACATGCCACCATGCCCAGCTAAAGCTTTTTATATTCTGTAGAGACAGGGTCTTGCTATGTTGCCCAGGCTGGTTTTGGGCTCCTGGCCTCAAGAGATCCTCCCACCTTGGCATCTGTATTGGGATTATAGGTGTGAGCTACTGCATCTGGCTCCCTACCCCATTTTTAGTATGTTGTTGTCCTTCCAATTTAAAACATGTCATAAACAGAACTGAACTCTACCCCTCTCAGTCAAATCCTTTTATGAACTCCCCTATTTATTGGAAGCTCCATTTCTCATTTTTTCCCATTCTGGTGACAGATTAACCATTTCCTACTTATTCACAGTTGAAATTTTAAAATTGTCTTTGATTGCCTGTGAGATATTAAGAGAAATATGAATAATCATTCTTGGTATCTTAAGAGTTTTTTTTTTTTTTGAAGTACTGTACTGTGTATTTTGTAGCTATTATTTCAAAAGGAAAAGATGAAAAGGGACCTTTGCTTAGTATAATGCTTAGTTTATGGAGGCTTAGAAAATCCTTAAAAGATTATTGATAGAAGTCCAAGATGTCTTGCTTGCCCTAAAGGTGCTTTTGTTTTTGTCTTATAATTAATGCGTGTACAAAATAATTAGCTACACTGAACAAGAAAGTTTTTATTAAATGTGTGGTAGAACCTCTTAATACCACCTTCACTGGGAGGGCAAGCCTCAAAAGACATACTTGTACATACTTACTACACATGCTACCTATTTCCTTTCCTGTTTTTTCTCTTAAGTACCTAACCATATTCCAACACATTTTCCGTATTCATCATATTGCCTGTCTCATCTTACTTCCCCCCAAAAGCTACCTGAAAGCAAGGATTTTTGTCAGTTTTATTCATTGTTGTATCTGCAAAGTCTGATACGTAGTAGAAATTCAAATATTTGAATGCATAAATGAATATTGGTGTCTAGAAACCTTTGTGCCATCTCTATAAAAAAGTTAAAATTAAAAAATTAGCCAAGTGGTGTGTGCTTGTAGTCTCAGCTATAAGATGAGGCAGTGAGATGATCTCTTGAGTCAGGGAGGCCAGGGCTATGGAGAGCCATGGTGGTGCCAGTACACTCCAGCCTGGGTGACAGAGTCTCAAATTCTGTCTCAAAATAAAAAACAACCAGAAACATTGGTGAATTATGTTATAAAGGAGCTAAATTTTAAAAGGTAGTTGACAGAGACTGCAGCTGGCTAATTGACTCAATCACTTTCTAGCTTTGTTGTCCCCACCTCCCACCCCCTTTTTAATTTTTAAACCTTTATTCAAATTTTGTGATTGTGCCCGTATGTTTACCTCAGGAGCCCCTTAGACAAAGTTGTTCTTTACCAGTTGTTATTAATGTTCAGAGCAAATATACTACTTACGAAAATCAGGTAGCAGCTTAGATTCTGCTTTGTCATGAAAGATTAATTGAAGTAAGTATTTGAATTAAGTATGAATGCCACTCAGTCATATTTTATGTGACTCTAGGTGAAAGTTTTTGGGTCTTTGGCTTTGAACCAGCTACATGTCCTCTGTGAGGACTAACCATTAAAATGCAGAAATACATTTACTTCACTACGGCTGCTTTATGGGAATGGGCAGTTTACTTAAAGAATAAAACCAGTAGTGCTGGGCGTAGTAGCTCATGCCTGTAATCCCAGTGACTCAGGAGGCTGAGGCCGCAGGATTGCATGAGGCCAGGAGTTCAAAACAGGCCTGGGTAACATAGTGAGACCTGGTCTCTAAAAAGAAAATTTTTTTTCTTTATATTACCTTTAATTAACTCTTAACAACTAAACCTTTTTTTAAAGACCTAAAATTTATTTTTAAAGACCTATGCAGGCATGGTGGCATGTACCTGTAGACCTAGCTACTTGGGAGCCTGAGGCAGGAAGATCACTTTAGCCAGGAGGCTACAGTGAGCCATGATTGTGCCACTACTTGGGCAACAGAGTGAGACTTGTACTCTTAAAAAAATAAATAAGTAGGGCCGGGCGCGGTGGCTCACGCCTGTAATCCCAGCACTTTGGGAGGCCGAGGCGGGCGGATCACGAGGTCAGGAGATCGAGACCATCCCGGCTAAAAAACGGTGAAACCCCGTCTCTACTAAAAATACAAAAAATTAGCCGGGCGTAGTGGCGGGCGCCTGTAGTCCCAGCTACTTGGGAGGCTGAGGCAGGAGAATGGCGTGAACCCGGGAGGCGGAGCTTGCAGTGAGCCGAGATCCCGCCACTGCACTCCAGCCTGGGCGACAGAGCGAGACTCCGTCTCAAAAAAAAAAAAAAAAAAAAAATAAATAAATAAATAAATAAATAAGTAAACCCAGGAGCCTCTTAACCTAGATCTTCTTTTTAATTTAGTTAAGTAATCAATGCATATTTTCCTTTGTGCACATTTTTTGGGGGATTATTTATTAACAAGTAAAAATGCATATATTGGTCTATAACATGACATTTTGATGTAAATTGTAGAATGGCATACAGAACTTCTTGATAGTATGATTTTACCTCAGTTGGGTTTCATTGCGTCTATATTGATATAAGTGTTTTTACTCCTGTACTGAGTTCAGGCTGTCTTTTGATTACAATTTGTTATTAGAATGCAGTAGTGACAGCTTGGTCTCTGGAGCCAGATAGACAGGGTTTGATTCTGGTTCTGCCTCTTACTGGTTGGACATCCCTGCCTCTCACTGGTTGGACATCCCTGCACCTCAGCTTCTGTACCATGGGAATGATACCTACCTCAGGAGTTGTTGGAGTTAAAACACATGAAGTGCTTAGCACAGGTGCTTAGAACAATGCTTAGAACTATTGAATAATAAGGTTCAGTAAATGTTTGTTGTTATTATTTAGGAAATAAAGTGTGGTTAAAAGTTATCTTTTTGACTAGGCATGGTGGCTCACAACTGTAATCTGGCACTGTGGGAGGCCAAGGTTGGGTGGATCACTTGAGGCCAGGAGTTCGAGACCAGCCTGGCCAACATGACAAAACCCCATCTCTACCAAAAATATAAAAATTAGCCAGGTGTGGTGGCATATACCTGTAATCCCAGCTACTCAGGTGGCTGAGGCATGAGAATCTCCTGAACATGGGAGGCAGAGGTTGCCATGAGCCAAGATTGCGCCATTGCACTCCACCCTAGGTGACAGAACAAGACTCTGTCTCAAAAAAAAAAAAAAAAATTTTTTTTCAGTAAGGTCTTCTCTGACCCTAAATATAATGGCAACTCTTGTTTTAATTCTTCATTCCTTAATTACCTTGCTGTGTTTTTCTACATGGCTTACCATTACTTGATATTATATATTTATGGGTTTGTCTTCCCCTACTGGATTTTAAACTCTGAGGGCAAGAACTTTGTTTTATTCATAGCTGTGTTCATTCTAATGCCTAAAACAGTATCTGGTTGATAGCTGGTGTTCAATAAATATTTAAAGATGAATAAATGAAAGTATATAAATACCACTAAATGCCCTTTGTTTGGGGAGGGGGTCGTCTATTTGATTATTTTAACGAGTTACTGCCTTTTGTGAGGGAGCGTATTTTGTTTTGGCAGTGCCTCAGTATTGATCTTTTGTTGCCAAAAGTACCTAAAACCTTACCCTTCTTTTTTGTTAAGCTATATGTGAGACAGAGCCTGAACAGCCTGTTCGACATTACCCATTATGGGTAAAAGTAGAAGGTGAAGTAGATCCAGAACCAGTTTATATCCCCACGCCTTCTGTCATTGAGCCTATGAAACCATTGTTATTGCCTCAGCCAGAAGTTTTATCTCCTACTGTGAAGGGCAAACTGCTCACTGGAATTAAATCTCCACGGTCATATACTCCCAAACCCAATCCTGTGGTAAGTCTGGAATTTAATCTTTTATTACAAGTTACCAAAGTCATGTGTAAAGATGGTGTGTTTCAAGCAGATTTTTGGTTGATATTTTGTGAATCATTTTGCTTTCAGTAATATGTTTATAAGATATCTTCCTTTCTGGTTTAATCAGTTTAGTGCTGGCACTTTAAAAATGTCTTAAAAGTAGAAATGAGTAGTAGTAATTTTAAAAAATAACCATCTTCAAGAAGATCATAGAAACATAGGCTTTTTTACATGGCTTGGAAAAAGTTTTTTAAAGATACTACTCCTGTATTGTAGAATATTAGTAATCAATATAAGCAGTATATATTATTAGTAGAAAAACATTAGGAAAAAGCTTTTAAAAGCTTTTAAAAGCAAATTTAAAAATGCATAATAATATCAGTAAAGTTTAAGATTTAAAGTAACAGTTGATATAATATGACTGAAGACTGGTAGGTAAAAGTAGGAAGTTATTCATTGTGTTAATGGCTTAAGCAAGTCTTATTATCAAATCCATGTGTCCTCCTAGTCCATTAGATTGAAGAAAAATCCTATACTACGATGCTACTGAATATGTTCTTTGTAGCAGAGCTATTATAGTATAAAACTGTTTCTGGTCTGTGATGAAATAAGCAAGGGTGGGCCGGGCGCGGTGGCTCACGCTTGTAATCCCAGCACTTTGGGAGGCTGAGGCGGGTGGATGATCTGAGGTCAGGAGTTCGACACCAGCCTGGCCAACATGGTGAAACCCCGCCTCTACTAAAAATAAGAAAAATTAGCCGGGCGTGGTGGCTCATGCCTATAATCCCAGCTACTCGGTAGGCTGAGGCAGGAGAATCACTTGAACCTGGGAGGCGGAGGTTGTGGTGAGCCGAGATTGCTCCACTGCATTCCAGCCTGGATGACAGAGCAAGACTCCATCTCAAAAACAACAACAACAAAACCTGAAAAAGGCAAGGGTTAGGGCCGCTGATCTCCACGCAGTCCAAATTCTGCATATAATTTTCAACTCCCCCAAAACTGAACTCTTAATAGTGTACTGTTGACTAGAAGCCTTACCAATAACATAAACAGTCAACACATTTTTGTTATATGTAGTATATACTGTATTCTTACAATAAAATGAGCTATAGAAAAGAAAATGTTACTAAGAAAATAATAAGGGAAAGAAAATGTTGTTACTATTCATTAGTGGATCATCATAAAGGTCTTCATACTATCTTCACATGGAGTAGTCTGAGGAGGAACAGGAAGAGTTGATTTTACTGTCTTGGTGACAGAGGTGGAAGAAAATCCATATGTGAGTGGACCCACACAGTTCAAACCTGTGTTATTCAGGGGTCAGCTGGATAGAAAATAAGAGTAAATATTTAGAAATTTCTACAGCAAGTTGATTAGCTGAATCTAATATTTAAAAACCTTGCATTTTATATGTTTTTAGTTTTTCTAGTAATTTATTGTATTTACTAAAGTATCAGTCTATGATGGACTGGTAATTAACAATGTATCCTTCACCATAGATAATTTGAAATGCACTGCTCTGGTATGATCTGAAATTTCCTGATAGAGAACTGGATCCTTTCTGACTGCCCTAAGGTTCGGCACATATGAACTGTACTTGTGCTGTTTGATTTGAAAGTTTGCATTAAAAAATTTCGACTGTTGTAATACAAAAAAAGATTAAACATTCGTTTTGTTTTGGAGTCTAGCGGAGTTTTTCCCACTGTATGGAATATTTTGTTGTATGAAATTTACAGATTCGGGAAGAGGACAAAGATCCAGTCTACTTGTACTTTGAAAGTATGATGACTTGTGCTCGAGTTCGAGTATATGAGCGAAAAAAAGAGGACCAGAGACAACCATCTTCCTCCTCCTCCCCATCTCCATCATTTCAGCAGCAAACTTCATGTCATTCTAGCCCTGAGAACCATAATAATGCAAAGGTGAGTTTCTTGTTGCATAAGTTCTTTTTAACTTCTGATTACCTGTTTTTGGTATTAAGATTTGTATTACTATCAGAATAATAATTATCCTACAGGGCAGAGAAGTCATACATGACATGTATAACAGTTTATTTCTCTGTGTACCTATTGTATGATACGTCCCTTATGGTTATTACAAGTATTCTTTCTTGGTTGGGTGCTGTGGCTCATGTCTCTAATCCCAGCACTTTGGGACGCTGAGGCAGGCGGATCAGTTGAGCCCAGGAGTTTGAGGCTAGCCTGGCCAACATGGTGAAACCCTATCTTTACTAAAAATACAAAAAAAAAAATTAGCTGGGCCTGGTGCCGCATGCCTGTAATCCCAACTACCTGGGGTGCTGAGGAACGAGAATTACTTGAACTTGGGAGGTGGAGGTTGGAGGTTGCAGTGAGCTGCTATCATGCCACTTTACTCCAGCCTGGGTGACAGAGTGAGACTCTGTTTCAAAAAAATATGTATATTATTCTTTCTTTTTCTTTTCTTTTTTGTTATAATAATCTTTTATTTATTTATTTATTTTGAGATAGAGTTTTGCTCTTGTTGCCCAGGCTGGAGTGCAATGGTGTGGTCTCGGCTCAGTGCAACCTCTGCCTCTTGGGTACAAGCAATTCTCCTGCCTCAGCCTCCTGGGTAACTGAGATTACAGGTGCCTGCCACCACGTCTGGCTAATTTTTTGTATTTTTAGCAGAGATGGGGTTCCACTATGTTGTCCAGGCTGGTCTCGAACTCCTGACCTCTGATGATCCACCCACCTTGGCCTCCCAAAGTGCTGGGATTACAGGCGTGAGCCACTGCACCCAGCCACATTTGCATCCAGCACTTTGGGAGGCCGAGGTGGGCTGATCGAGACTAGCCTGGCCAACAAGGTGAAACCCCATCCATAGTAAAAACACAAAAAATTAGCCGGGTGTGGTGGTGGGCCCCTGTAATCCCAGCTATTCGGGAGGCTGAGGCAGGAGAATCCCTTGAACCCAGGAGGCCAAGGTTGCACTGAGCTGAGACCACACCATTGCACTCCAGCCTGGGCAACAAGAGCAAAACTTTGTCTCAAAAGAAAAAAAAAAATGTAATTAAGCAGTGGTTATCAAGAAAGTTAACTCAATAATAGGGAATAGTTTTCAAATATGCACCCTGTACCAACAAAATCCTGTATAATTTACACAGTCGTTCAAGCAAACACAAGAAAACTGGTTCAATTTCTATGAATTATCAAGAGGAAAGGAAAAATGCCCTTCTATCTCAAATCAGGTTTGAATGACAGCTTTTTTCAGTATAATAAAGACATATGTGCACACAATAAAGACAAAATATGTCTTCCCATTCTAAAACACTTCCTCTTTTAGTCCGTTATATGCTTTGCATAATCTTGTGTGGTAAGTCTTTGCTGCAACTGATAATATTCAAAGTAAATCCCTCCTGGTTTAGTGTTCTAAGAAGCCAATAGTTGCAGCAATTCGAGCATTAAGTGTACTTCCAGAATCTGTAATATTCCAATGCTGTTACCAGGCAAGTAAACGCTGAGGCTGTGAAAAGAAGAAACTATGTTATAAGTCATGTATTTGTGATTATTTTGCAGAGATAAAGAGAATGATGTTATCTTTAAGTGAAGAGCAAAAAACAAAGGACATCCAACCAATTTTCTATCCTGCATTTTTCATTCCTTGGAAAATTAAGGATGAAAAACATTCTTAAGGGCAGCATTAATGCCAATTCTTCTTAAAAGCTCCTGTATTTTAAAACAGAATAAGGATGACAGTAATTTAAAAATGTAAATTATATATCATTTAGAACCTATAAACAGTATTTAAAATCATTAACATTAGCATTATTAATGACCACTTTAATTATAAGTTGTAATTTCAGATCTCATGATAAATAAAAACTTTGTTACCTATATTAAAAAATTATATAGTTAAGCTAGTAGCATTTATGCATGTATCTATGCATTTATCTATGTATCTATGCAGAGAAAATTTTAATTGCCTTTTTAGTATATTTTAAAATAATTTCTCTCATAATTATTTTAAACATTTTCATAAAAACTCTTTAAAATAAACTCAGTGAGGTAGAAGGAAAGACAGAAAAAGCATCAAGTTTTTAAAGTAGTTAATATACTACTTTTACTTTGTTACATCATTTTGGATAAAAAAAACTTCTGTTTTCCCAGCTTTCAGGAGGTAGGTCTGGCTTTTAGGGACTTTTAGGGACTCCCTAGTCTTCAGTTTGTTTAAAATACCCATGAATGAATTTTTAAGAAGGACAAACTTTTATGAATAAAGACACAAGAAATTAGTTTTTCAAAGTAAAGTTATTCATAGCATATAATCCTAATTATACACTATGCCATTTGATTCCAGTACTTACTGAAACTTGGTTAATAAGATCATTTTCTCAATTTTAAGAAATGGGATTAGGCATCTCTTAAACATGTGGGGAAGCAGGATATTTGAGAAGTAAAAACACGAATAAGGGTTTCTTGTCTTACTGCCACTGGGCAATTATACATTCTCCCATTTGATCCTGCTACTGTTTACCATGTGTCAGGTAGTGTGCCAGTGTGCTGTGCAATTACATGTACTACCTTATTTAACCATATGAGGTTGGTGGTATTATCCCCATTGCACACATGAGGCAATAAGTCCTAAGCTATATTGCTAGCAAGCAGTGAAGCCAGGATTTAAGACTAAGTATACTTGACCCCAAAGGTGTCTTTATTTATTTATTTTAAAGAAAAAGCCCCTAAAATCCATTTTGTTATCCTTTTTTTTTTTTTTTGGAGACGAATTCTCGCTCTGTCCCCCAGGCTGGAGTGCAGTGGCGCAACCTCAGCTCACTGCAAGCTTCGCTTTCCAGTTCACGCCATTCTCCTGCCTTAGCCTCCCGAGTAGCTGGGACTACAGGCACCCGCCACCACGCCCGGCTAATTTTTTGTATTTTTTAGTAGACACGGGGTTTCACCATGTTAGCCAGGGTGGTCTCAGTCTCCTGACGTCGTGATCCGCGCACCTCAGCCTCCCAAAGTGCTGGGATTACCCACGTGAGCCACCGTGCCCGGCCTGTTATCCTTATTATATCTTGTGACACCTGAAACACTCAATCTGTCATTTACTTGAGCCACTATAATGCTATCTAGATGGTTATATCCTCTGCTAATGCAAGAACTGATAAATTTTTAGATAACCAAGTGAACACTTACTTATTGTGAGGTGGGAGGTATTTTAGTCCATTTAAATGTGCTGTTTATCCTCTGTGGCCTGTCTAGGGAGACATTCTACATATATGTAAAATGCTTAGGTCAGCATGTGCCTGGTACATTATAAGTACCCTGTAAACACTAGCTTTCATTATTATCTGCTCAGAACAAAATCTGCTATTAATACATTAACTACGTAGATTAAATGGAAACTGCCATTATCCTACAGCTCTTGCCTCCTTGGCAACAGTGTTCTGGGTCAAAGGCTGGTGTCTGATCCAAGATGAACCATTCAGACTCCTTTCCTAGGATTTTAAAAATTGGAACCAAGGGCTGCTCTGTCTATGGAGTAGCCATTTTTTTATTCCTCTACTTTTCTTTTTTCTTTTTTTAAAGACGGAGTCTCGCTCAGCCACCCAGGCTGGAGTGCAGTGGCGCTGTCTTGGTTCACTGCAACCACCGTCTCTGGGGTTCAAGTGATTCTCCCATCTCAGTCTCCCGAGTAGCTGGCATTACGGGCGGGTGCCACCATGCCCGGCTAATTTCTATGCTTTAGTTGAGACGGGGTTTTACCATGTTGGCCAGGCTGATCTTGAACTTCTGACCTCAGGTGATCCACCCACCTCGGCCTCCCAAAGTGCTGGATTACAGGCGTGAGCCACAACATCCAGCCTGTTCCTCTACTTTCTTAACTTGCTTTCACTTAAAAAAAAAATTGGAACTAAGGAAAGAGGGCAGTCTCTCCTGATTAGTGAAAGTGGAATGATAAAAGAGTCTAGGTGGCAGTCTGTCCAACCCATGGAGGATTATATGAGAAACTGAGGCACACATTCACAGATAATTTAAATAATAAGTTCTGATTCCAGTTACCCTTGTAGTTAGGCTACACCTCTTCCCTTTCCATGGTTCAGCTGATGGCTGGGGGCTCCACCTTCGCTTGTACTGCCACCTCAACATCAGTGGTGACTCCCCGGAAAACCACTAAAGGTATAAATCAGCAGTTTTCTTTTAAACAGCAATTTGTTAATGACAAAAACAAAAAAATTTAAATGTGCATATCTTTTTGACCCTAAATTGTAAGTGTACATAGCATGAGGGCACAAAGATATGTGCATGTATGTATGTTTACTCAAACATACGCATATATATAGCTGTTCAGTGCACTATTGCCCTTACTAATGAGAAATTGGAGGCAGAATGCCTGTTAATAGAGGATTTGATAAATTAAAAAGTATTATTCTTTCTGATCCTGGAGTAATTTTAAAAATTCTAGTTTTATTAATTTGTCTGTAATTATTAGGGTGTGCATCTTTCCACATTGGCAAATTTTGTTTCTTTCTTTTTTTTTTCGAGATAGGGCCTCACTCTGTCACCCAGGCTGAAGTGCAGTGGCATGGTCTCGGCTCACTGCAACCTTCAGCTCAAGCGATCCTTCTGTCTCAGCCTCCCAACCAACTGGGACTATAGGTGTGTGCCACCATTTGTGGCTAAGCTTTTGTATTTTTGGTATAGATGGGGTTTTGCCTTGTTGGCCAGGCTGGTTTGAACTCCTGGGCTCAAGTGATCTTCCCACCTCGGCCTCTCGGAATGCTGGGATTGCAGGCATGAGCCACCGAGACTGGCCTCAACTGGTGAATTTTCTGAATAACTGTAGTTTGTTTCATTTAACAGTAAATATGTTTCCCTCTTTAAAGTACAATGTGAATTTTTTTCTTGATGACTCAGTCACTATCAAGGACATTAGGTAGCAAAACTATGTGTTTTTACCCAGGGTTTTATATGATAGTAACGTAGATGTGCATGTGGATTGAAGCTGTTGACATTTCAGTCATTCTAATGATTTAAACTTCTGTGAGAGATTTAATGCTTGTGTCCAAGTTTCTGTGGGTATTGAATATATGTTAAGTTAAAGTATTTCTGTGTTACTGTCTCCTTCAGGAACCTGATTCTGAACAGCAGCCCTTAAAACAACTCACCTGTGACTTGGAGGATGATTCTGATAAATTACAAGGTCAGAATGAAAACTAGATCTTAACATTTGATAAAAATTATTTAGGTCTAGATTATAGTAATAATGGGAGAAAACCCAAACCATCAATTCAGAATATGTCTGCCTACCCTGTTTCAAACTTATGCCAAAAACAGGGACAATAAGTAAAAGTTTTTTTTCCCCATTATTTGGTCTGTTAACACTCCTGCTCTCAAAAATAAAAGAAAATTCATTCATGTTGATAAAGCATGTTGTTGCAAGAGACATTTAGGTTGAGGTCAGTGAGTTTTTTTTTTTTTAACCTCTTTCCAAACCCCAGTAATATTGGCATCATTAGCCTTTGGTCCTCCATCACTGCCACCTCTGGGGAAATCTAGAAGGAGAAAGGAAGGAATATTACTGTGATTTAGCTGGCAGAGGCTACTGTCAGAATTACTTTGATGACAGGTAGTGGTCAGGTGGTTACCAATTTGTTTTTGGTTATGCTTCCCGAGACTTCTGACACTTAAGCAGCAGGGCTTCCTAACTTCTTAAAAAACGTCATGGTACATACAAATAATTAACAATGTTTCTATAGCACATTGCGGTAAGTGGAGGAGGCTACTAGGGTGGAGGGAACCTGCCTGAGAGCGTGAGCACCCTGAGGATTATGGGGGCCCTTGACATACCAGTACACTCATTGGGAAGCTGTGCTAAAGAAATCCAGGAGTCTAGTGAAATACATGTCTAGTCAACATGTTGCCATGGAAAGAATACTTTGGGTAGTTGAGTGATCTGCAAACAGTGTAGAAATGGAGCAATCATATCTAGAAGCACAGAAGTAATTCAGAGGTATTTGCAGTAGAAATTAGAGTTAGAGTGCACTTAAAATCAGAATACTACAGCTGGGCGCAGTGGCTCACGCCTGTAATCCCAGCACTTTGGGAGGCCGAGGCGGGTGGATCATGAGGTCAAGAGATCCAAGACCATCCTGGCCAACATGGTGAAACCCCGTCTCTAGTAAAAATACAAAAATTAACTGGGCGTGGTGGCACGCGTCCATAATCTCAGCTACTCGGGAGGCTGAGGCAGGAGAACCACTTGAACCTGGGAGGCAGAGGTTGCAGTGAGCTATCACGCCTCTGCACTCCAGCCTGGCGACAGAGCTAGACTCCGTCTCAAAAAAAAAAAAAAATCAGAATACTATTTTTCTTGCTGTTCTTTTGGATTGACTCTAATCTGTACATGTTTCAAAGCATCTAGCAAGTAGTTTCACTTTGCCTGTATGTATAGCAAAATAGTAACCTATACCAGTGAAGCTTAACCTTGGTTGTAGGTCATGGTTTGTTTGCAAGCTAACTCTAATGTAATAATTGTGGCATTTAGAGTAGTGTTAAGGGAACTACCTGTTAGAGCCCAGTCAGCAGGATAATGAGGACTATTGTAGTCTTATTCTCTGGAACTTTTTCTTCCTGGAAAACTCCCAAATTGTGAAAGTTGATACATTTTAAGTTACTACTGTGAAAGAACGTGAGAATGTGACAGTTTTTTTTCAGAGTTTCATACAAAATGCTGTGATGCAGAAATAATCTTTCAACTTTTTCTTTTTTATTATTATTTTACATCAGAAAAGAGCTGGAAGTCTTCCTGCAATGAAGGAGAATCCTCTTCTACTTCTTATATGCATCAGAGGTCACCTGGTGGTCCCACCAAACTGATTGAGATCATCTCAGACTGCAACTGGGAGGAAGATCGGAACAAGATTTTGAGCATCTTATCCCAGCACATCAATAGCAACATGCCACAATCACTTAAGGTGGGCAGCTTCATCATTGAGTTGGCTTCTCAGCGAAAGAGCCGGGGTGAGAAGAACCCTCCTGTTTATTCTTCTCGTGTGAAAATCTCTATGCCATCATGTCAAGACCAAGATGATATGGCTGAGAAATCTGGATCAGAGACTCCTGATGGTCCATTGTCCCCTGGGAAAATGGAGGATATCTCTCCTGTGCAGACAGATGCCCTGGATTCAGTGAGGGAGAGATTACATGGAGGCAAAGGTCTGCCTTTTTATGCAGGGCTTTCTCCTGCAGGGAAGCTTGTGGCCTATAAACGTAAACCCAGTTCAAGTACATCTGGGCTTATCCAGGTGAGAATTATCTTTAATCTGGGTATAGCACCTTTGTATACACCTAGGTAGTATCATGATTTTTCAGAGCCCTTTATGGTCCTGATATCCTTTATCTTGACATTTCCTGGGAACTGGGTGACAAAATTATTATCTCTTTTTGTAATAGGCCTAGTTTAGATGCATACCTAGAGTGAATTTTTGTCACATTTATGAACAGAAACGTAGAGCCTTGTATTAGTTTTAATTTTCTTTCTAATCTTCCCAGAAAGTTGCTCTTCATAAACTTTATTGCCTGCAGGCTCTAGTGATACTTTGACAATAAAGCAAGGGTAATCAGGGATTCAGTCTAGCTCTTGGAATTTATTATTAGCAGATAGGTTTCAAAACAAAACCATGGTTAGAACGGTAGGTGTAAGGGGAAGATGAAATTGACTTAAAGATAGGCAATATATGTTTAGAAACTTGGGGAAAATTTTAAAAATTTTTATTTATTATTTATTTATTGCAATCTTGGCTCACAGCAACCTCTGCCTCCTGGGTTCAAGCAATTCTTTGTGCCTCAGCCTCCCAAGTAGCTGGGATTACAGGCATGTGACACCACACCTGGCTAATTTTGTGTTTGTGTGTGTTTTTTTTTGTTTTTGTTTTTTTTTTAGTAGAGACGGGGTTTCGCCATGTTGTCCAGGCTGGTCTCGAACTTCTGAGCTCAGGTGATCCACCCACCTTGGCCTCCCAAAGTGCTAGGATTACAGGGGTGAGCCACCATGCATGGCTGAAAATTTTAATTTAGTAAGGTGTTATTTAAATACAAGAGTAAAAATTCAGCCATATTTACTTAATTATATTTTTTCTTTATTTGATTCGTAGGGGTTTTGTTAGTGTAACTGTTGTAGGACAAATACCTTTATCCTTGATACTTAGTAATTCACGCAGGTTGTATTAGTAAAATTATACTGGCATATAGAAAATTTGAAAAGAGACGTTCTGAATTAATGTCATAGTCAGAAAAGGTTTTTCTAGCTGAGCGCAGTGGCTTACGCCTGTAATCCCAGCACTTTGGGAGGCCGAGGTGGTGGATCACCTAAGGCAAGGAGTTTGAGACTAGCCTGGCCGACATGGCAAAACCCCATTTCTACTAAAAATAAAAAAGTTAGCCCGGCGTGGTGGCGCGCGCCTGTAATCCCAGCTTCTTGAGAGGCTGAGGCAGGAGAATCATTTGAACCTGGGAGGTGGAGGTTGCAGTGAGCTGAGATTGTGCCACTGTATTCCAGCTTGGGCAACAGAGGGAGATTGTCTCAAAAAAAAAAAAGTGCACTTTTATATTAGAGTAGCAAATGTGTGGAAGTGTCTGATATTATTGCAAAGTTAGCTTGACTTTCATTAGATTGGCTGCTTCTAAGTCACTAAGGACTTCTCCATTAATAATATGATTGATATAGGCTGGGCATGGTGGCTCACACCTGTAATACCAGCACTTTGGGAGGTGAAGGCGGGTAGATCATGAGGTCAGGAGTTCAAGACCAGCCTGACCAACATGGTGAAACCCCATCTCTACTAAAAATACAAAAATTAGCCGGGCATGGTGGCGTGTGCCTGTAATCCCAGCTAGGAGGCTGAGGCAGGAGAATCGCCTGAACCTGGGAGGCAGAGGTTGCAGTGAGCCGAGATCACGCCACTGCATTCCAGCCTGGGCGACAGAGTGAGACTCCATCTCAAAAGAGAAAATAATATTAATATGATTGATCTACTTAATTAAAAAACTTATTATTGCAGTTTACTGTTGTGCATGCTATGTAAATGCTTCTGTTGATATTTCTTATACTCTTGATGAGGAGAACAGTATTTTCTCTACCTTATATATTGATTGACACTTTGAAAACAGAGGTTTGCCTGATACAATTTCTAGTGAGACTAGACTCCCTAAAATACAAGCATGGAAATTTTTTGTTGTCTTCTGCCCAGGACTCACAAAGCCACCATAGAATGTGTCTGCATAAGCAGTCAGGCAACTGTAAACTTTGTAAACTTTGGGGAAGCTGCAGAGTAGGCTTCAGCGCAGTCCCAAGGGATCCGGGAGGGGGTATCTGACCTATTTCTGTATAGCCTGAAAAGTTACAGTAAAGTCTACTTTCAGGGGGAATGATCACATTCTTTGTACCAAACTCAAGGCAGAGATATTCTTGATCTCTGTGGGAATAATCACAATTTAACCAAAGTAGCAAAGAGTAATTTTGTTTTGTGTCTCTGAAGATGGAGTTGCTTGCTGTAGCTGGTCTCCTCACCAGTTCCCTGTTAGAGAGTAGATTCTACCTCACTCCATCTCCCCCAACCCCCGATTTTGAAATGGTGAAAAGGAAATATAGAAAAGGTTATCTTCTCTAGAGTTGCCTGGCAATATGACCTAGAGAACATGGGTAGAGACTTGGGAAGTTTTTGTTTTCTTTCTTTAAAAAAAAAAGAAAAGAAATCAACCCCCACAAAAAACAACTGTGCTGGTACCCATGATGGGCAGTCTGATAAACTCAGGCAGCAGAGGGGATCTTTACTTCATTTGTTGGTTCACTTTCTTCTGACTATTTAGTTAATTATGTCTAGAATAAGAATGAGTTCGTACCAACATTCAGTTTGAACCCATGTTTTATCCAAGAGATGAAAATAGTATTTTCAAAGCTAAGCTTTTTGAAAATGAAAAACTGTGAGGTAATTGTGGCTTAGGTTATTGCAACAATGATTGTCTTATAACTTAAAGTAGATTTCACTTATATTTTTCAAATATGAAGGATGCTTGAAAGGACCCTTGTGTGAGAGCTTCATTATGTCTCTCTGGTCTTATCAGAGAGATTCTGTGGGACACTCATTTTTGCTGATGAGGTTAATAGCTTAACCAGAATGCCTTATTTACAAGGAAAACAATTGGATAATTCTAGTTGTTTAGATTTGATGATAACTTTCACATAACTAGGATGCAGAAATGATGAGTTTCCGATTCTCTATTTTCAAACTACAATATGAAGGAGATGAGATTAGTTCAGAATATCAGTTGACAGCATTTTTCTACCTTCTGATTACTCAGATTATTCTAAATGGAAAAAGTCTACTTCTTTTTCCCTTTTAAATCTGAAAAATAGACTTATGAAAACTTGTAAAAATGAAGCCCCTGTCAAGGGAGAGGAGTTAGCAAGAGAATTTTATCTTTACAGAATTTCTCTTTGCCACTTGTTTCAGGTTAATGGTAAGAGTTACCCGCAGGCTAAGTTGCTATTGGGACAGATGGGGGCATTGCATCCAGCCAATAGGCTAGCTGCTTATATCACAGGCAGGTTGCGACCCTCAGTCCTGGACCTCTCAACCCTCAGTACTGTCATCTCCAAGGTAGCATCCAATGCCAAGGTGGCTGCATCCAGGAAACCACGTACCCTGTTGCCTTCAACATCCAATTCCAAAATGGCATCCTCCTCTGGCACTGCAACAAATCGCCCTGGGAAGAATCTGAAGGCGTTTGTCCCAGCAAAACGGCCAATTGGTAAGTTGGGGTGTATGTATGGTTTGGAAAGGCCTATGACTTGGTGGTGGGACAGTGGGTACAGGTATGGAGGTTGTAAAAATTAGAGAAATATGTACTTTGGCATTATTCTTATTCTTGTTGTCTGTCTTGCCTGGACTTTTTTGATTGTTTGGGGTTAACGTCTGATAACCTGCAATATTAGATGAATTGAGTTGTTTTATAGTTAATTTCTTGGTTTTATATATATTTTTTATTTTTTAATAACACTGACTTGAAGGCAAGTTTTATAGTTATTTTTAAGGTTTTCAGACTGGTTGTTATTAATGTAGAAAAGACTTAAGGATTTTAATTTTGTTTCTAAAAAGGGAAGACATTTAAAAATAGTTTACTATTATACTAAATTATTTACTAAAATATTTTACTAAATTAAAAATAGTTTACTATTTTCCTGTGAGGACTGGTGTTTCTGGCCTCTTGTTGAACTCTTGCTGGTGCTATGTAAATGCTTCTGTTGATACTTCTTAAACTTATGAAACCAAGGAGCTAGCAAAAGCTAGTGGTGTAAGTAGTATAGGCTTAAAGTGGAAAGCTCCTATAAATACAATTTTGAAAGTGTTGATTTATTCCATTCATCTCTGTTCTATGAATGAAAATCTCTCTTTTCCTTAACATTTAAATGCTGAAGTCTGTAATAAATTACCTTCTTGAAACATTTGTGTTTTAGCATTGAGAGTATCTATAGTTGGTTTATTGAATTCCTCTTTTTGTTGTTTCAAATCTGTTAGGAATGTTAGGTAAGAGTGTCAGTTGAAATCTCTGGCTGAATGGTTAGAGTTGTGTGAAGATAGAAGATATTTATTGTTTGCCTTAAAACCTATTTTGGCCGGGCGCGGTGGCTCACTCCTGTAATTCCAGCACTTTGGGAGGCCGAGGCGGGTGGATCACGAGGTCAAGAGATAGAGACCATCCTGGCCAACATGGTGAAACCCCATCTCTACTAAAAATACAAAAATTAGCCGGGAGTGGTGGCATGCGCCTGTAGTCCCAGCTACTGGGGAGGCTGAGGCAGGAGAATCACTTGAACCCGGGAGGCAGAGGTTGCAGTAATCCGAAATCGTGCCACTGCACTCCAGCCTGGTGACAGAGTGAGACTCCATCTCCAAAAAAAAAAAAAAAAAAAAAAGAATCTATTTTACCTTTTATTAAGGCAGCTTCAGTTGTGATTAAGGGGAGTAAAAAAAGCAATCCTATCCTGATCTGTTTGGAGAAATGTCTTTATATATTTTAGGAATATGTAATACGTAAGCATCTCATAATAGCACAGCTGTAAAGAGGTGAGAGTGCTCAGACAGGAGGAAATGGTAGAAACAAGTTTTTACATTAGAAATTGGGGGAAACAAACCCTCTCATTTTCTTTTATCTGTATTAGGTGATGAAGTTTTTGCTACTGTATTGTCTTTTTAGTATCCTGACAGTTTGAATATATTGCACAGTCAAAAGAATTTTAGTAGGAACACTCTATTTAATTTTTTAATTTTTCTTTCAAGACAGAGTCTTGCTCTGTCTCCCAGGCTGGAGTGCAGTGGCACTATCTCATTTCACTGCAGCATCCACCTCCTGGGTTCAAACCATTCTCCTGCCTCAGCCTCCTGAGTAGCTGGGATTACAGGCACGTGCCACCATGCCCTGGTAATTTTTGTATTTTTAGTAGAGACGGGGTTTCACCGTGTTGGCCAGGCTGGTCTTGAACTCCTGACCTCGTGATCTGCCCACCTCGGCCTCCCAAAGTGCTGGGATTACAGGTGTGAGTCACTGTGTCTGGCCTGGAACACTCAATTTTAATCCCTTTCTTGTTAGAACTGAGGTTTGTTTTTGGTCAAGGCAAGCGTTTGATTTCTGAGAGTAGAAATAAGCTCAGATGCTGGGTGTGGTGGCTCACACCTGTAATCCTAGCACTTTGGGAGGCCCGAGGCAGGCAGATCACCTGATGTCGGGAGTTCAAGACCAGCCTGACCAACATGGAGAAACCTTGTCTCTACTAAAAATACAAAAATTAGCTGGGTTTGGTGGTATGTGCCTGTAATCCCAGCTACTCGGGAAGGCTGAGGCAGGAGAATTGCTTGAACCTGGGAGACAGAGGTTGCAGTGAGCCGAGATCGCGCCATTGCACTCTAGCCTGGGCAACAAGAAAGAAACTCCATCTTAAAAAAGAAAAAAAAGAAATTGGCACAAATAATACAGGTAGGTAGTACCTGTAAGAAATTGACCCAGTAGTGCACAGTAAATGTCGGTAAGCACAGTCACTAAGAGGATAAAATATGAGAACTGAAGATTTTTGACCTGCAAATTTCTGTTTGCAGCGGCTCGACCCTCTCCTGGTGGTGTGTTCACACAGTTTGTGATGAGTAAAGTTGGAGCCTTGCAGCAGAAGATACCTGGAGTTAGCACACCCCAAACCCTGGCAGGGACACAGAAGTTCAGTATCAGACCTTCTCCAGTAATGGTCGTCACACCTGTGGTTTCTTCTGAGCCAGTTCAGGTGTGCAGCCCTGTGACTGCTGCTGTCACTACTACCACCCCTCAAGTGTTTTTAGAAAATACTACTGCTGTGACACCTATGACTGCTATTTCTGACGTGGAAACTAAAGAAACTACTTATTCTTCTGGTGCCACCACTACAGGGGTTGTTGAGGTCTCTGAAACTAATACCAGCACCTCTGTAACATCTACCCAGTCTACAGCCACTGTGAACCTTACCAAAACCACTGGGATAACTACCCCTGTGGCTTCAGTTGCTTTTCCTAAGTCTTTGGTAGCATCTCCTTCAACCATAACTCTTCCTGTTGCTTCCACTGCTTCCACCTCCTTAGTCGTGGTGACTGCAGCTGCATCTTCCTCCATGGTGACCACACCAACTTCATCTCTGGGCTCTGTTCCTATTATACTCTCAGGAATTAATGGGAGTCCACCAGTGAGCCAGAGACCAGGTAAGGCCTAGATGTTACTAGCTGCTTTATTTTACTGTACACCTATTTATATAACTTTGTGGTTGTGTTAGGATTATAGATATATCAGGATAACAGTATAGGTATTTCTGTTGTAACATGATACATGTATTCCTGAAAACCTCTGCATGCTGCAAAACTGAACACTAAAATTAATAGAGCTCATGGTTAATACGGGATTGCGATAAATCACTGAAAATATATGCAGTTTTATAAGCAGAACATTAATAACAATAACTGATAACCTTGAGAGATAACTTGAACAATCTTGACTGATAGTTTAGTGGAGCTGGAGATTGCGACTCAAAATACTAAAAAACATTACAATGGAAGTGGTGGCTGAAGGATACTGAAGTAATGCAGGTAAGACTGGAGCTCTGAGCCACTAACATGGGCATGGGAGGAAACATGACCTGTGTGCTGAGAGCTAGGGGTGCACATCTTTGAGGAGGGAGCCTCAAATGCAGATGTTCCTTTTGTGGGGTGTGGGGGGTGCTGCTTTTTAATTAGAGACAGATGAGCAGACTTCATCTCCTTTTGTGTAGTAAAAACCACTAATGAATCAGCACCTATTTAATTGCTGGACATGAACTGATTGAAATAGAAACAAGGAGGCATATTTGTTTAGGGCTCTAATATTTTTATAAACTTTTTAGTTAAAATATTTCTTTTATTGGCTTAGGTTGAGTGAATTTGAAATAGGAATATCCTACACTTTGTGTAGTTTTTATATCCAGATGCAACTAGCTAAAGTAAGTGGTTCTTTTAATCTACTCATAGAGGAACTAATATGGAAAAGAGCAAGAGACTTTGCAGGATTTGAGGGGAAATAATTAACTAATAGCAATTCTGTCTTGGTTATTGATGTTTTCTCTTAAATATTTTTGCATTTAGTGATGTGGTCCAAATTCCTCTCTGTCTTTTATGGAAGAACAGATTGGGAGTTAGTTTGTAAGTTAAAGTTCTGTTGAAGGGAAAAGTGAATCTATATATATATATGTGTGTGTGTGTATATATATATATATTTTTTTGAGATGGAGTCTTGCTCTGTTGCCCAGGCTGGAGTACAATGGCAGAATCTCAGCTCACTGCAACCTCTGCCTCCTGGGTTCACATGATTCTCCTGCCTCAGCCTCCCGAGTAGCTGGGACTACAGGTTTATGCCACCACGTCCAGCTAATTTTTTGTATTTTCAGTAGAGACGAGGTTTCTCCATTTTGGTCAGGCTGATCTCAGTCTCCGTGATCTTCCCACCTTGGCCTCCCAAAGTGCTGGGATTACAGGCGTGAGCCACCACGTCCGGCTTGTGAATCACAATATTAAATGTGTCTGTCTTGTGCTTCTTCCCACAAATAAGCCCATAAATCATGATTAATCTGATACATACTTTTGGGAGTGAAGTCATTAGTGAAGCTACTTTTATTTCCTATTGAATCTCAAGGTGCATATCTGTTATATTTTAACAGATCATGTCTTCTAAACCATATGGATTCCAGCCTGTTTCTGTACTCTTAATTCTTTCATGAAACAATATAGTAGTTTATTCTTCTGTAGTTCTGTTGTTTCTCAGACTTCAGTTATTCAGGATATGCATTCACATATTTTGCTGAGTCCCATCTGTACTGTCACCTACCTAATATTTTTATTTTAATCAACTGCTTTTTTATATGTAAATGTGTGTGTGTTTGTTTATTTATTTATTTATTGAGACGGAGTCTCGCTCTGTTGCCCAGGCTGGAGTGCAGTGGCACCATCTCAGCTCACTGCAACCTCCGCCTCCCAGGTTCAAGTGGTTCTCCTGCCTCAGCCTCCCGAGTAGCTGGGATTGCAGGTGCCCGCCACCACGCAGTGGTGTATATTATATTTTTAGTAGAGACGGGGTTTCATCATGTTGACCAGGCTTGTGTTAAACTCTTGACCTCATGATCGGCCTGCCTTGGCCTCCCAAAGTGCTTAGGATTATTACAGGCGTGAGCCACAGCGCCTGGCTGTAAATGTGTTTTTAAAAGAGACAGCATTGACCTTCCCTCCACTATTGTCCTATGACCCTGCCAAATCCCCCTATGCGAGAAACACCCAAGAATGATCAATAAAAAAAAAAAAAAAAAAAAAAAAAAGAGACAGCATTAATTGGAAACCAGCATTACTCGGCATAATAGAGGTTAACCCTATAAAGAAATACACTGGAAACTATAATAATTAAAAAATCATTAAATTCCTGTTAGCTACTATATATTCTGAGCACATGGCTTTGCTGTCTTTTTTTTTAAAGAAGAAAGCTAGAAAATACTAGAGTAACATTAAAGATATATCATCAAAGACTGTACATAAAATATCTTCTATAGTACCATTTGAGGAAAAACATGTAGATATATTTTTAATAAAAATGTATTTTTATTTAAAAAAAATATATATCTATATATAGAGAGAGACAGACAGGGTCTTGCCCTGTCATCCTGGTTGGAGTGTAGTGGCATGATCATGGCTCCCTGCAGCCTCTACATCTCAGGCTCAAGTGATCCTCCCATTTCAGTCTCCCGAGTAGCTGGGATCATAGGCTTGTGCCACCACACCTGGTTAATTTTTTTGATTTTCAGTAGAGGCGAGGTCTCGCTGTGTTGTCCAGGCTGGTCTTGAACTCCTGGGCTCAAGCAGTCCTTGCATCTTGGCCCCACAAAGTGCTGGGATTACAGGCATGAGCCACTGCATCCTGCCAGGAAACACTAACATTTAACAAGTTTTCTAATCTTTTAAAATAAATAGACCTGACTCAGGTAACTGCTACTTAAGGAAGTGTGTGTAATTTTTTTCTCTATTTATAAAGAGGATCCCCTGTTGGCACTTTGATATCTGTGCTTTTAAAATTTGATTTTTCTCCTTTTCCTCTTTACCTTCCTTTTCCTTGCACACAGTTAAGTAAACCATCACATATTTAATGTGTATATTAAAGATTGCTTTCATTCTCTGAATGTTTTTGAATCACTCTCTAAAAGTTAATTTGAAGAAAAAAGTTGAAAAATTAAGAATGCATTAACATATTTGTTTCTTAATTCACGTAAGATTAATATGGCTGGGCACAGTGGCTGACGCCTGTAATCCCAGCACTTTGGGAGGCTGAGGAGGATGGATCACCTGAGGTCAGGAGTTTAAGACCAGCCTGGCCAACATGGTGAAACCCTGTCTCTACTAAAAATACAAAAAAAATTAGCCGGATGTGGTGGTTGCATGCCTGTAATCCTAGGTACTCTGGAGGCTGAGGCAGGAGAATCGCTTGAACCCGGGAGGCGGAGGTTTCAGTGAGCCGAGATCTTGCCATTGCACTCCAGCCTGGGCAACAGAGCGAGACTTCGTCTCAAAAAAAAAAAAAAAAAAAAAAAGGTAGATGAATATTTTTTGTTTAAATTGCACATGATTATTTTCATGAACAGTTTGGTTTTGTGTTTTATTTAATTTTTAAGAGTAGTCTTGGATTTTCTATATAATTTTTCATCTAAATGTTATGACCATGACTTTCTTTTTGAAATTTGATATTTTTTTGTGTGGGCAGAGTGCCTGTTTGATAGAGAATCACGTTAAGCTAAAGTCTTTGTTTTGTTTCATTTGTTTGATTTTTTTTTCTCTTCAGTAGCAGACTTTTTAAGTTTTATTTATTAATGTTAAATAAGCCTACCAATTTTTATTTATTAATGTTAAATAAGCTCACCAATTTGAATAGTAATGTTAGACCAGTTTCATTTATGCTTACTATTACCATGATTCCTACCTCTTTATCTCTTTGATCTAAAAAAAAAAATCTAGATTACTCATACTGTTTTTTCCTATGTCTTTAGTATTTCGAAATATGTCTTCCAATCAGGAAAGGGCATCTTTAAAGTACTATTAATGGTTTGAAATCTCTATTAATTCACATCTTCTGCATTAAATTTCTGCTTTTTCTTTTTGTTTTAAAAACATCTTTTGCCTCTTCTAAGCCAGGTTTATTTCCCTGCTTCTTTGATGTCTCTTAATTTCATTCCATTTTGGGGGGCTTAAGTAATTTTTTCCTTCTGAAAAATAATTCCCACAAACCTTTAAGCTTTGCATATTTGTTAGTGAATTTTAAAAACCAAAAGCCCTTTATAAACCAAGGATTTTTAGTTCTTTATCTTCCTCAGGTGGTATAAGCTTAGAAATTGACCCATAACTCTAGTAAGTGTTATGAGCTTTAATTTTAAAGTTAAATTGTGCAGAATCTGGATTTTATTTAAAAACATAAGAGGCCAGGCACATTGGCTCATACCTATAATCCCAACATTTTAGGAGGCCAAGGCAGGAGGATTGCTTGAGCCCCAGGGGTTCCAGACCAGCCTGGGCAACATAGCAAACTCCATCTCCACAAAAAAAAAAAAAAGCGTGCACCTGTGGTCCCAGCTACTTGGGAGGCTGAGCCTGGGAGTTCGAGGTGGCAGTGAGCTGTGATCCCACCACTGCACTCTAGCCTGGGTGACAGAGTGCGATGCTGTCTCAAAAGAATGAAGTTGAAGCATAATTTTATCATGAATGATCCCTTTAACAGGAATCCAGATTTAGAGAGATAACCATGTTTTTCTTTAGGCAAAAGTATTATCTCTTTAAATGTGCCTCTTGACAGTTGATACTCTATTTTTTACCATTCTAAATGTAAAGCTCCATAATGTCTGGCTGTTCTCAGCCATAAATAGTGTATTATGAAACTACAGAATTTCAGCAACTTTATAATCCAAATTAGACGTTATTTGAAGCAAGGTCAGATTCTGTGCCTTAATGACTGGGCATGGTGGCTCATGGCTGCAGTCCCAGCACTTTGGAAGGCCGAGATGGCAGGATCACTTGAGGCCAGGAGTTTGAGACTAGCTTGAGCAACAAAGCAAGACCCTGTCTCTGCAAAGAATAACATAATTAGCCAGGTGTAGTGACACATCCCTGTAGTCCCAGTTACTTGGAAGGCTGAGGCAGGAGGATCTCTTGAACCAAGGAGTTTGAGACTGCAGTGAGCTATGATTGAGCTACTGCACTGAAGGTGACAAGTGCAACCCTGCCTCTTTAAAAAAAAAAAAATATAGACTGGGCGCGGTGGCTCACGCCTGTAATCTCAGCACTTTGGGAGGCCGAGAACGGCAGATCACTTGAGGTCAGGGGTTTGAGACCAGCCTCACCAACATGGTGAAACCCTGTCTCTACCCAAAAATACAGAAATAAGCCAGGTGTGCTGGTGCACACCTGTAGTCGCAGCTACTCGGTATGCTGAAGTGGAAGAATCACTTGAACTAGGGAGGTGCGGAGGTTGTAGTCAGTCGAGGTTGTGTCATTGCACTCCAGCCTGAGCAACAAAGCAAGACTGTGTCTTAAAAAATATTATGAATACTTTTTTTTCCTACGTGTGTTAAAGGGGAATTTGGGTACCATGTTTCCATTTCCTGTTTTTCAGAAAATGCTGCTCAAATTCCAGTGGCTACTCCACAGGTCTCTCCTAACACAGTGAAACGTGCTGGACCTCGATTGTTGTTGATTCCAGTGCAGCAGGGTTCTCCTACTCTTAGACCTGTCTCAAACACACAACTTCAGGGACATCGGATGGTCTTGCAGCCTGTTAGGAGTCCAAGTGGAATGAACTTATTCAGGCACCCTAATGGGCAGATTGTCCAGCTTCTACCTTTGCATCAGCTTCGAGGCTCTAATACCCAGCCCAACTTACAGCCTGTCATGTTTCGGAACCCAGGTATAAAGTTCTTTTTTATGAACTTTTCTTTTGTTGAATCACTTGGCCATATGGTATGTTAATACACCAAGATTGTTTTTCTTCATCTCTTAAGAGTTACTTTTCCAAAAAGAAAAGCAAACATTGGAAGTCTTGATATGGGCAGTCATGATTTAAAAATTTCTCTCTTATTTTTTAAACCAGGGTCTGTGATGGGAATCCGGTTACCTGCTCCTTCCAAACCCTCTGAGACTCCGCCATCTTCCACTTCGTCCTCTGCTTTCTCTGTCATGAATCCTGTAATTCAAGCTGTTGGGTCTTCTTCAGCAGTGAATGTTATCACTCAGGCACCATCATTGCTTTCCTCTGGAGCTAGTTTTGTGTCTCAGGCTGGTACATTGACCCTGAGGATTTCTCCTCCTGAACCACAAAGCTTTGCAAGTAAAACAGGCTCTGAAACCAAAATAACTTATAGCTCAGGAGGACAGCCTGTTGGTACAGCCAGTCTTATTCCTCTCCAGTCTGGTAGTTTTGCCTTGTTACAGCTCCCAGGACAAAAGCCTGTTCCTAGCTCCATTCTTCAGCATGTTGCTTCCCTTCAGATGAAGAGAGAATCTCAGAATCCAGACCAGAAAGATGAAACAAACTCAATAAAAAGAGAGCAAGAAACGAAGAAGGTTCTACAGTCAGAAGGAGAGGCTGTAGACCCTGAGGCTAATGTAATAAAACAAAACTCAGGAGCTGCTACCTCAGAAGAAACTCTGAATGATTCCTTGGAAGATAGGGGTGATCATTTGGATGAAGAATGCCTTCCAGAAGAAGGTTGTGCAACTGTCAAACCATCTGAGCATTCCTGTATCACTGGGTCACATACAGATCAAGATTATAAAGATGTTAATGAAGAATATGGGGCTAGGAATCGTAAGAGTTCCAAAGAAAAAGTGGCTGTTCTGGAAGTTAGGACCATTTCTGAAAAAGCCAGTAATAAGACAGTCCAAAATTTAAGTAAAGTACAGCATCAAAAACTTGGTGATGTGAAGGTGGAACAGCAGAAAGGATTTGACAATCCAGAAGAAAACTCAAGTGAATTTCCAGTCACCTTTAAGGAAGAAAGTAAATTTGAATTGTCAGGAAGCAAAGTTATGGAGCAGCAATCTAATCTACAGCCAGAGGCCAAAGAGAAGGAATGTGGAGACTCTCTGGAGAAAGACAGGGAAAGATGGAGAAAACATCTGAAGGGCCCCTTAACCAGGAAATGTGTTGGAGCTTCACAGGAATGTAAGAAAGAGGCAGACGAGCAGTTAATTAAAGAAACAAAGACATGTCAGGAAAATTCAGATGTGTTTCAGCAAGAACAAGGCATCTCTGACTTACTTGGAAAAAGTGGAATTACTGAAGATGCCAGAGTTTTGAAAACTGAATGTGATTCTTGGAGTAGGATTTCTAATCCTTCAGCCTTCTCCATTGTTCCTAGGAGAGCTGCAAAAAGCAGCAGAGGGAATGGACATTTTCAGGGTCACTTACTGCTACCTGGAGAACAGATACAACCAAAGCAAGAGAAGAAGGGTGGGAGAAGCAGTGCTGACTTCACTGTTTTGGATTTGGAAGAAGATGATGAAGATGATAATGAGAAAACTGATGATTCTATTGATGAAATTGTGGATGTTGTTTCTGACTACCAGAGTGAGGAGGTTGATGATGTAGAAAAGGTGGTGAGCCCATTTTTGTTGTGACTGAAACCTAAAGGATTTAAATGATTTATTAAAGACAGAAGCTTTTTCAGAAGAGCACTAAGGCATAATACATTTAATTGGATGCCTAGGTTTAAGATTATGACTTAAATGGCTTAGTAGTTCTTTAGGCTGTGTCAATCAAGCATCATTTATTGAGCTTTTATTCTTTGAGACTTGTCTGGTTTTATGGGAAGGCTGGCTTAAATATTTGGGGGATAGGTGCTTGAGAGTCCCTACCGAGTTAGATTTTTAAAATCCCGAAACCACTACTCCCATTTGACCTCAGTCAATTTCTATGACGTTTTCTATGTGAGGTGGTTGTAGCTTCTCTGGTAGATGTTAATCAGAAACTGGGAATGGGTGACCTTAGAACTAGAGGAGAACTTATTCACTTGCATATAGAGAGATGTTTTTGTTTTTGGAGAAAAACTGGAAAATACCATCATATTCTAGTACCATTTTGCCTTGAGTTGCTTTTATATCCAAAAATTAAATATTTAGTCTCTGGAATTTATATTCTAGACTTTGGTCTTCGTCCTTTGTAATATGACCTTTATGGCCTATTTTTATTATTTTCCTGAAGTTTTTTTTATAGGATTCCTATTTAGGGTTGTTGTATTTACTTAAATAAGTAACTGTCAGGTATTGATACAGTGCAGGAGTTGTACAAACGTTTTCTGTAAAAGGCCAGATAGTAAATAGTTTTAGACTTTGCAGAGAGCTAGATGGCTCTCTGTTGCGACTAATTGACTGCTGTTGTAGTATAAAAGCAGCTGTATTCCATTAAAACTTTAGTAAAAAAGTCCAGGTGCGGTGGCTCACACCCATAATCCCAGCACTTTGGGAGGCCGAGGTGGGTGGATCACCTGACGTCAGGAGTTTGAGACTAGTCTGGCCAACATGACAAAACCCCGTGTCTACTAAAAATACAAAAAATTAGCCAGGTGTGGTGATGGGTGCCTGTAATCCCAGTACTCAGAACGCTGAGGCAGGAGAATCGCTTGAACCCGGGAGGCTGAGGTTGCAGTGAGCCCAGATCGCGCCATTGCACTCCAGCCTGGGCGACAAGAACAAAACTCTGTCTCGGGTTAAAAAAAAAAAAGAAGTTGTTAGTGGGCTGTGGTTTGCTGACCCCTGACATAAGGTCTGATGTAAAACATGGGGAGATCATAACCAGCTGCCTGTGGAGTGCCCTAAAATCTAAACTGTGTCCTTCTTTTCAGGAGCAGATGACAGCCGTCTGCACTGATTGTCATACAACTGCTTGTTTTACAATCTCACTTCCTTGAGATTCATTCTGCCTCTGTGTTATCTGGTCCTTTTCTGTTATTGCTTAACTGCTTTATGCACATAAAATAAGACAAAAAGATTACTGTTTTAAAAATCTAAAATGTTGAAATATTTTATTTTAGCGATGGAGTCTTACTCTGTCGCCCAGGCTGGAGTGCAGTGGTGCGAACTCAGCTCACTGCAACCTCCACCTCTGGGGCTCAAGCAATTCTCCTGCTTCAGCCTCCTGAGTAGCTGAGATTACAGGAGCCTGCCACCGCCCCAGCTAATTTTTGTATTTACGTAGAGATGGGGTTTCACCATCTTGGCCAGGCTGGTCTTAATGTTCTTATATTGGTTATTTGAGTACCTCCATTGTCTCATTTATAAAGGAGGATCTTGCTCTAAAATTGGATGATTCTGTATTCATTTGACTTATACCTTCTCTCCATAGCCTAATCTTTTTCAAGAATGGATGTAAATTCATTGACTTTAGGAGTTATATTGCTGATTTTTTTGTGTTTTTTGCAGTCTCACACTGTAAGTCAGCCCAAGTTAACATGAGACCAAAAAACAGTTCAACTTTAAAACCAGTGAAAACTATTACTATTAGTGGAACTTACATAATAGAACCTTTAAAGTTTTTTTTTTTTTTTTTTTTTTTTTAACAGAGTCTCGCTTTGTCGCCCAGGCTGGAGTGCAGTGGTGCCATCTCGGCTCACTGCATCCTCTGCCTTCTCGGTTCAAGCGATTCTTCTGCCTCAGCCTCCCGAGTAGCTTGGGATTACAGGTGGGCACCACCATGCCCAGCTAATTTTTGTATTTTTTTAGTAAAGACAGGGTTTCACCATATTGGCCAGGCTGGTCTTGAACTCCTGACCTCAGGTGATCCACCCACGTTGGCCTCCCAAAAGTGCTGGGATTACAGGCATGAGCAACTGCCTCCGGCCTGAAGTATCTTAATCATACAAGGAGGCATTGCTTGAATGTACTAATAGGGAATTTGACAAGCAAACAAGTTATACTGACTTTTTTTTTAAAGGTCATATTAAGTGATCTCTAAAATCTAAAGTCTACACTGTTTTTATTTGCACATCTCACACCTACGTTACCTTTATGATTAGCATTGGAATACTGTGAGGGAAGTTGTAAATAGCTTCTTTAATTTAAATCTTCCTTGTGGAAGTTATTGGAATATTATTTAGAAATACTGCAGTTATGCCAGGCGCTGTAGCTCTCGCCTGTAATTCCAACACTTTGGGAGGCTGAGGCAGGCGGATCACCTGAGGTCAGGAGTTTGAGACCAGCCTGGCCAACATGGTGAAACCCCATCTCTACTAACAATACACAAATTAGCCAGGTGTGGTGGCACAGTCCTAGAGTCCCAACTACTCGGGAGGCTGAAGCAGGAGAATCGTTTGAATCCCGGGAGGTGGGCTCATTTACTATGTTTCTGGCATAGTAAACACTTTTTTTTTTTTTTTGAGGGGGCACAGAAATGTTGCAAGCAAATACTATTTGTAAAGGTGGACTTAAAAAGATCTGCTTATCCTATATATCCACATAACTCTAGTGTTACATAAAATATTTAGCAAGTTTCTGTGACAGGTGCTCAGTAAACACTTTGACTCCTTTTTTGGTATAATAAGGAAATACAGCAATCGTGGGCTTTTTTGAAACCTGAAATTCCTTACAAGCTCTCATTTTGTGGTTTTGAGAGAGTTGCAGGACTAGGCTGTATCCTATTTCTATACCTGCCTGTGTATGCTAATGTGTGTTGATTTGTGGGCATCTGATAGGATGTTGGTCATGAAGCCCCCTTAAAGTGGCACTTGAATTTTTCTCCTTTCTATATTTCTTTCACCAAATTTTATTTTACTGTTATTTAATCTTAAGATTTATGAAACCTTAATATATCTGTGCCTGAATTTTGTCCACTAGAAATAACACTGAAGCATCAGTGCAGTCCTTTGAGGATGCTGTTAAGTTTAATTATGTCTGTTTATTTATTTTTTATTTAATTTGTTTTGAGACAGTCTTACTCTTGTCTCCCAGGCTGGTGTGCAGTGGTGCAGTCTTGGGTCACTGCAGCCTCGAACTCCTGGCCTCAAGCAATCCTCCCACCTCAGGTTTCCGAGTAGCTGTAATTATAGGCGAGCACCACCATGTCTGGCTAATTTTTGTATTTTTTGTAGAGACAGGGTTTTGCCATGTTGCCCAGGCTGGTTTTGCACTCCTGAGCTCAAAACGATCCACCTGCCTGGGCCTCCCAAAGTGCTGGATTATAGGTGTGAGCCACCACGGCTCACATATATATATGACTTATAGTTCTTGATTGTTAATTCTAATGATATGTTATCTTTCTGTCTTAATTCCTTATTATGACTAACAATCTTAGGATTATCAGTACTCATGATATAACATGAATGTCTGGCATTAGTTGGTTTTATAAGGGGAACAAACATTTGAAAAGTTTAGGTGTGCTTGCCACTCAATACATTATTTACTTTTATAATGATGTATTTCAGAATAACTGTGTAGAATACATTGAGGATGATGAGGAGCACGTGGACATTGAGACTGTAGAAGAGCTCTCAGAGGAAATTAATGTTGCTCACCTGAAGACCACAGCGGCCCACACACAGTCATTCAAACAGCCGTAAGTCTTATTTCTCTTTGGATTGTTGTTTTTGTAGTTTTGTAACCAGAAACAAAATGAGATGTTCTGTTCAGGAGCTCTGGGTAACTCATCTGGTTCCTTCTTCCTCTAGCTTTTTTTCTGATTAGTATAGATGAGGAGAGGAACTAGAATTTGGGTAATTAATTTTCTTTGGTCGTTGGTAGGAGGCAGTGTGTAAATGTGAATAACATGCTTTTGGAGCCCGATAGACTGGTATTATAAAATATTAGTTTTGCTAGTTTGTAGGTATTTAACCTTGGGCAAATCTTTAATCTCTCTGAACCTCAGATTCTTTACCTATGAAATGAGGAAAATGCCCCCATTTGAAGTGTTAAATGAGGTAGTATGTGCAACTAGCATAATAACTGATATAAGTGGACTACTCAACAAAGGTTAGTTTCTTTTATCATTTAAGAATAGGCATTACATTCTAAATTTGGTTACTTTACTAGTTGAACAGGTGAGATACAGGTAGGAAAATTTTTCTTCCTGTTTCACTGGTGAGATGAAAATATGAAAGGAATGATGACTTGCTCAGGAAAATTTATTTCATTTTCTGTTTTAGTAAGCCTTATATTGATTATGGATTGGGCTGTGAGAAAGAGTAGAGAAGGAAGATATTTTGTGCCAGACATTGTACTTTTCCTGTCATCTCATTAACTACGATGATATGAAAGTAGCTATGAGTTGAGAAAGAATAATTCTTCGTTCCTACTGATGCTGAGAAAGTTGAAGGAGTAGAAAGTAGGACTAATAGTTTTCTTCAGTCCGGAGCTGTTTGCAGGCTACTTCAGTTACCTACTGGCTAAACTTGAAAGAATTTAAATCCCTTAAAAACTTAATTAGACTTAATGAGTTTAGTCTGGGATAATGAGTTCTGTATACTAAAACTGAGTTTGTAAACAATGGCAACAAACAAAAACTCTAAAAAATATTTGCAATAGTAACAGGAAAAATGCCGTGTGAGAACATTCTCTGACAAGCTGTGTAAGACTTTTCTTACAAAATTGTATTGAAAGACGAAGAGGAATTCAACAAATGGAGAGAGATAACATGTTAATGGATTGCAATAGTAAAGGGCCAAGAATAACCAACACACAGCACAAACACTGTAAGGGAACAGATTAAAATAAAAAATTAAAGATTTAGGCTGGGCGTGGTGGCTCACGCCTGTAATTCCAGCACTTTGGGAGGCCGAGGTGGGTGGATCACCTGAATTCAGGAGTTCAAGACCAGGCGGGCCAACATGGCGAAACCCTGTCTCTACTAAAAATATGCAAATTAGCCGGGCTTGTTGGCACACGCCTGTAGTCCCAGCTACTCGGGAGGCTAAGGCAGGAGGATTGCTTGAACCTGGGAGGTGGAGGTTGCAGTGAGCTGAGACTGTGCCACTGTACTCCAGCCTGAGACACAGTGAGACTCCATCTCAAAAAAAAAAATTAAAGATTTAATTAGATTTGTTTAAATTAATTGTTTAAATTTAATTAAAAATACAAGTTAAAAGAATTGAAAAATTCTGTCAGAACACCGTGAAAACAGTGAAAAGCCAAACTCAGATATGAAGAAAGTGTTTGCCATACGTATTAACTAACAAAGGATTAGTGTCAAGGGTATAAAAAAATTGTTACAAGTCAGTAAGAAAAAGATGACCCAGTAGAAAAGTAATGGATATTAGAGACAGTTGACAGAAGAAGAAGAAACCTAAAAGCCCAGCAAACACATGTACATTTGTTCAGCCTCACAAGTAATTAAGGAAATACAGATAAAACCACAGTGACTTTACCAATTCACACCCATAAGACTTCAAAAGTGGAGATTTCTGGTGGTACAGTTATCTAGGTGTGGAGCAATGGGAACTCGCATACTGCAAGTGGGAGTGTACATTGTTATTACCAGTTTAACAGTTACTGAAGTTGAAGGTGTGCATATCTTTCCTCTGCTCCTATGCCCCAGAAAAATTTTCACAAGGGGTCGTGTATGGGACTGTCCATTGCAGCATTGTTTGCTATTATGAAGATTTAGAAACAACCTAAATAACTACTAACATTCTGAAAAAAAAATTCGGGGAAATTCACATTGTGGAATACTATATAACTATATAACAATTAAAACAATTGGAATTGGAACTCTGCGTATCAACATATCTCAGGTGTAATTTATTTGTACTTTTATTTTCGATATTTTTTGTAGAGACGGAGTCTTGCTATGTTGGCCAGGCTAATTTTGAACTCCTGGCCTCAACCAGTCCTCGTGCCTTGGCCTCCTAAAGTTCTGGGATTACAGGCATTAGCTACTGTGCCTGGCCTTCAGGTGGAATATTGAATGAAACAAATGAGTTGCAGAAAGATATAGTATAGTATATAATATTTAAAGTGGTACTTTTTTTGTTTAGATATATATATATATATTTCTAGTAAGACTTACAAAAGTGTGCATGGTAAACTCTGTCTTAGAATGGTTACTTTTGAGAAGGAAGGAAGGGAATGTGATTGAGTAGACTGCACATAGAACCTTCTGTATTTTTGAGATGTATTATTTCTCAAGCTAGATGGTTCATATGTGGGTGTTCATTATACGCTTGGTCCTCCTTCACGGATGGGAAGACCAAGTTTATAATGGAAAAGCATGTATCCACAAATATAGAAAGCATGTATTTGTGGATTCACCCAACTGTGGATTGGAAATACTTGGAAGAAGAAAAATTGCATCTGTATTGAACATGTATAGACTTTATTTTCATGTCATTATTCCCTAAACAATACAGTATAACAACTGTTTACTTAGTTTTTACATTGTACTAGGTGTTATAAGTAATGTAGGGATGATTTATAGTATACAGGAGGAGGTGCCTATGTTATATGCAAATACTATGCCATTTTATATCAGGGACTTGAGTATTCAAAGATACTGCTGGAAGTTTTGGAACGAGTCTTCCCTGGATACTGAAGGACAACTTTAAATTTGTTTATATGGTTTTGTATATTAAATATTTCATGATTGTACAAAGTAATTTGAAGTTTTAGTGACTATTTGTACACTTTTAGAGAAAATATATAATGTCAAGTAAATAATGTGGCCATATATCACACCTTGGGAAAAAGAAACTGGTTGTAATTTGGAATGGTTTGGTTGTAGCTGTGAAATAGGTCTTAGATTATTAAATTTCAGTAAGACACTGAAAAATCCTGTCTTTATCCAGGTCCTGTACTCACATCTCTGCAGATGAAAAAGCAGCTGAAAGGAGTCGAAAGGTATTTAGGATATATTTAGTGATAATTACTCATTGAATAAAATTGTTAACATTTATCTTAGGGTTGAAACAACATTAGCTATATTAGCCACGATTTTTTCTCAGGGCTATTTTTGCCAGTGAGTTAATATAATCAGTTTTTTCTCCTTAATCAAATTATACTGCTAATGTCCTTTTTTTCCCTTTTAATTCTTCTCCTCAGAGGATAGACTAATGTAGAGGAGTTAAAAATGGATATGAAATTTATGAGAATATATGTGGTTATTTGAAAACTGTTCTTGTAATGGTCTGATGTAAAACAAGGTGCCATTCTTTCTTGCTTGGGCTCATGATTTTAAGTGATTTAAAAAACTATGCTCTGCAAAATGGCTAGCAGTTAGGGATCCATGAAAAAATAAACCTTTAATTTTCTTAATCTTTTTGGTTTATATCATAGTAACATAATTAAGCAGGGTTTTTTGTTTATCCTAACCAACAGTAGGCATGGAGGAGAGTTTGGTTTGTTTAAATTGTTTTCCACTTGTTTTTCTATCTTAATTTAAAAGATTAAAAAAAGACAATGATGGGGGTTGGGTTGAAGTAGAGGGTGGCATTTGGTTCCTTTAAAAAATCATAGTGCAGTTTGTTTGGTTTTGATCTGATTTGGGACTTATATGATACAGCGTATTTGCATGGTTGTAATTATTTGCATATATCATTATATTTGGCTTTTAAAAATTTATTCTGAAGCATTTTTCAGATATAACAAGAATTTTCATAATAGCTTATTTACATAATTCATTGTTTTGTACCCAAATAATTACATGCAAATTCTTGCTGCACTTTGCTATATTTAATGTTTATATTGCTTTTCTTTCTGTCTTCTTGGCTGTTTTATTCTCCCATTCTATGTTAATGCATAATGGGTTTAACTTTAGAAAGGCAGTGGCTTTTACATTAGAGTTTTTGGTTACGGTCAGAGTTACGATTAAGCAAACAGTGTCAGAAAAAGAGACAATTAGAAACATCAGAGGGAAAAATCACAAAACCAAGAAACTGCACAGGACAGGAAATATTATTCACTTTGTATGAGTAGTGTTTATAATGTCATAATAGTTAATGTTGATGCTTTTTTAACGTTTATAACCTGTGATTAAAATATAGAAGACTTAATTTCAGTCTTGAAAATGTGAGAATACAAATGACAAATTGGGAGGTGAGAGAGGGAAGAAGAAATAAAGGGAAGGATACAGGTGCTGATACCCTCATTTTACAAAGTAGAAAGGCAAGATAGATTGTTTATTGTTGATGAAATAAGAAATTAAGGTAGAATTCAAGTTGCTAAGGGATCAGTAGAACAGCTAAAAGTAGTGATGTAACTATATTGGGATGATAAGATGGTAAGACATAAGAGTGATGTGAGCTAAATCCTCTTCTGCATAGCAAGAAGTCAATAGATAGCATTGAAAATGGAAAAAAATAAGCTTATGTTACTATTTTTGGTTTAGGATATAGATTTAAGAACTAGAAGAAGCTGCTAAAAGAATTAAAAAGTGATTGTTTCTGAGGATCCAGGTACAAGTTCAGGGCACAGTTGCTTTTCATTATAAGCTTCTTAATATGTGTGTGTGTGTGTGTGTGTGTGTATTTTTTTTTTTTTTTTTTTGTAAAGATGAAGTCTTACTGTGTTGCCTGTGTTAGTCTCAAACTCCTGGCTTCAAGTGATCCCCTACCTTGGCGTCCAAAAGTGCTGGAAATTACAGGTGTGAGCCACTGTGCCTGGCCAGCCTTTTCATATATTTTAAGTCCTATATGCAAAGATTGTAATAGAATAAATAAGATAGAGAAAGGAGGCTTTAAGCCTTTCTGGGGATCAAGAAGGACTTTCCTGAAAAAGTGCAGAGTTTGAGTTTTAAGTGTTAAGTTTTAAATGTTAAGTTTTAAATGTTATGGGGGTTTAGGTAAGAGGTGGGATAAGTAATCTAGGTACAGGTAAAAAGCCTGTGTAATGTCAGGGAGGTGTGGGATTGTGTAGTATATTTTGGGAATTTCTAGCAGATAGGAATGGTTGGAGAGAAAGGTGATTTAGAAGAGTGGCAGTTGATTTTTTACCAGATTGAGGAGGATCTTACAGTATTTTTTGAAAAACATTTAATGTAATTTGTATCATGAAAACAAGTTTTAGTAATACAATAAATTACTTAAGCTCTTTCAGATCTCGTACGCCTGTAACATATACAATTTCTTCCTCATTTGAAAATCACTGAAATTTGAACTGAGAGCTGGTAAGATCACTTTAGCATGTATTAGAAATTACACTGTTGGCATTGTAAGAGTTAGATTTGAAGGAAGGATAGACTGGTAGTAAGATGACCAATTGAGAGGCTGTTACAACAGTCCAGACAAAAGGTAATGAGTGCCTGAAATAGGGCAGTGTCATTTGAAACAGAGTAAGAGGGCCAACTACATGTTCAAGATGTTTAGGAGGCAATCTTGTTTGGACAGGCTCCACCAATTCCTCTAAAACTGAAGCCTGATTACTGGAGTGACAAACTACAGAAAGAAGCAGAAGCGTTTGCTTATTATCGCCGGACACACACTGCCAATGAGCGGCGGCGGCGTGGTGAAATGAGGGATCTCTTTGAGAAATTAAAGATCACATTGGGATTACTTCATTCTTCCAAGGTTTCCAAAAGTCTCATTCTTACTCGAGTAAGTGTTCTGTGTAAATGACAGTAAGAGCTTGACTAAGAGATTCTTACCGATGATATGAGAAAGATAATCCACTGACATATAAGGGAGATTGAAATAGAGCTGCTTAAATGTAACAGATGAATATGGACTAGTGAATGCCCAGTAAATCCCTTAGGGGGAAAATCATTATGCTAAGTCACAGTAGGTTTTCATTGAAAGTCAGATTTTTTTTTTTTTCTTTTGAGACGGAGTTTTGCTCTTGTTGCCCAGGCTGGAGTACAATGGCACGATCTTGGCTCACCGCAACCTTTGCCTCATGGGTTCAAGCGATTCTCTTGCCTCAGCCTCCTGAGTAGTTGGGATTTCAGGCTTGCGCCACCACACCTGGCTAATTTTGTATTTTTAGTAGATTAGTAGTAATTTTGTATTTTGTATTTTTAGTAGAGACGGGGTTTCTCTATGTTGGTCAGGCTAGTCTTGAACTCCCGACCTCCAGTGATCCGCCCACCTCAGCCTCCCAAAGTGCTGGGATTACTGGCATGAGCCACTGCACCCGGGCAAAAGTCAGGTTCTTTATTGGCACAGCTATCCTTTCTTCAGATAGAGTCAGAAACTCTGGTTAGCCATGTTGACCACATTCTCGTTACATTGGTGTTCTTGATAGCACTTAGTACAGGTTATCACAGCATAAAGCACAGCATAAGTGATATTTTAATATGCTTAACAGTTGACAGTCATTTTAAAAGAAAACCTGAAATATTCAAGGGAGCAGAAGTTTTAATTTTGCATGTAGAATATCTAAAGTAATTTCGTTTAAACAGTTTTTAAGTAGAAGGTGGAGGAGTACAGGATAAGCATTCATATCCCTCTAGAGCAGTTATTTCAACCAGATTTTGGTTAGACTAGGAGTTGATCTTAAAGTTGATTATTAAAATCTAAGCAGAGCACAGGTGTTTTGTATCTCCTCGCAGTGGTGGAATACCTACTACCATTCAGTGATGCTCTTTGGAAATAATCATGGTCACATTCCTTAAAAGTGTAAGCCAGAAATCCTCTTACAGTTTAACAAAAAATAATTTCTGAAACATCAACAATTGTTAATGGAATTTAAAAATTCTCTTAAGATGTCAGATTAAGTTTTTTTTCATTAGAGAAATTGTATAGGCCTTAGCTGTGTTTAAAGAAAGAGTGGATCAATTTTCAATAATACC